>NC_000002.12:197186587-197489618 GCF_000001405.40 Homo sapiens | reverse complement strand
CAAAGTCCTGGGATTACAGGCATGAGCTACCGAGCTCAGTTTTGAAAGGTAGAAGTGTATGCTACAAGGGATGTAGGACTTGAGAGTCAAGGCCTATGGTCTTGTCCTGGCTCTACCAGTAAGTGTGACCTTCGATGTTTTTTTCTCAAGTAAGGCTGGTAATAATTACCACAGTTGTGAGAATTGAGAATTTGGAAATGCAGTGAAAGAGACTATACTCAAGTCTTGTTCTGGACTAACAGTGATCTTAAAATCTCTCATTTCAAAGAAATAAAGTATTTTGATGATTCTCTTGCATGGTGTATTAATAAACTTGGTATAATGGCAGAAACTGTAACCTACAACAGGTTTACGTTTAACTCTTTTTGTAGGTGTTTGGAGAAGAGGGATTGACCCTGAATCTTGAAGACGTTCAGCCTCATGACTTAGGAAAAGTTGGAGAGGTCATTGTGACCAAAGACGATGCCATGCTCTTAAAAGGAAAAGGTGACAAGGCTCAAATTGAAAAACGTATTCAAGAAATCATTGAGCAGTTAGATGTCACAACTAGTGAATATGAAAAGGAAAAACTGAATGAACGGCTTGCAAAACTTTCAGATGGAGTGGCTGTGCTGAAGGTAACATTCATTATTATGAATAAGTTTCTTGGGTTCTGAGTCCAAGAATGATTTTGCTTCTGTAGTATTCCCCAGTAGTACCATAGAACTAAACGAATACTTGAGGAATTAACTTCATAGTGGAATTTTGTTTGTTTTGTTTTGAGCTCTTCGTCACCCAGGCTGGGATGCAGTGGTGCGATCTCGGCGCACTGCAACCTCCGCCTCTTGGGTTCAAGCGAATCTCCTGCCTTGGCCTCCCGAGTAGCTGGGATTACAGGCACTTGCCACCATGCCTGGCTAATTTTGTATTTTTAGTGGAGACAGGGCTTCACCATGTTGGTCAGGCTGGTCTCAAACTCCTGACCTCAAGTGATCCACTCACCTCAGCCTCCCAAAGTGCTAGGATTACAGGTGTGAGCCACCACGCCCACCTCAGGATTGCTTTTTAAGTAAACTGCTTTTAAATGACTTGGCAATTAGCATCTTGAATGAAGAGGCCATACTAACTGGAATTCTTTTCGTCTTTAGGTTGGTGGGACAAGTGATGTTGAAGTGAATGAAAAGAAAGACAGAGTTACAGATGCCCTTAATGCTACAAGAGCTGCTGTTGAAGAAGGCATTGTTTTGGGAGGGGGTTGTGCCCTCCTTCGATGCATTCCAGCCTTGGACTCATTGACTCCAGCTAATGAAGATCAAAAAATTGGTAAAAAGTTACCTTTTAAATGAGTTTGTGGCCTGATTTTAGTTTTTCTTAGAATAATAATGTTGCAGTCCCCTAAATGGAATAGCACATTCATTTCCTGAATAACAGAAGTAGAATAGTGCTAATGTCAGAGCTAAACATGCATCACATCTTTTTCAGAGGAAATGATTTGATCTGTAGTAGGATTGGGATTTCCCTACATCAATATCCTCACAACTTATAAATGTGTTACAATATTTACAAATGAAAGTATTAAAATTTTGCTGAAATTTCTCTGTAGGTATAGAAATTATTAAAAGAACACTCAAAATTCCAGCAATGACCATTGCTAAGAATGCAGGTGTTGAAGGATCTTTGATAGTTGAGAAAATTATGCAAAGTTCCTCAGAAGTTGGTTATGATGCTATGGCTGGAGATTTTGTGAATATGGTGGAAAAAGGAATCATTGACCCAACAAAGGTAAATGGTTGAACACTTTCTAAAAATTCTTTTGTTGTTCATTTTGTTAATGTATCCTCACATCCCAAATCTTTGATTTTGTCACCAGAAAAATAGTCTAATAGCAGTAGCAACAGCAATAGCTCTTGTGCCCATCAACAATTCTCATGTACATTTCCAGCACCTAGATATTTAATACTCCACTAAAAGGAAGCAGGATCCCTTGAGTAGCAGTTGAGTCCATGCCTGGAGGCAGGAAAAAATCAGGATGGATCTGGAACACCCTGTTCCTGCCTGGCAGTAAGAATACTTTCCAAGATACGCAGAACAGGGTTTTGTTTTGTTTTGAAGACAGAGTCGCTGTGTCGCCCAGGCTGGAGTGCAGGCAGTGACAACCTCCACCTCCTGGGTTCAAGCGATTCTCCTGCCTCAGGCTCCTGAGTAGCTGGGATTACAGGCATGCACCACCATGCCTGGCTAATTTTTGTATTTTTAGTAGAGACGGGGTCTCATCATGTTGGCCAGGCTGGTCTTGAACTCCTAACCTCAAGTCATCTACCTGCCTCAGCCTCCCAAAGTGCTGGATTACAGGTGTGAGCCACCATGCCCAGACAGAAATTTTCAATAAGTCTTGCTCATATTTTACTAAGGGAAAACTAATTAATTAAATTTTTTTCTAGGTTGTGAGAACTGCTTTATTGGATGCTGCTGGTGTGGCCTCTCTGTTAACTACAGCAGAAGTTGTAGTCACAGAAATTCCTAAAGAAGAGAAGGACCCTGGAATGGGTGCAATGGGTGGAATGGGAGGTGGTATGGGAGGTGGCATGTTCTAACTCCTAGACTAGTGCTTTACCTTTATTAATGAACTGTGACAGGAAGCCCAAGGCAGTGTTCCTCACCAATAACTTCAGAGAAGTCAGTTGGAGAAAATGAAGAAAAAGGCTGGCTGAAAATCACTATAACCATCAGTTACTGGTTTCAGTTGACAAAATATATAATGGTTTACTGCTGTCATTGTCCATGCCTACAGATAATTTATTTTGTATTTTTGAATAAAAAACATTTGTACATTCCTGATACTGGGTACAAGAGCCATGTACCAGTGTACTGCTTTCAACTTAAATCACTGAGGCATTTTTACTACTATTCTGTTAAAATCAGGATTTTAGTGCTTGCCACCACCAGATGAGAAGTTAAGCAGCCTTTCTGTGGAGAGTGAGAATAATTGTGTACAAAGTAGAGAAGTATCCAATTATGTGACAACCTTTGTGTAATAAAAATTTGTTTAAAGTTAATAATTGTGTTAGCATTTCCATGATTAGAAGATACTGAAAATTGAAAGCCAGTTGAAGGGCAGGCTGGCATGTGTGTAAAACATTATCCTATCTATGATATTTTCATGTTTCTCTTTGTTGCAGACTGAACTACATTATTCCATTGATAATGGGGAAAGACAGTTTCTATTTTCCCCGGTGCAAGGATGTAATCTCTCTTGGAGCTGTAAAATCTGGGAGGTTGGAGGGAACTCCAGCTCCTCAGCATGGCCTTTGGGCTGCTGCTGCAAGCAAGGCATTGAGGCAAATATTTTTGCTGTCCTTACCTTGGACAGAAGTAGAGGGGAGAAATAAAGTCCATCATCACATGAAAAGTCAGTCACTTGAAATCCTGTACCTAGAATACCTTTGGCTTTGGTAATTTCGTTGTGTTTGGGGTACAAAAAAAAGGATCTATTTGATAGCACAACGGGGTGACTATAGTCAATAATAATTGTACATTTAAAAATAAAAGAATGTAATTGGATTGTAACAAAGGATAAATGGTTGAGGGGTGATGATGATCACCCCTCCATTTCCATGATATGATTCTCCATGATATGATTCTCCATGATATAATTATTTCACACTGCATGCCTACATCAAAACATCTCTTGTACCCCAGAAATAAATACACCTGCTAGGTACCCAAAGAAATTTAAAAAAGGAGGATTGGTCAGCAAATGAGAGGGGATTGAATAAAAGGCATGTTAACTGAAGAAATCTTGTCTAGAATGTAGTTTGGGCTGTAAAAGTGGCAAGCAAGCAAACTCAAGTAAAAGAAATCTAGGGAGATAATTTACATCTTAAGAGGCCAACTAGTTTATTAGAAGAACAAGGAATAAGAAACACCTGGACTTAGTTCGTATTAGAGCAGGGAGAGTGACAGAAGACTAGAGATTAATAGGAGAGGAAAAACTAACCAAGTGTTTGCTATGCATTAGACATCAGGATAGGTAATTTTAACCCTCAATGTTAGGTTTGGGACTATTAAGCCTATGCTACATTTATATAAACTGAGACTCTGAAGGTCTAACTGCCAGCCGGGCCCAGTGGCTCATGCTTGTAATCCCAGCACTTTGGGAAGCTGAGGCGGGCAGATCACCTGAGGTCAGAAGTTCAAGACCAGCCTGACCAACATGGTGAAACCCCGACTCTACTAAAAATACAAAAAATTAGCTGGGCATGGTGGCAGGCACCTGTAATCCCAGCTACTTGGGAGGCTGAGGCAGGAGAATCGCTTGAACCCGGGAGGCAGAGGTTGCAGTGAGAAAAGAAAAAAACGGTGATAGGACTTAGGAATTCAGGTTTGTGGTCTAGTTCTGGTTTCACCAATAAGTGTAACCTTGGGTGCTTTCCTTCTCAAGCTAAGAAAGGAAAACGGAATTTCCCAATTCCTCTGGCTGCAGCTTTCAGGTTTCTTGCAACAATTGCCTAGACCCTGCTTAGCTTGTTCTTAGGTTGAGATCTTAAGTGTTTAAATGAAACACTGGTTCAAATTTGGGTCTACCACTTAACAGCTCTGAGACTGTGGAAGTTACTTAAGACTTTTTGAGATGGAGTCTCACCATCACCCGCTGGAGCACAGTGGCGCAATCTCGTGATCCTCAGCCACCCAAAGTGCTGGGATTACAGGCGTGAGCCACCACCCCTGGCCCAGTCTGATTTTCAAACAGTTAAATGTGGACCATCAATGTTGGAGTAAGAAAAGTACAGTGTAGTTTGTCATACTGAAAATACTCAGTCTGAATAGTTTGAATTTAGTAACCTTAAATGAAATCTTTGACTTTGTCACTAAAAAAAAGGTCTAATAGTAGTAGCAGCAACAGTAGCACTTGTGCCCATCAATAATTCTTTTTTTTTTTTTTTTTTTTTTTTTTGGAGATGGAGTTTCACCCTATTGCCAGGCTGGAGTGCAGTGGTGCAATCTCAGCTCACTGTAACCTCCACCTGGGTTCAAGCAATTCTTCTGCCTCACCCTCCTAAGTAGCTGGGATTACAGGTGTGCACCACCATGCCTGGCTAATTTTCATATTTTTAGTAGAGATGGGGTTTTACCATGTTGGTCAGGCTGGTCTCAAACTCCTGACCTCATGATCCACCCACCTCGGCTTCTGAAAGTGCTGGAATTACAGGTGTGAACCACCGCCACCAGCTGCCCATCAACAATTCTTACGTACATCTCCAGCACCTAGATATTTAATACTCCACTAAAAGGAAACAGGATTCCTTGAGTAGCAGTTGAATCCATGTCTTGAGGCAGGAAAAATGTCAGGATGGATCTGCAACACCCTGTTCCTGCCTGGCAATGAGAATACTTTCAAAAACACCCAGAGCTTTTTTTTTTTTTTTTTTTTTTTTTTTGAGACAGAGTCTTACTCTGTCATCCAGGCTGGAGTGCAGACAGTGGGGCGATCTCGGCTCATTGCAATCTCCACCTCCTGGGTTCAAGTGATTCTCCTGCCTTAGGCTCCTAAGTAGCTAGGACTACCGGTGCACACCACCATGCCTGGCTAATTTTTGTATTTTTAGTAGAGATGGTTTTGCCATACTGGTCAGGCTCGTTTCAAATTCCTGACCTCAAGTGATCTGCTGGCCTTGGCCTCCCAAAGTGCTGGGATTACAGGCGTGAACCACCTTGCCCAGCCACAGAGAAGTTTTAAAGACAAGAGCCAGCATGGCTGGGTGCCGTGGCTCACACCTGTAATCCCAGCACTTTGGGAGGCTGAGGTGGGTGGATGTTAGAAATGCTTGTTCCCCGGTGCTATAAAGAAATAGCACTTGAACATATATTTAATTTTCTCAGCAAGGCCATTTTTACTTTCTGCAGAAAGGGTACACTCACCAGCAGTTTTGCCACGAGAGTACACCGAACAAAAGAGACAGGGTCATTTATAACCTGGTGCATCCACCCTACTGCTGTGCCTGGTTTCCATTCACTGGAATGGGACCTCACATTCTCTATTTGTCCCCATTGGCTAGCAACTTAGAACTTTTCAAAAGAGGCAAAGGCAAGGAGAATACAGGCAGGAGGAAGTAACTTGCGGGATGCTGAGAAAGGTAAAAAAAAAAACACCTCCAAATAAGGAAGAGGAACAGGCTATGACCTAATGTTTGCTTGGACCAGTATAAGCATGCCAGGGCAAATATTTAGGCTAAATTGTGGGAGCTAAGAACACAAAGTATATTGATTTCTTTATTATGGCTAGCAGATATTTAAGAATGTTAGCACAGGTCTTTGAATAAATTTTGCTCCTAGGAGAAGTTGGTATTTCTTCTTAATTAGACAGGGAGGAAAGTCTCTTTGAAGAGGAACCTCTACTTCACTTTTGGTTTTGTTTTGTTTCGAGACGGAGTCTCTGTTGCCCAGGCTGGAGTGCAGTGGCTTGATCTCGGCTCACTGCAACCTCTGCCTCCCCAGTTCAAGCGATTCTCCTGCCTCAGCCTCCAGAATAGCTGGGACTACAGGCGCCCGCCACCATGCCCAGCTAATTTTTGTATTTTTAGTAGAGACGAGGTTTCACCATGTTGGCCAGGCTGGTCTTGAACTCCTGACCTCAAGTGATCCACCCACCTGGGCCTCCCAAAGTGCTGGGATTACAGATGTGAGCCACTACGCCCAGCTTTTTGCAATTACCTGAGGTCAAGAGTTCGAGACCAGTCTGACCAATATGGTGAAACCCCGTCTCTACTAAAAATACAAAAATTAGCAGGGCATGGTGGCTCGCGCCTGTAGTCCCAGCTACTCAGGAGGCTGAGGCAGGAGAATTGCTTGAACCTGTGGGGGTGGAGGTTGCAGTGAGCCGAGATAGCACCACTGCACTCCAGCCTGGGCGACAGAATGAGATTCTGGCCCCCTCACCCCCAAAAAAGAAGAGCCTGCCCAAGGGGTTTACTGGGCAAAGTTAGTACGTTTTGAGTATCAATAACAAATCATTATGGTTACTTAGAACAAAGCAAAGTGTTCATAATGATACTTAAAAGAGGAAAGTGAATATAAAGAACAGAAAAAGTTCTAATATAAACTGGTGAATATTATGTTTCTAATAAGCAGGAGTGTTGCTAGGCGTGGTGGCTCACACCTGTAATCCCAGCACTTTGGGAGGCCAAGGCAGGCAGATCACCTGAGGTCGGGAGTCGAGACCAGCCTGACCAACATGGAGAAACCCCCGTCTCTACTAAAAATACAAAATTAGCAGGGAATGGTGGTGCATGCCTGTAATCCCAGCTACTTGGGAGGCCGAGGCAGGAGAATCACTTGAACCTGGGAGGCAGACGTTGCGGTGAGCCGAGATCATGCCTTTGCACTCCAGCCTGGGCAACAAGAGCAAAACTCTGTCTAAAAATAAATAAATAAAATAAGCAGGAGTGCTGACACATATGTCTGCTGATAAAGCATAGATTATATTCTTGTTTCTATATGTGTAAACAGGAAGGAGTGAAATAAAACTGGTAAGAGTCATGGCCAGGTGCAGTGGCTCACACCTGTAATCCCAGCACTTTGGGAGGCTGAGGCGGGCAGATCACCTGAGGTCAGGAGTTCAGGACCAGCCTGGCCAACATGGTGAAACCCCATCTCTACTAAAAATACAAAAATTAGTGGGGCATGGTGGTGCGTGCTTATAGTCCCAGCTACTCAGGAGGCTGAGGCAGGAGAATCGCTTGAACCCAGGGGGCAGAGGTTATCCAAATTCTCCAGAAATACTGAACTTTCCAGGGAACTAAATTTTTGAGAGGAACTCATGAATATTAATAAATTCATGAGATAGACATAACTTTCTATATAATTTTCAGCATTTTGTCTTGTAAATAGTTTCTACTTATGAAACATATCTATGTTAATAGACAAATCAGGTCAATATACCATAAATAAGAGTTAGGTACCTAACAAATTAAAAGAGTACTTCATTTCCAGGAAAGGTATCAATTCTCTAAACATTAACATCTCTGAAACACAAAGGACCTAAGAACCTCATAACGTAACAAGTAAAGCTTTGTTATAAAAAACAAACAAAAAAGGGACTCATCCTAAGGGTAAAGGCTCAGCATCACACTGACCTGTGCAACCAACCAGGTTACACATTAACAGTAACCCAGATCCTGCAACTGTAGTTGGATTAAGATGGTGCCTCTTCTTGAGTCTAGTTAATGTCCTGAATGACCAGAAAGGTATAATAACGACCCTAGAAAGGCAACATTAATTCTCCTCCTAGGGTCTGGTGGAGTCTCCCCATCTTGCATCCCCCCGCTCTGCAAGCCATCTACCTCTGCCCACCTGGGAATGAGGGGTGAGGAGGACTTGGGGGCTGGGTGGAATCCTGTCAGTTGGTGAAGCCCTGTGGCAGCAAGGTCTATGTCGACATAAGAGTATACCTTTCTTCAGCCACTGACTGCATGTGAATGACAATGAAATAGCTGGAGTCGACTGCCATCAGAAGCTATCAGTGATGAAGGGCTGAGCTACACAGACTAGGTAGGATGTGTATCGGATACGGTCACGACTCTCAGTACTGGGCAAGACAGAGAAGTTTGTGGTCTTGTTGCTGACTTACTGAAATGTCTTGGGCTCTGCTTTTCAACTGGTTCCTCTGCTGGGCTCAAAGGTTGGGAGTAGGAGACAATATCCCATGCTGACAAGGGCTTGGCCTTTATCTTGGGCACCTCATTGCTTTCAACCTGTGCCCTTTCTCCACCTTTGCCCTCCCAGTGGTTGGTATGTGGGAAGCCCATCTCAATTCGTCTCAAACCAAGGATGAGGGTCTAGTCTCTGCCATGACGGTGGGATCTGAGGCCTTTCCTCACCCAGTCTGGTGACTGCCCTACACTGCACCAGACACTGAACTCCCGGACCCCCTCCTCCTTCCCTTTGTTACCCCTTTCCTTCAGCTCACTTAGCCCAGTGCTGTATCCAGCACCAAAAAAAAACCTAAGTGTTTGTCCTCTGCTGGGTTTGGGTACACAAGGAAGCCTTGGGGTCTGGAAAAAGGCCGCTCTTATCTAGAGTTTACCCACAGGCCGGGGGCTGCCATTCTCTTCACAGATACCCCTGCAAGAGGAATTTCTTTTGGGGCACATAAGTGAGGACTTCATTTCAACAGAGGCTGGTGATGGTGGGGGCGTGGACTTTTTGTTTTTGTTTTTGTTTTTTTTTTTGAGACAGGGTCTCACTCTGTTGCCCGGGCTGGAGTGCAGTGGTGCGATCTTGGCTCCCTGCAACCTTGACCTCATGGTATCAAGCAATCCTCCCACCTCAGCCTCCTGAGTAGCTGGAACCACAGACATGCACCACTCTGCCTGGCAAATGACTTTTCGTAACATGTTAGGAGTTAATGTTGCAAAGTTTACCTCTTCACTTTCTGAAGACACATGAATATAGGACCAATGTATTTGTGACAAGCAAATGCACTAATAGAGAAGGGCCATCCGCCCCTGCCCCAGCTCAGATAGAGGTGCTGAGCCCATCACAGTTATTACACGTCTTAAGTTTTGTTCAATTATAGCTCTTTTCCCTTTCCTGATGATTGAATTTACAAAAGAAAGTAGGCAGCTCAGAAGGCCCTGGAAGTGAGGAGTAGGGGCAAGGATCATCAGTGACTAGTTAGGGAGGATGAGGGTTGTTTTTTGCCAACAGCCTAAGTAGAGTAATCTGGATTATCTGGCACCCTCCTGGATGGAACCCTAGAGTTCCTCCTGTGTGAAAGGGTCCCTGGATTTTCCCCAGCCCCCACCCGTCTCTACCTTCAGCCATGTTGATGGCAGAGAAGGTAAGAACTTACAGCCTGTTTCTCACTGGAGAGTGAAACTGGCCATCTGGCTTACGTTCATAGTACATTATCTTTACTATGTGCCAGGATATCACACTTAAAAAGGCCACACACAAAAAATGTAAAATACTTGAACAAGCTTGTATTATAATATTAATATTATTGAGAGTATCTGCTTTCTGGGCTGATGTGATTCATTCATTATTCCAGTCTGGCTTTAATCCTTTGTAATTTGTAGTAATTATGCTTTTCTTTCTTTCTTTTTTTTTTTTTTTTTTTTTTTTGAGACGGAGTCTTGTTCTTTGTCGCCCAGGCTGGAGTGCAGTGGCACAATCTCGGCTCACTGCAACCTCCGCCTCCCGGGTTCAAGTGATTCTCCTGCCTCAGCCTCCTGAGTAGCTAGGATTACAGGCCCCCACCACCATGCCTGGCTATTTTTGTATTTTTAGTCGAGATGGGGTTTCACCATGTTGGCCAGACTGGTCTCAAACTCATGACCTCAGGTGATCCGCCTACTGCAGCCTCCCAAAGTGCTGGGATTATGGGTGTGAGCCACCGTGTCTGCCCATGCTTTTCTTAATACAAAAAAAGAAAGTATAAAAATAAAAACTTGAGTCCGGGTGCTGTGGCTCACACCTGTAATCCCAGCACTTTGGGAGGCTGAGTGGGCGGATCACAAGGTCAGGAGTTCAAGACCAGCCTGACCAACGTGGTGAAACCCCATCTCTATTAAAAATACAAAAAAATTAGCTGGGCATGGTGGTGGGCACCTGTAATCCCAGCTACTGGTGAGGCAGGAGAATCGCTTGAACCCGCGAGGCGGAGGCTGCAGTGAGCCGAGATTGCGCCACTGCACTCCAGCCTGGGTGACAGAGTGAGACTCTGTCTCAAAAAAAAAAAAAAAATTTACTCTCACTAGCCCTTTCTCAGGAAGCCACTAGTGGATTTGCCCCAGCATTTTGAGAGAGCACATCAAAATAAGAGGAAGCCAAAAATTCAGGAAATAGCAGGTCCCAAAGAGGAAAGAGGAAGGGAAGTCCCAGGATGATTGCAAGGAAGCCCTGCAATTATAGCTGTGCAACATCCTGGAGAGCAACCAGTTCAGACTGGGGCAGAAGGGCGGCTGCAAGTAACCACTGATACCAGACTAAAAGTGAATTCAACACTAGATGTCTGTTATCTCACATAACCAAAAGTGCAAAGTTGGCAACTACAGGGTTGGTTCATTCACCCTTAATGATGTTAGAACTCTGAGTTGGCTTCTCTGAATTACCTTGGCTCTTCCTCATAGCGAAAAGATGGCAGATGTAGCTACAAACTTCATGTTCTCAAATCAGGTAAAAATAAGGAGAATTTCTCTTCGAAGGATCCTCCCACAAAGAGAAAAATCTTATCTAACAG
This sequence comes from Homo sapiens, assembly GCF_000001405.40. NCBI lineage: Eukaryota > Metazoa > Chordata > Mammalia > Primates > Hominidae > Homo > Homo sapiens. Next base: position 197,478,400 of record NC_000002.12, on the reverse strand, counting down.
CCCCATCCCACCAGTCTTCCACTCAGATTCCACTGGCCAGATGCCATTTTCAAAAAGTTTATAGACATGATATTGTTTTCCCCCTTATTATATGTAAAGCATAGATGCCAAGTTTTAAGTCTACAATGCCTCTAAGAGTTCTACTTTATCTACTGTTCACTGCAAATCTTGCCCTTAGGTCAAAACAAGCTTGATGTTGCTTTGTAACACATACTACAAATCCCGCCCCTTAGTTGCCTAAGGTATATAAGCCCTGGGACCATGATGATCCATCAGGGGATCCACCATCTTATCTTGCAGCCGCCCCGAAACATGGCTTCTGCTCCTGTGTGTAGGTCCCTATTAAATGTTTCTTTCTGAGAAACTGGATTTGTCCACCTTTCTTCTGCCTCTCAGTTTCCTCAGCTTTTGTGGCTAGGTTTGCATAGACCTGCCCACCACAGAATCAGAAGTCATGGCCTCAAGACTGTTGGGCTAGATAAAGCAAACAAGAGAGCATAGATATTAGAGCCAGAATGTGTGGGGTTTTCATCCTGTCTTTACCAGTCACTGTGACCTTAGAAAAGTTACTTAACCTCTCTTTATAAAACTTTTTCTATGTAAAATGAGGATAATAGTATCTACCTCAAAAAGTTATGATTAAATGTTTACAAGGCATTTTAAACTGCCTGGCATCTAGTGCTATGTAAGTGTGCAAAACAAAATAATTTTGTTAAATGCCTAAAAACTTGAGCCTTGAAAACTGAGGTGGTCAGTCCCATGAAATTCCAGAGGTCTATATATCACGATCTTATGAACTCTTTCTCTTATAAACAGGGGAGGAAAAATAAAAGGAGAGTATCGTAAAATTGCCCTCAGAAAAACTCCTGACCAGGTCTATCTCCTTCTTGGAAGGTCTGAGCTTAGAATGCTGTTACGCAGAATCAGATGGACTCCAGATATATAAACTCTGACACTCTAAACTTGGCCTTAAGTACCTGCAAAGACCCAAGATCCATTTGTTAACACTCAAATGATCACTGTGTTTGTTGTATAAAGGGAACACTGGAGTTAACTATTAGAACACTACTAGAACCATTTTTGTCTCTTTTTGGAGATAAAGTCTCATTCTGTTGCCCAGGCTGAGACGCAGTGGCATGATCACGGGTCGCTGCAGCCTCGACCTCCTAGGCTCAAGCTATCCTCCTGCCTCAGCCTCCTGAGTAGCGGGGACTATAGGCACATACCACCACACCTGGATAATTTTAGTACTAATTTCTAGAATTTGAGAGACATAGGCAACTGAGTTTAGCCCCAAGTTTACAACTTCCTTAAAATTTAACATAAACCAATGAGCACCCTCGCAAAGGGGAAATGAGTTTTTGTATTTTTTGTAGAGATGGGGCTTCATCATGTTGCCAGTCTGGTCTCAAATTCCTGGGCTCAAGCAATCCACCCACTTCAGCCTCCTAAAGTGCTGGGAATACAGGTGTGAGCCACTGTACCTGGCTGGCATTTGTAAAAGGAGTGATAAAGTATGGGTTCCTATTTCCATCAAAAGAGAATACAGGCATGACATGGTGGCTAAGGCCTGCAATCCCAACACTTTGGGAGGCTGAGGCAGGAGGAGTGCTCGAGCCCAGAAGTTTGAGACCAGCCTGGGCAACAAAGGGAGCTCTGTCTCTAAAAATAAATAAATAAATAAATAATTTTTTAAAAAAGAGAATACAGTACATGGAGATAATAAAATGTCTGAGTCTTATTTTTAAAAAGCTTTAAATGACTTTGCCATTTTAAAAAAACTTTGTGGCCGGGTGCAGTAGCTCACGCCTATAATCCCAACACCCTGGGAGGCCAAGGCCGGCAGATCATTTAAGGTCAGGAGTTCAAGACCAGCCTGGGAAACATGGTGAAACCGTCTCCACTAAAAAATACAAAAATTAGCCGATGTGGTGGTGCGCGCTGATACTCTCCAGCTACTTGAGAGGCTGAAGCAGGAGAATCACTTGAACCTGGGAGGCGGAGGTTGCAGTGAGCCGAGATTGTGCCACTGCACTCCAGCCTGGACAACAGAGTTGAGACTCTGTCTCAAAAAAACAAAAAACAAAACGAAACAACAAAAAAAAGTTTTTTGTTTTTTGTTTTTTTTTTGAGGTGGAATCTTCCTCTGTCGCCAGGCTGGAATACAGTGATGTGATGTCTGCTCACTGCAACCTCCGCCTCCTGGGTTCAAGTGATTCTCCTGCCTCAGCCTCCCGAGTAGCTGGGACTACAGGCGCACGCCACCACACCCAGCTAATTTTTGTATTTTTAGTAGAGACAGGGTTTCACCATGTTGGCCAGGATGGTCTCAATCTCTTGACCCCGTGATCTGCCTGCCTCAGCCTCCCAAAGTGCTGGGATTGCAGGCATGAGCCAGCGTGCCCAGCCAAAAAAAAAAAAAAAACTTTGTTATTTAAAAAGCTACATTGGTACACTGGCCAGGGACAGTGGCTCACGCCTGTAATGCCAGCACTTAGGAAGGCTGAGGCAGGCAGATCACCTGAGGTTGGGAGTTTGAGGCCAGCCTCATCAACACGGAGAAACCCCGTTTCTACTAAAAATACAAAATTAGCCAGGTGTGGTGGTGCATGCCTGTAATCCCAGCTACTCAGGAGGCTGAGGCAGGAGAATTGCTTGAACGTGGGAGGCAGAGGATGCGGTGAGCTGAGATCGCGTCATTGCACTCCAGCCTGGGCAACAAAAGCGAAACTCCGTCTCAAGAAAAGAAAAAAAAAAAAGGTATATAACTATATACAAACTACTTATGCTCTTGGCAAATACCTCATCTGTAAGTGGAAAGATACTGCTTACCTTGTGTGAGAGCACAACCTGGCTCCTCATGAGTAGAGGCTGATATGAATCCTTCATCACTCTATACCCAGTGTCTGATTGAAAGCAGGTGCTCAAAACAGATTTATTAAACAAATTAATACCCATATATATACTTATGTAGAGAACTAATTACTGAGGTCCCTTGTTGACCTGAGGAAACAAAGTTAATAGCACTATCACTGGAAGTTTAATGCCAGAGGGTTGTTGGTATGTAGTGAAAGGAGGACAGGAGATCAATGACTGGTTAAAAGAAAACTGAATTTTGCTTATATTTGTTAAAGTCTGTTTCTTCATAGAAATAGATATTTTAGATATCTTCATAGATATTTTTAAGACATGAAATGCTGTAACACTTTACTATGTCTATGCAAATACACATTTAAACAATATAGGAAGATTTCAATAACCAAACTAACTGTACAAAAAATAAACAAATTAACTTTATTACATTGCTACTTCAACTTCAGTCCTTACATTGATTTGTTTTTTAAAAAATACCAGTTTGAAACACATTACTGAAAGTGAGTGTACACAATAAATAGAAAATAGGGATGCATAGTGCTGGAGACATTCAACCAACTTATCTTCATCTGTTGCCTACTGTTGTAGACAAAATTTGACACACAATTAGCATTACTGAAAGAGCAGCCAAACTACCTCGGAGAAAGTGGCAAACTACTGGAAAAGTAGCTTAAAGCTCTGGACCACTCACCAAAAAAAAAAAAAAAAAGAAGAAAATACACTGTTTATCTGGGAGCTAGCCTCATTATGGCAATGAATTTATCTACTAGTCATAAGAACAATTTTTAAAATATCAAAAGTCCCAGGGAACCTTCACTAACAGTTTTTGTTTTTGTTTTTGGAGACAGAGTCTCCCTCTGTTGCCCAGGCTGGAGTGCAGCAGGGCGATCTTGGCTAACTGCAACCTCCGCCTCCCGGGTTCAAGCGATTCTTGTGCCTCAGCCTCCCAAGTAACTGGGATTACAGGTGTGTGCCACCACGCCCAGCTAATTTTTGTATTTTTAGTAGAGATGGGGTTTCGCCATGTTGACCAGGCTGGTCTAGAACTCCTGACCTCAACTGATCTGCCCACCTCAGCTTCCCCAAGTGCTGGGATTACAGGTGTGAGCCACTGTGCCCAGCCCAAAGTTTTTACTTTAAATATATGATTACTCAAATATCCTAAGCCATACGGCAGGCCCTATAACAATAAGTTACAAATAGTCTGAATTTAATAACTTAAGTGTGATATGGTTAATATAATACATACTGTGTGAATATCTTAACTAACCTCTTTCAGGTAAGGTGATAATTAAAAGGTTTAAATTTACAGTTTCAACTTCTGCTCAGAAGAATCATGCCAGTATTCTAGCAATGGTGATGACATCCCATTATTGTAATGCAGAACATGATAATGTCCATATTATTTTGAATTATACTTGAAGAAATAATTCTATGTACAAGTGAGTCTATATTCTATGTGCAAATTTTCAATGGTGCAGGTTTATAACCAAAGCTGCGTTTAACAAATGCTTTCTGGCTTCTGAAAACATGTCATGAAAATACTTCCTAAAAGTGAACAAACTAAAGTCAGAAGCAGGTGGCACCAGTTCTTTTTTGCCTTTATGTGTGATGGACTTCATGAAGCATTAACTCCCGAGGTATATTTGTTTCTGGACCATACAGCTTACATGCTCTTCTTTCAAAGGCAGCTACCATCTGCTTCACAACTTCATCAAAAAAGAGTGTGGCAAGCTGGGAATGTAGAAGTGATCGAAATTCAAAAGAAATCTGTAGGAAAATATTGAAAATTATTTTAGAAAAAATTATTTTTTGCTTTTTTTTTTTTTTTGGTTTTCCTGGAGAGGGACTCTCGCTTTGTTGCCCAGGTTGGAGTGCAGTGGCACAATTGCGGCTCACTGCAGCCTCAACCTCCTGGACTCAAGCAATCCTCCCACCTCTGTCTCCCAAGTAGCTGGTACTACAGGCATATGCCACCACATGTGGCTAATTTGTGTGTGTGTGTGTGTATATATATACGTATATATATACGTATATACATATATATACGTGTATATATACATATATATATATGTATATATGTGTATATATATATATATATATATATATATTTTTTTTTTTTTTGTGGGGGGGGGCGTAGAGAAGGGGTTTTGCCATGTTGCCCAGGCTGATCTCAAACTCCTGGGCTAATGCAATTCTGCCCACTTCAGCCTCCCAAAGTGTTGGGATTATGGGCATGAGCCACTGTGCCCAGCCAGAAAGATTTTTTTTAAACTAAATCTCCACTTAGGACAGTGGTGTTCACACTATGAACTGGGTATCTAAGGTAGAATTGTGTGGATGTATGTAGGTGGGATTTTTAGCACCCCCACAAAAGAGGGAATCTTCTTTTACTGCAACAAGCACAATTGCTGGCACAATAAGCTTACATAAAGAAGGCCAATGAAATCTCATTTCAAGGGAAAAAGTCTGTTTCTTAATAAGAGAAGACTGGAAAAAACCTTTGCTGAATACATTAATCACTATGCCTTCTTATTAATGTGTCCCTTTTAGATCCATCCTATCCCACAAAAGGAAATAAGGAAGGAAAGTGATCCTTCTCATAGGTATCACTGAGAAGCACCAGCAGGAAGAGGAGGCTGGAAGTGTGCATGCACATGTGTGCCTAACCCACAGGGCAGATGGTGTAAGTGGTTTAATCTTTCTTTTTTTTTTTTTTTTTTTTTGAGATGGAGCCTTGCTCTGTCGCCCAGGCTGGAAATGGCCCAACCTCGGCTCAAATGCAACCTCTGACTTCTAGGTTCAAGCGATTCTCCTGCCTCAGCCTCCAGAGTAGCTGGGACCACAGGCACCTGCCACCACGTCCAGTTAATTTTTGTATTTTCAGTAGAGACGGGGTTTCACCATGTTGGCCAGGCTGGTCTCAAACTCCTGACCTCAGGTAATCCACCCACCTAGGCCTTGCGAAGTGTTGGGATTACAGGCATGAGCCACTGCGCCCGGCCACGTGGTTCAATCTTAAAGTAGCCAATGATGTGGACAAGCTTGTCCAATCCACCTTATTTTGTAGTTGTTGTTGTTTTGTTTTGTTTTGTTTTAGGCTTTTAACAGCCTGAAGCCATGGGTTTTAGTTTCTGTCTCTAGTGGTTAAGTGGAAAAGAGGGATGAGGAAGAGGCTTTACTGGCCCAACCAGAAACAGAAACTAAGAACCCATGACTGTATTCTCTCCCTTGGATACCCTTTCAGAACTTTATTTATACCCTCTCATTGTTCCATATAGAATTCAAGACAACTGGTTTGAGAACTGTGTTTTAAGGACCAAATATCCTCTAAATATTAAAATGTTTATCTTTCATTACGAAATAATTTCATTTTTGTAAAAAAAAAAAACTACAAAATAATACAAAGAATTCCCATGTACCCATTACCCATATTTCCCTATTTTAATGTCTTCAATAACCATACTGCAATTATCAAAATCAGGAAATTAACAGAGGGAGTTACTACTACTAGATAATAATGCTATTATCTAATTTATATAGACCTTATTCAAATTTTCCCAATTGTCCTTTTTTTTTTTTTTTGAGACAGTGTCTCACTCTGTCACCCAGGTTGGAGTGCAGTGGTACGATCTCAGATCACTGCAACGTCCACTTCCTGGGTTCAAGTGATTCTCCTGGTTCAGCCTTTCAAGTAGCTAGGACTACAGGCATGCACCACCACACCCGGCTAATTTTTGTATTTTTAGTAGAGATGGGGTTTCGCCATGTTGGCCAGGCTGGTCTCAAACTCCTGACCTCAAGTGATCTGCCCGCCTCGGCCTCCCAAATTGCTGGGATTACAGGCGTGAGCCACTGTGCTTGGCCCCAATTGTCCTATTAATGTCTATAATGCTTTAATGAAAATTACTCAAGAGCTGAGAACAGCACACGATAATTTAGTCAAAATTGCCACCATTTCTTAAAATTCAATGCCCAAGTTGCCTGTACAGAGAACAACTCCCATATTACCTGTTGGCAAAGAAAAAGCCACAAATTGCTTTAAGTTTTCTATAACTACGATTATATGAAAAAGAAAGTTACTAGGCTGGGTGCGGTGGCTCACGCCTGTAATCCCAGCACTTTGGGAGGCCAAGGTAGGCAGATCTCCTGAGCCCAGAAGTTCGAGACCAGCCTGGGAAACATGGCAAAACCCCATCCCTACATAGAATACAAAAATAAGCCTGTGTGGTGGTGCATTCCTGTAGTCCCAGCTACTCGGGAGGCTGAGGTGTGAGGATCACTTGAGCCAGGGAAGCAGAGGTTACACTGAGTCAATATCACAGCACTGCACTCCAATCTGGGTGACAAAGTAGCGCCCCATCTCAAAAAAATAAAAAAAGAAAGTTACCAGACTCTAGATGCAAAAAAATGAAAAAAATATATTACCTTATTTCTGCATGTTTTATTTTTAAATTTTTTGAGACAGGGTCTCACTCTGTTGCCCAGGATGGAGTACAGTGATGTGATCATAGTTCACTGCAAGCTCGAACCCTTGGACTCAAGTGATCTGCTCGTCAGCCTTCTCAGCAGCTAGGACTACTGGTGGGCACCACTACACAAGGATAATTTTATTTTTATTTTTATTTGTTTTGAGACAGTTTTGCTCTTGTTGCCCAGGCTGGAGTGCAATGGCACGATCTCGGCTCACTGCAACCTCCGCCTCCCGGGTTCAAGTGATTCTCCTGTCTCAGCCTCCTGAGTAGCTGGGATTACAGGCACATGCCACCACGCCCGGCTAATTTTTGTATTTTTACTAGAGACGGGGTTTCATGATATTGGTCAGGCTGGTCTCGAACTCCTGACCTCAGGTGATCTGCCCGCCTCAGCCTCCCAAAGTGCTAGGGTTATAGGTGTGAGCCACCCCATCCAGCCGATAATTTTATTTTCACTAGAGACAAAGTCTTGCTATGTTCCCCAGGCTGGTCTCAAACTCCTGGCCTCAAGTGATCCACCTGACTCAGCCTCCCAAAGTGCTGGGATTCCAGGCATGGGCTACTGCACCTAGCCTGTTTCTGCATCTTATATGCAATGTGTTCTTTCATTTGGTGTTAATTTAAAACTATTATTAAGTTTAAAACTGTTATTAAGCTGGTTGTAAAGTCATGGCATGTATCTTACAATCTACAGATTTGTAAAAAACAGAATGAAGGAATATTCAAGGTTGCAAGAAATAGAATAAAAAAGAAATGTTCATTAGCATTTATGCAGAAAAAGGTATTCAATATAATTATGGCCTCTGTGTTCTAAAAAATGATTACTTTTTACCAATTTTACCTCATAAGTGGAACAAATCAAGGGCTTTATGAGACTTACTGAAAAATCCAAGGTACAAGTTCTTGGGTAGCCAGGAAGACCTGGGCTAAAACGCCAAATAGTCTCCAAATGATTGAAAAGTCTCCCATCAGTACAAGATGCCTACAACAAAATGAAAAAATAAAACCACAGTTAAATACCTTTGCTACTGGACATAATCTAAGAATCTACTATGACTGAGGCTGATTTCTTTCATAAGTAATAATTTTTATAGGTCAGACCATAGGAGATAAAGATATCTAATTTTTAGCTTGGTACTAGGAAGTAATGTCTTGCCAATATTAGCCTTTTTTTTTTTTCCTGCAGGGATCCCTAAGATTGCCAGGTGTTTTCTCTTCCATTGCTAACACCTGCTTTGCTACTTAGCTTTCCTTCCTCTAGAAGCAAAAGAGGGAGCTTCTTGGAAGCTTATTTCTAGCTCTGCCACATATAAGTGATCGTGAACAAGTTAAATCCCCATACCCTATTTCCTTAATCTGTAAAATAATACCTACTTTATATCATGAGATCACTGAAATGTTAATAAGGTACCTGGTACACATTTATCTCCTACTCAAAGACTGTTCTCTTATTAATCACGTATAGTCTTTCCTTCACTCTTTGCTCCTTATTCCTAGAGGCCTCTATCTAGTTTTCCTAACTGTGTAGTCCTGGCCCTTAGCCCTGATCCATTTCTTTCTGATTTTTTCAATGCACATGTATACTTTATATTCAGTATGCACACAATCACAATACTTAACCATACTATGTGCAGGGCATCTTGGTAGTTCCTATTTTGTATCATAAAAAAAATACTTATTGTGGCTGGATGTGGTGGCTCACACTTGTAATCCCATCACTTTGGGAGGCCAAGGTTGGGGGATCACTTGAGCCCAGGAGTTCGAGGCTGCAGTAAGCTATGATTATGCCACTGCACTCCAGCCTGGGCAACAGAACGAGATTCCCTGTCTCTTCGAAAAAAATTTAAAAATTAGCCAGGTTTAGTGATGCATGCCAGTAGTCCCAAGTACCCAGGAGGCTGAGGTGAGGGGACTGCTTGAGCCCAGGAGACTGAGGCAGCAGTGAGCTATAATTACGCCACTGAACTCCAGCCTGGGTGACAGAGCCAGACACTGTCTGAAAAAATAAAATAAAAATAAAAATAAAAAATAAAAAAATTTATTGAGATCCATGAAAGAGATGCCATCTGCAATCTGAAAATGGTAACCAGAACCATAGTTACTAGTTCATTGTTAGGACTGATTATGCTCGTTATGACCCTGAGAGATGCTCAGCATTTTATTTTTATTTTTATTTTTATTTTTTCCCACCTCAGCCTCCCAAGTAGCTGGGACCACAGGTGTGTGACACTATGCCCAGCTAATTATTTCATTTTTTGTAGAGTTGTGTTCTCCCTAAGTTGCCCAGGCTGGTAATGAACTCCTGGGCTCAAGTGAACCTCCTGCCTTGGCCTCCCAAAGTGCTGGGATTACAGCAGGCGTGAACCACCTCATCCACACAAATAATCTAGAGCATTCCTAAAGTGCACAGGTAATTTCTAAGAGCATCAAGAGTCTATAATAAAATCTTGTTATTTCAGTTGCCCAACTTTAGGATAATACATTCTGCCCTTCTTTACAATCATTTAAGAAGCTTATAGGAAATTTAACATTAAAGGATAAACAGGTTTTGGGAGTATTCACTGTAACATAGCACCTTCCTCTGACTACTTTTTTTTTTTTTTTTTTTTGAGACGGAGTCTCACTCTGTCACCCAGGCTGGAGTGCAGTGGCGCGATCTCGACTCACTGCAAGCTCCGCCTCCTGGATCCACACCATTCTCCTGCCTCAGCCTCTCAAATAGCTGGGACTACAGATGCCCGCCACCATGCTCGGCTAATTTTTTTTCGTATTTTTACTAGATATGGGGTTTCACCATGTTAGCCAGGATGGTCTCGATCTCCTGACCTCCTGATCCCCCCGCCTCGGCCTTCCAAAGTGCTGGGATTACAGGTGTGAGCCACCACACCCGGCCTCCTCTGACTACTTTTATACAAAATCTGGCAGTATTTCACTCACTCCAATTATCTAGCCCAAGGACGCACGGATTTTTACTGTTATGTTTTGACACGAAGAGTTTGCCAAAGACCTCATTTCTAAGAGCAGAGATACTGAATAGTAGAAGCTGTCATAATGATGACCTACTACTGACTGTTCTGAGTGAACTGATTTAGACCATTATATAAACTAATCCATACAAAATGTTTCTATCATGAAGCAGGCAGTAAAAGTCATTGAACTGTTGCCTCTCTGAAAATGTTCAAGGGCTTCTGGCCATTAAAGATTAGTGTAGACTAGAATTACTGACATATTAAGTGACAGGCATGTTTTGGTCAGCTAATAATTCACAGAACTGTCACATGGCTTCTGTTCTTCCCTTATAATAATTTTTACTGTATTGGGTAAAAAATAATAATTTTTACTGTGTTGTCTATTGGGTATTAAAATCCAGAACCTGGCCGGGCATGGTGGCTCATGCCTGTAATCCCAGCACTTTGGGAGGCCAAGGCGGGCGGATCACCTGAGTTCGGGAGTTCGAGACCAGCCTGACCAACAGGGAGAAACCCCGTCTCTACTAAAAATACAAAATTAGCTGGGCGTGGTGGCGCATGCCTTTAATCCCAGCTACACAGGAGGCTGAGGCAGGAGAATCGCTTGAACCTAGGAGGCAGAGGTTGTGCTGAGCTGAGATTGCGCCATTGCACTCCAGCCTGGAAAACAAGAGCGAAACTCCATCTTAATCAATCAATCAAATCCAGAACCCGGGCAACAAGAGTGAAACTCCATCTCAATCAATCAATCAATCAAATCCAGAACCTGGGTAACAAGAGCGAAACTCCATCTAAATAAATAAATAAATAAATAAATAAATAAAATCCAGAACCCAGGCCAGGCATGGTGGCTCATTCCTGTAATCCCAGTGTTTTGGGATGCCGAGGCAGGCAGATCACCTGAGGTCAGGAGTTTGAGACCAGCCTGGCCAACATGGTGAAACCTCGTTTCTACTAAAAATACAAAAATTAGCTCAGTGTGGTGGCACGTGCCTATAATCCCAGCTACTCAGGAGGCTGAGGCAGGAGAATCGCTTGAACCCAGGAGGCAAAGGAAGCGGTGAGCCGTAGATCATGCCATTGCACTCCAGCCTGGGCAACAAGAGTGAAACTTGGTCTCAAAAAAAAAAAAAAAATCTGGAAACTGAACCCAGGAACAACTGAAAGTTGAGCATATATTCTCAAGTATGTCTTTAAAAAACAAACTAGCATTATTATGTGAGGCAACTTATAATGAAAAAATAGGGGGAAGGAGAGTAGGAAAAAAAAAAAGAAAAAATAGTTTTGGAGTCAGACACATGCAAGTGTGAATTTGCCCAAGGTTCTTAATCTCCTTAAGCTTCATAAAATTGAGATAGCTATGATCATCTAATGCAGGTTATTATGAAGATTACTTTTTTTCTAATACAGTTTATCCCTCCCTTAGCAGTGCTGAAAGTTTACTCTAAGATTATTATGAATGTCTCTGAATCTGCAATAATCCAAAAATACAGGTAGTGAAAGCTTCATAAGTAAGGAGGCTTCATGACTCCCATCATTATAGTATTGCTGTTGAGGTTACAGAGATGAAAAAGACAGGGGCTCCTTCCCTCAAGTACCACAGTCTTGTCAAGGAGAAATCCTGTTGAAGAAATATATTACAGAGTGATAAAAGAAAGCATGAATAAAGCACAGGAGAATCACCAAGGTAGTGCTACTTATCAATATGAAAGGAAAGAGAGAAAATGACCCCAGATGGTCAGAATTTGAAGGAATATCAAGAAGGTAAGTGCATTACAGATAGAAGAATAAGCAATATGCAAAGGCACACGGCTGTGGAATAGTGCTGTACTGTGCATTCGTGGAACTTTTAAGACATTCGGTATTAGCTGAACATCAAGTATAGTATTACGTGGGAGGAGGGAGCAGGGAAGTAAATGGGTCAATGTGCAATGATAAAGAGATTTACTTTATCCTGTGTGGTTTTGTTTTTGTTTTGTGTTTGTTTGTTTTGAGACGGAATTTCACTCATTGTCCAGGCTGGAGTGCAATGGCGCGATCTCGGCTCACTGCAACCTCTGCCTCCTGGGTTCAAGTGATTCTTCTGCCTCAGCCTCCCGAGTAGCTGGGATTATAGGCACTCACCACCACGCCTGGCTAAGTTTTGTATTTTTAGTAGAGATGGGGTTTCACCGTGTTGGCCAGGCTGGTCTCAAACTCCTGACTTAAGGTGATGCAGCCATCTCGGCCTCAGCCTCCCAAAGTGCTGGGATTACAGGTGTTAGCCACCACATCCAGCCTGTTTGTTTGTTTTTTAGAGATGGAGTCTTACTTGCTATGTTGCCCAGGCTGGAATGCAGTAGCTATTCACAGGCATGATCACTGTACATTACAACCTCAACCTCCTGGGCTCAAGCGATCCTTCCGCTTCAGCCTCCTGAGTAGCTGGGATTACAGGTGCATGCTACCAAACCTAGCTTATCCTGTAGGTTTTAAGAAGGCAGGGGAGAGAGGCTGGGCCTGGTGGCTTATGGCTGTAATCCCAGCACTTTGGGAGGCCAAGGCAGACAGATCACCTGAGGTCAGGAGTTCAAGACCAGCGTGGCCAATATGGAGAAACCCCGTCTCTACTAAAAATACAAAAAAAATAGCCGAGCGTGGTGGCACATGGCTATAATCCCAGCTACTTGGGAGGCTGAGGCAGGAGAATCACTTGAATCCGGGAGGCAGAGGTTGCAGTGAGCTGTGCTTGTGCTACTGTACTGCAGCCTGGGCAACAGAGCAAGACTCTGTCTCAAAGGAAAAAAAAAAAAAGGCGGCAGGGAACAGAAGAAAGGTAGACAGTGAGGAAAAAATGAGGTTTATTTAGAGTTCTTTTAGTTAGAAGCAGCATAATATATATACTAAGATTTAAGTTCTGGATGGGTGCGGTGGTTCACACCTGTAATCCCAGCACTTTGGGAGGCTGAGGCAGGCAGACCATGAGGTCAGGAGATCGAGACCATCCTGGTTAACACGGTGAAACCCTGTCTCTACTAAAAATATAAAAAATTAGCCAGGCTTGGCGGTGGGAGCCTGTAGCCCCCGCTACTCGGGAGGCTGAGGCAGGAGAATGATGTGAACCCAGGAGGCGGAGCTTGCAGTGAGCCAAGATCACGCCACTGGAAGCGCCACTGCACTCCAGCATGGGCGACAGAGTGAGACTCCATCTCAAAAAAAAAAAAAAAAGATTTAAGTTCTAAGGGACTGAATGGTAAATTGAGCTCAGGAAATAGAAAAAAAAAATTAAGATTATAGAAATATTCACTGGTGTCAGACAGCTGGAGTCTTGGCTCTGTGACCTTGGGCAAGTTTTCTATCTCTTCTAAGCCTTAGTTTCCTCAACTCTAAAATAAATAATAACTCTTGAACCTCAAAGGGCTTTTGTGAAAATTTGAGTAATTCAAGTAAAGCAGTAAAATGGGCTCAGTAAATGTTAGCTATTACGACAGAAAGTAGTTTAAAAACTCTAAAACAATGAGGCAAGCAGGTGAAAGCATTTGTAATAATAGCAAAATCCTAGTCCACAGCATTTTAAGTGGAATTGAAGTTTTAAGGGTAAGAATAGGGCAGATAGGGTCTTAGCTTCACTGGACAGTGACAGTGTTCTCTTTCTTTCTAGCTGCACCAGAAAGAGCACATCTGAGAGCTGCACCCCCTTCAATGCCTAACAAAGAGCTGACTAAGGTATTTGGCTCTGGCCACTTACCAAGAAATTATATCATCATTAAATCCTGTGGGCAAAAAATAACTCAGTTTTAAAAATCTTTGGCCACTCCAAAATGGGAATGCAAAAGAAATATGCATTATCCCATGGAATTCTGCCTTTTTGTTTTTAAGGTCGGTACCCTTTTCTACATGTGTATCCTCCTCTGACAAGCATAAGATGATTAATATAATGTAAGAGCAGTTGGCATTTCAGTACCTGGTACTTGGCAGGATAATCTCAACAATGTTTATACATATATATGTATATATATATATGTGTGTGTGTGTGTATATATATATATACGTATATATATATGTGTGTGTATGTATGTGTGTGTGTGTGTGTGTGTGTGTGTGTGTATATATATATATATATATATATATATATATATTTTTTTTTTTTTTTTTTTTTTTTTTTTTTTGAGACAGAGTTTCATTCTTGTTGCCCAGGCTGGAGTGCACTGGCGCGATCTCAGCTCACTGCAACCTCTGCCTCCTGGGTTCAAGTGAGTCTCCTGCCTCAGCCTCTTGAGTAGCTGAAATTACAGGTACTTGCCACCATATTGGCTAATTTTTTCGTATTTTTAGTAGAGACGGTGTTTCACCATGTTGGCCAGGCTAATCTCAAGCTCCTGACCTCGGGTGACCCACCCACCTTAGTCTCCCAAAGTGCTGGGATTACAGGCGTGAGCCACTTTGCCCCCCAATATTTTTATATTTTTTCTTTTCATTTTTATTTAATTTTTTTTGAGACACTGTCTCACTCTGTTGCCCAGGCTGAAGTGTAGTGGCTTAATCACAGCTCTCTCTAGCCTCAACTTCTTGGGTTCCCATCTCAGCTGCCTGACATGACATATTTATATCTTTTTTTTTTTTTTTTAATTTTGAGACAGAGTCTCACTGTGTTGCCCAGGCTGCAGTGCAGCGGCACTATCTCGGCACACTGCAACCTCTGCCTCCGGGTTCACGTGATTCTCCTGCCTCAGCCACCTGAGTAGCTGGGATTACAGGCAAGCACCACTACGCCCGGCTAATTTTTGTATTTTTAGTAGAGACGGGGTTTCACCATGTTGGTCAGGCTGGTCTTGAACTCCTGACCTCGTAATCCGCTCGCCTTGGCCTCCCAAAGTGCTGGGATTAAAGGCGTGAGCCACAGCGCTATGCCTATATCTTTTCTACCTTTCTTTATCCTCTCACCACTTTAATTTTTTTCCTTCCTTCTTCCCCACCATTCCTTCTTTAACTTAAAAAACTATATATTTAGTAAACAAATTTACTCTTCCCCCAATAATAAAAGTATTTAATTCATATTTTAAAACAGTTGAAAAATTAAATTAAAACATTTCCCACTTGGGTGGCGCAAGTGATCTGTCCTGTGGGTCAGTAGTCCTCAATAGAAGGGAAAAAAAAGGGAAAAGTTTCCCATTCCCATATTATATTCAAATTTCTATTTGGAAAGAATAATGCTAACATTGTATAAAGTAACACAGTTAGGAGATATAATAAATTTTTTACCCTCCTCCTGTTAGGTTAAATAAGTTTTTTTAGGCTATTACATTTTAACTCATTTGACAAAGTTAATATATGGAAGAATATTTAAAAACAACAAAAAACAAAACTGTTACCTTTACTAAATGAGGTTTCACCAAGGTTACTACTGATGTATATCGCTCCAACACAGGTGGAAATCCAATTTCTAATCTTGTTTTACAATATCCAGATCTCTTTGATATAACATCTGATTTTTTGCACCAAGGAACAAAATGCTTGTAATCCTCCACTCCCGATACTACATCATACATTTCCTGCATTGAATATCTTTAAAAAATAAAAATAAAAAAGAGGTGTTAACTCCATCTAGTTATATAATATATGCATACTTTAAAGTGAATATGTATAAAACTTACTGTGTATGATAAATAAATCATTCAGCACATATATTAAACCACATTCTGGAATCAATGACCTCAAAGCAACACAGAAAATAAAAGGTCTCTAAATAAACACATACATGATATGGCAGAGATCACAATTTGGCATCTCACAGGTTGAATCTGACATAAAGAGGTAATTTTTTTTTTTTTTTTTGAGATGGAGTCTCATTCTGTTACCCAGGCTAGAGTGCAGTGGTACGATCTCGGCTCACTGCAACCTCCACCTCCCGGGTTCAAGCGATTCTCCTGCCTCAGTCTCCCGAGTAGCTGGGACTCCAGGCACGTGCCACCACAGTCAGCTAATTTTTTGTACTTTTAATAGAGATGGGGTTTCACTGTGTTAGCCAGAACGGTCTCGATCTCCTGACCTGGTGATCCGCCCACCTCGGCCTCCCAAAGTGCTGGGATTACAGGCATGAGCCACCGCGCCCGGCCTAAAGAGGTAGTTTTTAAATTTTTAGTAGCCAGCATTTAAAAATTGAGAGTATGGCCAGGAGTGGTGGCCTGTAATCCCAGCACTTTGGGAAGCTGAGGTGGGTAGATCACCTGAGGTCAGGAGTTTGAGACCAGCCTGGCCGACATGGTAAAACCCGGTCTCTACTAAAAATACAAAAATTAGCCAGGTGTGGTGGCACACGCTTGTAATCCCAGCTACTCGGGAGGCTGAGACATGAGATTTGCTTGAACCCAAGAGACAGAGGTTGCAGTGAGTGAAGATCATGCCACAGCCTGGGCTATAGAGTGAGACCCTGTACACCTCTCTCTCTCTCTCTCTCTCTCTCTCTCTCTCTCTCTGAGACCCTGTACACCTCTCCCTCTCCCTCCCTCACACACACACACACACACACACACACACACACACAGACTAAATCAGTATTTTTTTAGTTGCCATTTCTCTTTTTAACAGGTAACACCTGTGACAATGATGTCTATCCAAAGATTTGCACTCTTTTTACGTGGTGCTGTTGCTAGGAAGTACCTGCCCATCAGGAGCAACAATTCCCAGTCCTCATTTCCACTGCGTTTAGATGGGGTCACAATTAGCTGTTGCCAGTAATATCTGGGAGGAGGTGTTGTGTGTCACCTCCAGACCAATGTGATCAACATTCTGAAGACTAAGTAATTACAGAGGTCAAAAGTTGGATGTAGCCTGGGTTTCTGAGTCACTACTTGGACTACAGTAGACGGCACACCCATTTGAACTCTACATGAGAAAAAAAAATAAACTCTTGGGTATTATCTATAGGGCTGTTAGCATTACCTTAACTAATACAGAGACTAGCTAGTAATAAAGGTGAACTTAGTGAACAATGCTGTTAAGTCTTTTACTACAGAAAAATAGGGAGAACAAAAGCAAATGAGTAAAATTAACGAAATGCACTTTCACAAAGCTTCATGGCCAGTTAGGAATTAAGAGCCATTTGTAGAAATTCCCCTATGGAGGGATGGTGTATTTCCGGTTTAGCAGAACTGTAGTGTCTTTACCATCTGCTCTATTTACCCCTAGATCAGGGGCCACACCTGGCCCATCGCCTGTTTTTGTAAATAAAGTTTTACTGGAATGTGGCCACACCCGTTTATTTAAATATTATCTATGTCTGCCTTCGGACTACAATGAAGGAGCTGAGCAGTCCCTATGGCCCACAAAACCTAATATAGTTACTATCTGTCCCTTCACAGAAAATGTTTACCAAAGGCTCTAGATGAGGAGCCTTAGTATGTATGTACTTATCTATGTATATCTATACATGAGGAAGCTATGTAAACATATGGCCCAATGTATCAGTAATGTTGCTAATACAGAAAAGAACAATGTACAAAAAATGTAAGTCATAAATAATTTTCTTTACATGTCAAAGATTTAAGTCTATACTAAAGAGTTACCATATAATTATATTCATTCAACAAATATTTATAAAATAGCAATGGCTAGGTCAGGAGCAGTGGCTCATGACTGTAATCCCAGCACTTTGGGAGGCCAAGGCAGGTGGATCATGAGGTCAGGAGGTTGAGACCAGCCTGGCCAACACAGTGAAACCCTGTTTCTACTAAAAATACAAAAATTAGCTAGGCATGGTGGCATGTGCCTGCTACTCGGGAGGCTAAGGCAGGAGAATCTCTTGAATCTGAGAGGCGAAGGTTACAGTGAGCCAAGATTGCGCCACTGCACTCAAGTGTGAGACTCCATCTCAAAAGAAAAAAAAAAAAAAAAGAAAAAGGCCAACCTAGAAAAGAGAGCTTAGTCTGTAAGAAGATAATCCAGAGAGAAAGAGGCACAACACGATACCCCACGGAAAATTGTGAACATGCTCTTTTAGTAGAATTCTTATCATATACGAACCCTAAAATTCTTCTCTCTGAATATTCTTTCCTTTTGTTTATTAATGGTGCAGTGATTTTGAAGAAAGTTCGTGCACATATCTCCTTAGGCAAAATTGAGGTATGTAGTGGAAGAGTTCTGCTCATCAGTATACCACAGGAAGCTAAATATCTGAAAAGACAAAAATCACCTGATTTAGAGTGACAGTAAAAATTAAAAGGAAGCACAAATTATAGAAACTATAAAGTAATTATCCACTTTGTAAGGCTTTGCAACTTCAGAATGTTTCTGAAAAAATACACACACACGGGCACAGAAAAAGCACAGCTTCTTAAACACTGTAAAAAAAAAAAACAAAAATAACAGCTTAGTTAGGTTAGAAGCTTCTGGCATAAAAGGCATCTCTCCCAGAAAGTTGGCTTTCACTCTGTAGTCACATGTTACAACTTACTCTTACCATAAGCTTTGCTAGATACACAAATCTATTTTCTGATTTGTGTTGTCTACCCACGTTGTTTTCCTAGCTGGATCCACAGGTGTTTCTTAATTCTTGATCCACTCCAGTGAGACTTAAAATTAGGTCTCAAATCTCTTGGCAGACATCTGGTAGGACCACCTACCAGATGGTGAGTACTGATGCCAAGCATGGTGGCTCAAACCTGTAATCCCAGTGGTTTGGGAGGCTGATGCATGAGAATCCCTTGAGGCCAGGAGTTTGTGACCAGCCTGGGCAACATAGCGACCCTGTCTCTACAAAAAAATTTAAAAATTAGCCGGCCATGGTGGCATGTGCCTGTAGTTCCCGTTACTCAGGAATCTGAGGCAGCAGGATCGCTTGAATACAGCACTTCGAGGTTGCAATGAGCTATGAACACACCACGGGCACTGCAGCCTGGGTGACAGGGCGAGACTCTATCTCAACAAAAGCAAAAACAAAACAAATAAAAACCAACTGTTGCTGCGTTCTCCTTTACCTTGCAGTCTCCATTTCAATGCATATATGTAAAAACATGTCTAGTTAACCAGAAACTTATTGTTTGAGGTACTTCTATGTACAAATGTCTGCTATATGCTTGTTCACCTAAATATTTTCAACTTTCCTTAATAAGATTATTACATAAGTGACTGGGTGAGGTGGCTCATGCCTGTAATCCCAGCACTTTGGGAGGCCGAGGCGGGTGGATCACGAGGTCAGGAATTCAAGACCAGCCTGACTAACATGGTGAAACCCCATCTCTACTAAAAATGCAAAAAATTAGCTGAGTGTGGTGGCAGGCGCCTGTAGTCCCAGCTACTCAGGAGGCTGAGGCAGGAGAATCACTTGAACCCGGGAGGCGGAGGTTGCAGTAAGCCGAAGTTGTGCAACCACACTCTAGCCTGGGTAACAGAATGAGACTCCGTCTCAAAAAAAAAAAAAAAAGAGAAAAGAAAAAAGATTATTACGTAACTATTTGACTATTTGACACTACTAGTCATTTAGTCATTGCTGGCCAGGATAATTCAATTTAAATTATCCACATATTTACTGAGCTCCTATTCTAAGTTAAGACTGTGCTAAGTACTAAGGATATAATGGTGAATAGAACAAACATAAGCCTTATGAAGATTATATTCTAGTTGAAGATTGATTCAAAAAAGTGCTGAAGAAGAGATGCAGGGAAGAGGGAGGTGTAATTAGGACCTCCTTTAGACAGGGTGACCTAGGAATCCCTTAAAAGATTTTAGCTGAGACATAGTGGACAAGGAGTTAGCCATGCAAAGAGAGAAAAGAAGTGTGTACATATATAATAACTGTGTGTGTGCGTGTGTATGTATATACTAATACACATAGGCATTAGTAGCATTTAATACCTCATTCCATTTATTTATATATATGAATACATATACATATGTACATACATATATATGTAAATGGAGTGGATCGCACCACTGCACTCCAGCCTGGGCGACAGTGATTCTCCGTCTCAAAAGAAGAAAAAAAAAAAAGAAAAAGAAAATATGACCCCAAAGTGTAAAACACAACCCCAATTAGAGAGAGACAAATTTGGGCTCTATAATACAATGAAGAACTTTAGAGCTGTTTATAAAAATTGAACACACTTATTACAGAGAAAATGAAACAGAGGTCAGTGAATTTGCTTAAGGTAAATACTACATGACTATCTGTTAAAATGTAATGGAGGCCGGGTGCGGTGGCTCACGCCTGTAATTTCAGCACTTTGGGAGGCTGAGGTAGGCGGATCAACTGAGGTCAGGAGTTCAAGACCAGCCTGGCCAACATGGCGAAACCCTGCCTTTACTAAAAATACAAAAATTAGCCGGGTGTGGTGGCACGTGCCTGTAATCCCAGCTACTCGGGAGGCTGAGGCAGGGAAAATGCTTGAACCTGGGACGCGGAGGTTGCAGTGAGCCGAGACGGCACCATTGCACTCCAGCCTGGGCAACAGAGCAAGACTCCCCGTCTCAAAAAAAAAAAAAAGTAATTGAAAAGACACATAAACTGTATATGGGTAAACTTATTAGGACCTTTTAAGATTTTAAGATTCCTATATATTCAGCTATAAATAACACTTCATGAATGAAAATATAAAAAAGCAAGATGGCTTTGTGAATTCTAAATTTTCTGGGACATCACAAGTAGTAGTTGATTTTATAATAGTGGTAAGAGCATAATTCTATGTTTCGATACATACAATGCATAGTGATCACATCAGGGTAATTAACACATCCATCATCTCAAACATTCAACATTTATTTGCACTAGGAACATTCAATATACTCTTTCTACCTATTTGAAACTATATATTATTGCTAACTATAGTCATCCTACAGTGGTATAGAAGACGGATCCCCAACGCCCAGGCCATGGACTGGTACCTGTCCGTGGCCTGTTAGGAACCAGGCTGCACAGCAGGAGGTGAGTATTACCGCCTGAGTTCTGCCTCCTGTCAGATCAGCGGTGGCATCAGATTCTCATAGGAGCCAGAACTCTATTGTGAACTGCACATGCGAGGAATCTAGGTTGTTTGCTCCTTATGAGAATCTAACTAATGCCTGATGATCTGAGGTGCAACAGTTTCATCCTGAAGCCATCCCCCACCCCACCACCCCCATTTGTAGAGAAACTGTCTTCCACAAAACTGTTCTCTGGTGCCAAAAAGGTTGGGAAATCGCGGGTACAGACCATTAGAAATGTATTCCTCCTATCTAGCATTAATTTTGTATCCTTCAACAAATCTCTCCCTATCCCTTCCTTTCTCCCAGCTTTCCCAATCTTTAGTATCCTCTGTTCTAAGATCAATTTTTTTTTAATTTATTTTTTACTTATTTATTTTTTTGAGATGGAGTCTTGCTCTATCACCCAGGCTCGAGTGCAGTGGTGTGATCTAGGCTCACTGCAAGCTCTGCCTCCCGGGTTCACGCCATTCTCCTGCCTCAGCCTCCCGAGTAGCTGGGACTACAGGTGCCCGCCACCACGCCCTGCTAATTTTTTTGTATTTTTAGTTGAGATGGGGTTTCACTGTGTTAGCCAGGATGGTCTCGATCTCCTGACCTTGTGATCCGCCCACCTCAGCCTCCCAAAGTGCTGGGATTACAAGCGTGAGCCACTGCGCCCAGCAAGATCAACTTTTTTTTTTTTGAGATGGAGTCTCGCTCTGCCGCCAGGCTGGAGTGCAGCGGTGCTATCTCGGCTCACTGCAACCTCTGCCTTCCAGTTCAAGCGATTCTCCTGCCTCAGCCTCCCGAGTAGCTGGCACTACAGGCGCCCGCCACCACACCCAGGTAATTTTTGTATTTTTAGTAGAGATGGGGGTTTCACCATGTTGGCCAGGATGGTCTTGATCTCTTGACCTTGTGATCCGCCCACCTTGGCCTCCCAAAGTGCTGGGATTACAGGCATAAGCCACCGTGCCTGGCCAAGATCAACTTTTTTTAGCTTCCACATATGAGAGAGGACTCGTCATGTGTAACTTTCTGTTCCTGGCTTATTTCATTTAACATAATGCCCTCCAAGTCCATCCACGTTGCTGCAAATGACAGAATTTCATTCTTTTTTATGGCTGAATAGTATTCCCATCGTGTATTAATATATACACCACATTTTCTTTATCCATTCTTCTGTTTTATTGTTGTTGTTGTGTTTGAGTCAGGGTCTCACTCCATCACCCACGCTGGAGTGCAGTGGTATAGTCATGACACACCGCAGCCTCCACTGCCTGGGCTCAGGTGATTCTCCCACCCCAAGTCCCAATGAGCTGGGACCACAGGCATGCGCCACCAAGCCCTGCCAATTTTTTACTTATTTGTAGAAACAAGGTCTTGCTATGTTGCCCAAGCTGGTCTCAAACTCCTGATTTCAAGTGATCCTCCTGCCTCAGCCTCCCAAAGTGTTGGGATTACAGGTGTGAGTCACTGTGTCCGGCCTTGTTTATTTTTTGAGACAGGGTCTGGTTCTGTTGCCCAGGAATGAGTGCAGTGGCCCAAACAAGGCTCACTGCAGCCTCAACCTCCTGGGTTCAAGTGATCCTCCCATCTCAGCCTCCTGAGCAGCTAGAACCACAAGCTTGCACTAACACATAGCCAGCTAATTTTTCTGTATATGTGTATGTGTATACACACACACACATTTTTTTTTCTTTTTTTTGGTAGAGACAAGGTTTTGCCATGTTGTCCACGCTGGTTTCATGAGCTCAGGCAATCCTCCCGCCTCAGCCTCCCAAAGTGTTGGAATTACAGGCATAAGCCACTGCGCCCAGTACCATTCATCTGTTGTTGGACACCTACGTTGATTCTGTATCTTAACTACTGTGAACAGTGCTGAAACCTTTACTTGAAAAAAGATGAGACCTTTGCTTCTAAAGAGGTGAATTGGGTATCTGGTTGACTTTTTACTATATATAAAGGTTCATGTATTTACTGGGAGGCAATACATGAACCTTTGTACCAGGTTCATGTATTGCCTCCCAGCCTACCCAAAAAAATACCCTTACACAATCTGATTACAAGCCTAAGGAAAACACCAGTGTTTAAAGCAAACTAACAGGACATTTTCTGATCAATCTGCATGCTATAGTTACAGTGGCCTGGACAGCACATCTATTTTCATGCACTGCCAGGAATACTATGTCTTAAACTACGATATGAAGATACACACATTCATATATACAGTTAAACCATGAAATGAATACTGGACAACTGGACCACATGGAGAACAGCTTTTTTGTCACTCGTCTTCCAGTACCACTCTCTCATATACTTAAGTATAATAAAGGTCAGAATCTGATGCTTAACATTGGAAATGAACGCAAACTGCCGCCCTCATTATCATAAACAGTATTTATCTTGGAACTGAAGCCTCAATTTGATCATTAAAGCAACTGTATTTTTCTCAAAAGTAAGTGTTATTTGCAAGACAACATTTTATAAGAGTAATACAAACAGATCTCAAGTATGATGGCGTTATTCTGCTTGAAACTACTTTTTGAGGTTATTTCCTAAAGCAGGAGTAATTTTATGATTTTGTTTGTCTCATCCAACATTTGTCTAAAGGGATTTGGATTTGGTAAGGTTGTTGGTGTTTTTAAAAATTCTTCATTGAATCTTTTTTTAAAAAAATTATTTCCTTGTTTCCAGTAGGGTCGGATCTTCATTTAATCTAAATGTCCTGGGGCTCAACTAGATTTGTGTTTTCTCTCCCCACCTCGTATTTTGTACACCTGAATTCATTTTAAACACACTAACTTTAATTTTCAAGAATATTACAATGTTATTAGTAAAAGGAAACTAAGTCGTACAAGTATGGTATCCGTGTCCCGACCTCCATCTCCACCCCCACCTACCAAAAAATGAACCAACCAGGAAAATCGAAAGCTGACTATGCTTCAAGGTTACAGGACCTGTAAGTTACAGCAGAGTGAAAAAATCCAAGTCCCTTATGCTGGCTGTATTTAGTTTTGTAAACACTAAATGGCGAGGGCAAAGCACTCTTTCAGAAATTGGGAAAACGCATCTGACCATCTGGCAGGTAGAAGGAACCGGAGAAGGGGGCTCACCGCCAAACACAAACTCCCATACAGCCAGCAGCCGGCAACCCTTCTGCGCAAAGTTAAAACTTTCCAACAGCAGTAGCAACAAGCCATAGGGGAGGAGACCGGAAGAGCCCAAAGGCACCAATGGCCAAATTGCTTCCAAAGTCGCTTCGCCGATGATTCACCGCCTCTCACGAGGCAAACGAGCCACGAACACAGCCTTGGGCCCAAGGTGATGCGCGCCGCTCTTGAGTCCCTCAGATGCCAAACGCAAAAAAAAGCCTTCTCCTCTAAAGACACGGAAATGCACCGAGTCCGGCTCTGCCTCACCCCCAAATCCTTCCGGTCCCCCAACTCGGCAGCCAAAATCGAAAACTACTCTCGTCTCAGCGCCCCCGCTGTTGATTACCTGCCATTCCGCACGGGCGCCTGCGCCCCGGCCGCTGTCGCCGACTTCGGACGGCATCCCGAGACTACCCTTCTCAAGGCCGTATGACCAGTCCGAGCTGCCATGATAGACTCTCCGAAGCCGGTCGTCACCTCCCGGACCAGCCCTGCAGCACCGCCCTCCTCTGGTCGGGCCCGGAGCCCGGCTCCGGTCTCTTCCAGCCAATGGACTGGCCGCCTGCGCAGCCTGACACGCCCCTTCTTCCCTTCCGGGTTGCACGTCGCTGACACACGCTGACCGTAAACGTTCCCGTCAGCCTGTCGGCCAATCGGAGCTGCGGGCCCGCCAGGACACACCTCTCTCTCCTGACCGACCAATCGCTTTTCCCGTGCGCTCGCGCAATTTGCGTAATACTCAGTGACTGCTCAGTCCACGCCCCGCGCAGGAGCTGTTCCTGGATTAACCAACTGCCTGGTTCTCCTGGGGTCCGCTTCCGGGAGGCTAGTCAGTGAGCCCCACCCCCCCGGGGGCTGCGGGAAGCCCCAGGGCTTGAGTGTTAATTCTGTAACTGTCCGAACCCGTGAGTGCGGAGCCAGACAGGCCACCACTCCTGGCTGCGAAGCCTGGCTGTCAGCGTCCTGCTTGTTAATGATTGTCTAATACAATGCCTGCCTTGCCTATCTCACGGGGTAATTGTGAGGGCAACATAAGGTCCTGTCATTAGGAAAGACTCAGTTATCCAGCAGCAGTTCCGTCTGCCTTCTTCCTGCGTGTCCCACATTTTAATTGGTGTTCTCGTATGATTTGGGTTTCCCTTATTCCATACTAATCAGACGACTTCGCTTTGATTTACTTGTTTTGGTGATCAGTCATCAAGTCCAGACTTCTTGTTCCCTCAGTTTGTTTTCAGGTCTTTACTTAAGGTTTGTGCACCAATAGTTTTCCTGCAAACTGTAAAGTGAGGATGACAATACTACCTATTTAATATAGTTTGGGTGTAAATGAGATTGTTGATTAAATGTAGTCAGATATTTGTGTGGCACCTACTAGATGCTGGAGAAGTGAGCAAAAGTCTTCACTGTCACAGAGCTTATATCCTAGTGGGGGAAAGAAACCAATTAGTATATAGTGCAATGGCAGCTTGTTATATGTCCCATAGACTAAACAGTACAGCAGGGTAAGGAGATGAAGAGGGAGGAATATGGTAGGGTGCTGTTTTATATAGGGTGGTTAGGAGGGGCTCTAAGAGGATGACACTGAACAAAGGCCTAAAATGAAGTGAGGAAGTGAACTCTGATTACTTGGGAGAAAATGGGCCGGGCGCGGTGGCTCACGCCTGTAATCCCAGCACTTTGGGAGGCCGAGGCGGGCGGATCACGAGGTCAGGAGATCGAGACCATCCTGGCTAACACGGTGAAACCCCGTCTCTACTAAAAATACAAAAAATTAGCCGGGCGAGGTGGCGGGCGCCTGTAGTCCCAGCTACTCAGGAGGCTGAGGCAGGAGAATGGCGTGAACCCCAGGGGGCGGAGCCTGCAGTGAGCCGAGATTGCGCCACTGCACTCCAGCCTGGGCGACAGCGAGACTCCGTCTCAAAAAAAAAAAAAAAAAAAAAAAAAGAAAAAAGAAAAAGAAAATGACTTTCAGGTGTATGGAACAGCAAGTGCAGAGGCCCCAGGCAGGAACAATCTTGGCATGCTTTAGGAAGAGCAAGGAGTTTGGAGCACAGTGAGAGGAGGAAAGTGGTAGGAAATAAGGTCAGCGAGGTAGGCAGAGCTTAGTGCCACGGAAGCCATAGTATGCTACCAATTTTTTATTGTATTCTAAGCGTGAAGGAAAGCCATTAGAGTTTGAGTGCAGAACAGTTACTTGATCTGATTTACATTTAAAGCAATATTCCAGCTGTTGTGCCTATGATTATTTTCTCCTCTTGCTTGGTTTATTGCAGTCACCCCTTACTAGATACATTGAAATCATCAGCTACAAGGTTTGTCAAACATTTTGCAGTACAACACATGATGTACTTGTAGATTGAGGTGGTTCTGTAGCTGCATGGACAATTCTGTATCAACTACTTTCAAATACACAATCCTTGTATGTCCGGAATTGGTGGGTTCTTGGTCTTGCTGACTTCAAGAATGAAGCCACGGACCCTCACTTGTGAGTGTTACAGTTTTTAAAGATGGTGTGTCCCAAGTTCACTCCTTCTGACTTTCAGACGTGTCTGGAGTTTCTTCCTTCTGGTGGGTTTGTGGTCTCACTGACTTCAGGAGTGAAGCTGCAGACCTTTGCAGCATTACAGCTCTTAAAGGCAGCGCATCTGGAGTTGTTTATCCCTCCCGGTGGGTTTGTGGTCTCCCAGGCTTCAGGAGTGAAGCTGCAGACCTTCGTGGTGACTCTTACAGGTCTTAAAGGTGGCACAGACTCAATGAGTGAGCAGCAGCAAGATTTATTGCAAAGAGCAAAAGAACAAACCTTCCACAACATGCAAGGTGAACCCAGAGAGTTGCTGCTGCTAGCTCAGGCAGCCTGCTTTTATTCCCTTAGCGGACCCCACCCACAGCCTGCTGATTGGTCCATTTTACAGAGAGCTGATTGGTCCGTTTTCACAGGGTTCTGAGTGGTGCGTTTACAAACCTTGAGCTAGACACAGAGTGCTAATTGGTGCATTTACAATCCTTTAGCTAGACACAAAGTGCTGATTGGTGCGTTTACAAACCTTTAGCTAGACAGAAAAGTTCTCCAAGTCCCCACCCATCCCGGAAGTCCAGCCGGCTTCACCTCTCACTGGTACTCCCGGGGTCTCTGCAGCACCTAGCCTAGGCACTCTGGCAGCCCAGAGGGAGCTCGTCCCTGGATCAAGCCCAGAAGGCGCCGGCCGCGCCGAGTGCGGGGCCGGCCGACCCCATGCCCACCCAGAACCCGTGCCAGCCCACGAGCACCACGCGCAGCCCTGGCTCCCACCTGTGCCTCTCCCTCCACACCTCCCGGCGAGCAGAGAGAGCCGGCTCCTGCCTCGGCCAGCCCCAGGGAGGGGCCCTTATAGCGCAGCGGCAGGCTGAAGGGCTCCTGGAGTGTGGCCAGAGCGGACGCTGAGGCGGCGCCAAGAGCAAGCGAGGGCTGCCAGCACGTTGTCACCTCTCACTTGCTCTTCTTTAAATCTTAAATATTTCCAGTATTCCAGTAAGGTCTTCTTTAAAGCACATTTTCAGGCCAGGGACAGTAGCTCATGCCTGAAATCGCAACACTTTGGAATGCTGAGGCAGGAGGGTCGCTTGAGGCCAGGAGTTTGAGACCAGCCTTGGCAACATGGCGAGACCCCATCTCTACAAAAAAAATGTTTTAAATTAGCTGGGCATGGTGGTACACGCCTGTAGTCCCAGCTACTGGGGAGGCTGAGCAAGAGGATCACTTGAGCCCAGAAGTTTGAGATTGCAATGAGCTGTGATCATTCCACTGCATTCCAGCCTGGGTGACAGAGTGAGACCTTGATTCAAACCAAAAAGAAAAGAACATGTTAAATGACACCAAGGGGACACTATCTGCCAACTCCAGAATGCAGGAAATTCTATAAGACAAGTCACCCAGTTTCTTCAGTGAGTAAATATCAAGTAAAAAAGGAAGGGAAGGGGGAGACAGTTGTAGATTTAAAAGATGTAAAAGGCTTTATTTTGATTTTCTTTTGCACAAACTAAATATTAAAAAAAGGTATATGAGACTAAGAAATTTGAAAGCTGGATACTAGATGATTTTAAGAAATTTTTGGCCGGGTGCAGTGGCTCATGCCTGTAATCCCAACACTTTGGGAGGCAGAGGCGAGTGGATCAAGAGGTCAGGAGTTTGAGACCAGCCTGACCAACATGGAGAAACCCTGTCTCTACTAAAAATACAAAAATTAGCCAGGTGTGGTGGCGCATGCCTGTAATCCCAGCTACTCGGGAGGCTGAGGCAGGAGAATCACTTGAACCCGGGAGGTGGAGGTTGCGGTGAGCTGAGATCGTGCCATTGCACTCCAATCTGGGTAACAAGAGCAAAACGCGGTCTCAAAAAAAAAAAAAAGCCTTGATTACATTGTTAGTAAGGACTGTGTTACGATTATAAACACATTTACTGGTTGATGTCAAATTCACTGTAATCATAGAACTAATCTTTTTACGTGGGTACTTTGCCCTACTGTCTATATGATGCCTTTTTTTTTTTTTGAGACCGAGTCTCACTCTTGTTGCCCAGGCTGGAGTGCAATGGCGCAATCTCGGCTCACCGCAACCTCCGCCTCCCTAGTTCAAGCAATTCTCCTGCCTCAGCCTCCCGAGTAGCTGGGATTACAGGCATGCACAACCATGACTGGCTAATTTTATATTTTTAGTAGAGACGGGGTTTCTCCATGTTGAGGCTGGTCTCAAACTCCTGACCTCAGGTGATCTGCCTGCCTCGGCCTCCCAAAGTGCTAAGATTACAGGCATGAGCCACCACGCCCGGCGATGACATCTTTTTTGAGCAACTAAATTTTAAATTGTATATACTTTATTTTGTGAATACTTCTTGAATGTGCTAAAAGTTAAGCTCTATGGTAGAGAGGCTGGGCACGGTGGCTCACACCTGTAATCCCACACTTTGGGAGGCCAAGGCAGGTGGATCATGAGGTCAAGAGTTCGAGACCAGCCTGGCCAACATGGTAAGACCCCATCTCTACTAAAAATACAAAAATTAGTTGGGGGTGGTGGCTCGTGTCTGTAATCCCAGCTACTCAGGAGGCTGAGGCAGGAGGAATGCTTGAACCCGGAAGGCAGAGGTTGCAGTGAGCCGGGATTGTGCACTCCAGCTTGGGTGACACAGCGAGACCCTGTCTCAAAAAAAAAAAATTATTAAGGCTGGGTGCAGTTGGCTCATGCCTGTAATCCCAGCACTTTGGGAGACCGAGATGTGAGGATCACTTGAATCCAGGAGTTGGAGTCTGCAGTGACCTAGGATAGCACCACTGCACTCTAGCCTGGGCGACAGAGTGAGATACTGTCCCTAAAAAAATAAATAAATAAAAGTTTTTCATTTTTTAGGCTGAGCATGGTGGCTCATACCTGTAATCCCAGCACTTTGGGAGGCTGAGGTGGGCGGATCATGAGGTCAGGAGATCGAGACCATCCTGGCTAACATAGTGAAACCCTCTCTCTACTAAAAATACAAAAAAAAAAAAAAATTACCGGGCATGGTGGCGGGCGCCTGTAGTCCCAGCTACTCGGGAGGCTGAGGCAGGAGAATGGCGTGAACCCGGGAGGCGGAGCTTGCAGTGAGCCGAGATGGCGCCACTGCACTCCAGCCTGGGCGAGAATGTGACACTCTTGTCTCAAAAAAAAAAAAAGTTTTAAATTTTTAAAAAATTGTAGGTGTATTTACCTTATTTAAATGAATCTTTATCTCAGATATTCATACAGAAGTATTTACAGATGAAATATGATGTCTGTGCTTTGCTTTAAAATAACCCAAAAGGGGTTGGGGGAATACAGTGGATGAAACAAAATTAAGCTTATATTGATAATCAGTGAACTGAATGATGGGTACATGGGGAGTTCTTCATAGTCATATCTAATTTTTGTGGATGTTTGAAATCTTCCATAATAAAACATTTTTTCTGTACCTTTTTATTTCTGCCTTTATGTGATTTTTCCAAATGAAATCCTCCTGATTGATTTCCACTTAGAATCATACTGTTTATTATAGATTTTGCTCACTCTTCGGAACCCTATAGACTGAACAGAACCAGAAAGTCTTCGAGTAGATAGAGATGGCAATGATTTCTAGTAGTAACAGCATTGTTTTCTTTTTTCTGTTATTTTTATAAAAATATGGAACACTTCACAGATTTGCATGTCATCCTTGCAGAGGGGCCATGCTAATCTCCTCTGTATTGTTCCAATTTTAGTATATGTGCTGCTGAGGCGAGCACAGTAACAGCACTTTTAGTCACTCCTCCAATCAAAACAAATACAGGATGAATTTTAACCACAGAACAAGATCTTTACCTAAACATCATATATATTTTTTTCCTGAAATAAAGTTAGTTTTAAAAGTTAACATAATCGTATTACTGGCACCTTTTCTGTCTACTTTTTTTTTTTTTTTTCGAGTTTTGCTCTTGTTGCCCAGGCTGGAGTGCAATGGCGCGATCTTGGCTGACCACAACCTCTACCTCCCAGATTCAAGTGATTCTCCTACCTCAGCCTCCCGAGTAGCTGGGATTACAGGCATGCGCCACCACGCCCAGCTAATTTTGTATTTTTAGTAGAGACGGGGTTTCTCTATGTTGGTCAGGCTGGTCCCAAACTCCCGACCTCAGGTGATCCGCCCCCCTCGGCCTCCCAAAGTGGTGGGATTACAGGCGTAAGCCACTGCGCCTTGGCTTCTCTACCATATTTAATGGGTGTGGTGGCTCACGCCTGTAATGCCAGCACTTTGGAAGACCTAGGAGGGAGAATCACTTTAGGCCAGGAGTTCAAGACCAGCCTGGGCAATCAGTGAGATTCCATTTCAAAAACAAAACAAAAATAGAGACTGTCTGTGGGAAGTGTTTGGTTTAAACACCACCTTCCTTGTTAAAGAGCAACTTCCTTGAACACCTCTTGCAACTGAGTTACAAGAGATTAGCCCTATTACATATGTTAGTTTCTGATAAACAGGGGAATAGCAAAGGACATTAACTAGGCATTTTGCCCTTACTGACTGGTGATGCTGCTTAGGGAGCATCAGGAAAACAGAAATTATACCAATTAAACAGAAAACATAGGGATATTGTTTAAAAGGGTTTGTGGAATTAAGTTGACCCCCCCCCCCAAAAAAGGAGAGGTTGGACATGGTGGCTCATGCCTGTAATCCTAGCACTTTGGGAGGCTGACTCAGGTGGATCACTTGAGCCCAGGAGTTCGAGACCAGCGTGGGCAACATTGTGAGACCTCATCTCTACAAATACAAAAATTAGCAAGGCATGGTAATGTGCACCTGTAGTCCCAGCTACTTGGGAGGCTGAGGTGGGAGAATCACTTGAACCCAGGAGGTATAGGTTGCAGTAAGTCAACATCACACCACTGCACTCCAGCCTGGGTCACAGAGTGAGACCCTGTGTCAAAACAACAAAAACAATACAAAAACAAGGCCAGGTGCAGTGGCTCACACCTGTAGTCCCAGCACTTGGGAGGCCGAGGTGGGTGGACCACGAGGTCAGGAGTTCAAGACCAGCCTGGCCAAGATGGTGAAACCCCGTCTCTACTAAAAATACAAAAATTAGCTGGGCCTGGTGGCGGGCGCCTGTAATCCCAGCTAGTCTGGAGGCTGAGGCAGGGAATTGCTCAAACCTGGGAGGCGGAGGTTGCAGTGAGCCAAGATTGCACCACTGTATTCCAGCCTGGGTGACAGAGCAAGACTCCCTGTCTCAAAAAAAATAAAAAACAAAAAATAAATAAATTTTTAAAACCCCACAATACAAAAACATAAAAGGGAATACTGAGATAAGAAAACAGTTAACTTCAAGAAGTAGGTATCACCTTGTGTCCCCAAGATCATTCCCGGGTACAATGATTTGCTAAAAGGACTCACAGGACTCAGCATATATTTATACTCACAGCTATGATTTATGACAGGAAAAGTATAGAAAGCAAAATTAGCAAGGATAAAGGTCCATGTTAGGAATCTGGAGGAAGCCATGAGCAATCTTTCAAGGGTCCTCTCCCAGTGAAGTCATGGAGTCACAGAGGAAATGCTTAATTAGTCCAGCAAGGAGTTGTGACAACACATGTGAAATATTGCCAACCACAGTAGCTCCTTAGAGACTCAAGGCTCAAGGTTTTTATGGGGGCCTGCTCACATAAGCATCCTCTCTGCCTGGTATGTACCCAAATTCCAGACTCCAAAATGGTGTTCAGCAGAAACCATATGGTTTATGCAAACAATACACTGTGCATAGGCACAGTGAGACACACTCATCAGTTCTGTG
Organism: Homo sapiens; assembly: GCF_000001405.40. Classification (NCBI taxonomy): domain Eukaryota; kingdom Metazoa; phylum Chordata; class Mammalia; order Primates; family Hominidae; genus Homo; species Homo sapiens. The sequence goes on along the minus strand of NC_000002.12, from coordinate 197,445,704 downwards.
AATGACGGGAACCCTTCTGAAAACCCAGTTACCAAATGCCAGCCAAGGACAAACCTATAAGGAGGTCTTTCAAAGGACAGCAGTCAGGCCTAACACTTTTCTGCACATACCTCTAGGGGCAGGGGAACAAAAGGAAGAAGTTGGGAGTTATCATTAGAAACTTGGTGGCAGATTCTCACAATGCTAGAACCCAGATCTTTGAGGCGAGGACATTGCTTGGCTGATGCTAGTGTCTAGGAAGCATAGAAGAGACAAACCCTCTATCCCCAAGCACCACAAACCTGGTACTCAGATTTCTGCGGAGGAAGCACTGGCTGGTATTGGTGCATCTGGGAAGGTGTGATGAAGCCTTGTTTTATTTAAATCCTTCAGTACACATTTACTAAGACCTTAGGCAACTGAGCTTTAGGGATATTAAGTAACTTGCACAAACTAGAAAGCAGCAGAGCCAGCAAGAAAATCCACATCTTCTGAATCTGAGTCAGGATGCTTTTATAATTTATATGACTTCTTGAAAAATGTAGCAGCAACCTTGTAATACTATCATATTAGAATTATTTTTTAAAAACAATTCAATTCAAGCTGGGCGCGGTGGCTCAAGCCTGTAATCCCAGCACTTTGGGAGGCCGAGACAGGCGGATCACCAGGTCAGGAGATCAAGACCATCCTGGCTAACACGGTGAAACCCCATCTCTATTAAAAATACAAAAAATTAGCTGGGCATGGTGGCATGCGCCTGTAGTCCCAGCTACTTGAGAGGCTGAGGCAGGAGAATCACTTGAACCTGGGAGGCAGAGGTTGCAGTGAGCCAAGATCGTGCCACTGCACTCCAGCCTGGCGACAGAGCAAGACTCCATTTCGAGAAAAAAAAAAAATTCAATTCAGGTCAGGTGTGGTGGCTCACACCTGTAATCCCAGCACTTTGGGAGGCTGCGGCAGGCAGATCACCTGAGGTCAGGAGTTTGAGAACAGCCTAGCCAACATGGTGAAACCCCATCTCTACTAAAAATACAAAAATTACCCAGGCTTGGTGGTGGGCGCCTGTAATCTCAGCTACTCAGGAGGCTGAGGCAGGAGAATCGCTTGAACCTGGGAGGTGGAGGTTGCAGTGAGCTGAGATCGTGCCACTGCACTCCAGCCTGGTTGACACAGCCAGACTCCACCTCAAAGAAAATAAAAATAAAATAAAATAATTCAATTTAAGTAAGCCAAAACTAGAAATTTCAGCAGAAAATAAGATAATTATCTAGGCAGGGCCACAAAGGATGACAACATACTTAGCTTTCCAGATACAGAAATTCTTTTTTTTTTTTTTTTTTTTGAGACGTCACCCAGGCTCTGTCACCCAGGCTGGAGTGCAGTGGCGCGATCTTGGCTCACTGCAAGCTCCGCTTCCCGGGTTCACGCCATTCTCGTGCCTCAGCCTCCGGAGTAGCTGGGACTACAGGTGCCCACCACCACACCCGGCTATTTTTTTTTTTGTATTTTTTTAGTAGAGACGGGGTTTCACCGTGTTAGCCAGGATGGTCTCAATCTCCTGACCTCGTGATCTGCCCACCTCGGCCTCCCAAAGTGCTGGGATTCAGAAATTCTTATTTCAGGGAACTCAGAGTAGATCAAGGAAACAGATTCTTCCTGTTTATATAACCAGCCTCTGAGCCAATCCTAGAATTCCTCTTTTGCAGCTTCCTGCCACATACTATGGCACTTAGCCACAAAGAACTGCTTTGAGGTCCCCTACAGACACTATGGTGTCTGTTGCCTACATTGTCCTCTTTTTCTAGAGGGTCCTGTGTCCTATTCTTGCCCCCATCTCCTTCATCATTTTTACCTCATCTATAAGACTGATCTGGTGTTACCCTATCCAGGAAATCTCACTGCAGGAGTAGATTAGAGGTTACAAGGAGTTAAGTGAAAAGGGGAAAATGGGAAGTTATTGCTTAATGATCCCAGAGTTTCGGTTGGGGTGATAAAAAAAAAATTTGGATAGAGGTAGTGGTGATAGTCGTATTAACAGTTTGAATGTAATTAATGCCACTGAATTGTACACTTAAAATATTTAAAATGCATATTTTATATTATATATATTTTACCACACGAAAAGGGAGGTGTGGCAGCCAGCTATAGCCCATGGGTTGGAGATTGCTGTCGCATTATAGATTATGGCCCGGGTGTTCACTTACCTCTTTCTGCACTCACCTGAGAATTCCTGAGACCACATATGTTAATGATAATCTAATAGCCAGATATCCCCACTTGTTATTCTTGCCATCTAAATTAAAAGCCCCTCCAATAGTCATTCTCCTGTTTATCCTCATTACTATACAGCTCACTGCTTCCTTTCCACTAACTTTTTTCTCTCAAACCTTCCCTTTGTGCCTTCTGGAACCCCTAATCTGTGATTTATAAACTTCCCAAATCCTCAAAATACATCTTTTGTTATAAGCATTTTTTTCCCTCTGATTTCTCCTTTTATATTTCAGTTGGGGCATTAATTGATATTTTTCAAAATTACCTGTGTGATCAGATTCTATTCTCTATGAATTTTATTTCAGGAGAGTGGAGGGGGTCATGTGTCTTACAGGGTTCAGAACAATTTCCTTGGCTGACTCGTGGCACCCTGTGAAGCTGCCCTGTGCTTCCTCTCTCATACGAGGCTGCTTATTCTTTCTCAACCATAGGCACATTTTCACACTGGGGTGAGTAGCGGGGGTGACAGATCACACATGCTGTTGAATATTTGGATACGTTTCTTTCTTCTGACCATAGAACACTGGAGACCTGTCTGCCTTCTCCCAGAATTCAAACATAGCTGAGAAAAGAGGCTTTGAGATCGCACACTTCTCAAAGTTGGCCACCTGTAGAGAATTATCAGCACTTGGGCTCCACTTCAAACCTACTCAATCAATCTCTGGAGTTTGGGCCCACAACCTATAATTTTAAGAAGCTCTTCAGGGGATGCCCTTAGAGTTTGAGAATCACTGCGTTAGTGGGAGGGAAAGGAGGTTCACACACACACACACACACACACACACACACACACACACAGCATGCTGCACTCTTCCTCCAACCCCACTTTCACACTTAGAGGCTCCTGGAGAAGCATAGCCATTGATAAACTGCCATAAAGAAAACAGTACATTCAAAATTATTTTCAATTAATCACCATTCCAAGAAAGAAAGGGGTGTTTGGCCAGGCACAGTGGCCTATGTCTGTAATCCCAGTGGCTCAAGAGGTCAGGAAATCGAGACCATCCTGGCCAACATGGTGAAACCTCATCTCCACTAAAAATACAAAAATTAGCTGGGTGTGGTGGTGCTGGCTTATAGTCCCAGCTACTCAGGAGGCTGAGGCAGGAGAATTGCTTGAACCCGGGAGGCAGAGGTTGCAGTGAGCCAAGGTCGTGCTACTGCACTCTAGCCTGGGAGACAGAGTAAGACTCCATCTCAAAAAAATTAAAAAAGGGGGTGTTTGATAACCCTTGCTACCCAAGTACTTCAAGGCCAAGAGAACAGGACTAATGTCTCCTTCACTCTTCACTACTTCTCTTGGATCATAATATACCCACCTTACCAAAACTTTTTTTTTTTTTTTGAGACAGTCTCGCTCTGTCACCCAGGCTGGAGTACAGTGGTGCGACCTCGACTCACTGCAGCCTCCACCTCCCAGGTTCAAGCAACTCTCCTGCCTCAGCCTCCTGAGTTGCTGGGACTACAGCCGCATGCCATCACACGCCTGGCTAATTTTTGTATTTTTAGTACAGACGGGGTTTCACCATGTTGGCCATGATGGTCTCGATCTCCTGACCTTGTGAACCGCCCGCCTTGGCTTCCCAAAGTGCTGGGATTACAGGCATAAGCCACTGCGCCCAGCCAGAAAACCCAAACTTCTTTAAGGTTTAGATCCCTAGGGCACAGTGTCACCATCTACTCTATTTCTGTATCATTGTCCATCTCATGGAAGGCACTTTTGGACACCTGTAGAGGATGCTATGGTGGGCTGCCCGGATTCCTTCCCCTTCCCGTAATACTAGAGCTGTTGGGAGTTCTGTGGGTAACAGCTCTCCAATGCATCCCTCTCTGGGGATTGCTTGTGGCTAAAAGAGAGCTGCCTCTTCCCTCCTCCTGTGGAAGCCAAGATCCAAATTCTTGTTGATATGGGAGTATAAAGTTCCAACCCCTTTACCTCAATTCATGACAACTCTGAAGGGACATCTCATCACCAGAGTTCCTCCATCATTGGTTTAGGTCTTTGTTGTAACTGAGTGGCAGTTCAACTTCCTCCTTTGCCCAACCTGCTGCCTTTACTCTCCCACAGGTGTGGATCCTCACAGGAATCTTGCATGCAAACTTCTTTTTTTTTTTTTTTGAGACAGAGTCTTGCTCTGTCGCCCAGGCTGGAGTGTAGTGGCGCGATCTCAGTTCAATGCAAGCTCTGCCTCCGGGGTTCACGCCATTCTCCTGCCTCAGCCTCCTGAGTAGCTGGTACTACAGGCGCCCGCCACCACACCCAGCTAATTTTTTGTATTTTTAGCAAAGACAGGGTTTCACTGTGTTAGCCTGGATGGTCTCGATCTCCTGACCTCATAATCTGCCCTCCTTGTACTCCCAAAGTGCTGGGATTACAGGCGTGAGCCACCACGCCCAGCTTTTTTTTTCTTTTTTTCAGAGGGAGTTTCACCCTTGTCGTGCAGGCTGGAGTGCAATGGCATGATCTCGGCTCACTGCAACCTCCGCCTCCTGGGTTCAAGTGATTCTCCTGCCTCAGCCTCCCCAGTAGCTGGGATTACAGGTGCCCGCCGCCACATCCAGCTAATTTTTTTATTTTTAGTAGAAACGGGGTTTCGCCATGTAGGCCAGGCTGTTCTCAAAACTCCTGACCTCAAGTGATCTGCCTGCCTCGGCCTCCTAAAGTGCTTGGATTATAGGCGTGAGCCACTGCACCTGGCTGCAAACTTCTTTTTTTAAAAAACTTTTTTTTTGTTTGTTTTTAAGAGAGACAGGGGTCTCACTATGTTGCCCAGGCTGGTCTCAAACTCCTAGGCTCAAGCGATCCTCCTGCCTCGGCCTTCCAATGTGCTGGGATTACAGGCATGAGCCACCATGCTTGGCTAGATCCTTGCAAACTTCTTGCATGCAGATCTTCATCTCAGAGTTGGCTTCAAAGGCAACCCAACCTGTGACAACTGGGATCCAAGAGTTATCCAAGGAGATTCAAAAATGTGATTTTTAGATCTGGATTACCTGCTATCTAGCCAGCAACGAGGACTCTCTCACTGGTGGTAGGTGAAACATTAATAGCTTCTACAGAGATACTGGAGAAAGAAAACGAAAGGTTGAGAGTGATTAATCCCCAGTGTAGGTTAAATGTGAAAGCTGAAGGGCATCCTTGGCAGTATATAAAGAGTCTCATCTCTGGCTGTCAGAGAGTAGAAAAAGCTGAGGGTCAGGACAAGGACTTAACACACACACACACACACACACACACACACACATATATATATTTGATTCCTTTAAAAATAATTTGCTGGGCATAGTAGCTCACACTTGTAATCCCAGGACTTTGGGAGGCTGATGCAGGTGGATCGCTTGAGCCCAGGAGTTCAAGACCAACCTGGGCAACATAATGAGACACTGTCCCTAATTCAAATATTGTTTAAATTTTTTATTTTTAATTTAATTAATTAATTTATTTGTTTTGAGACTGAGTCTCGCTCGCCCAGGCTGGAGTGCAGTGGCATGCTCCCGGCTCACTGCAACCTCCGCCTCCCGGGTTCAAGCAATTCTTGTGCCTCAATCTCCCGAGTAGCTGGGATTACAGGTGCCTGCCACCATGCCTGGCTAATTTTTACATTTTTAGTAGAGACACAGTTTCACCATGTTGGCCAGGCTGGTCTTGAACTCCTGACCTCAAGTGATCCACCCACCTTGGCCTCCCAAAGTGCTGGGATTACAGGTGTGAGCCACCGCGCCTGACCTGATTTTTATTTTATTTTATTATTTTATTTTTTTGAGATGGAGTTTTGCTCTTGTTGCCCAGGCTGGAGTGCAATGGTACCATCTTGGCTCACTGCAACGTCTGCCTCTCAGGTTTAAGCAATTCTCCTGCCTCAGCCTCCCGAGTAGCTGGGATTACAGGCATGTGCCACCATACCCGGCTAATTTTGTATCTTTAGTAGAGATGGGGTTTCTCCATGTTGGTCAGGCTGGTCTCAAACTCCCGACCTCAGGTGATCCACCCGCCTCGGCCTCCCAAAGTGCTGGGATTACAGGCGTGAGCCACAGCTCCAGGACTGATTTTTATTTTAATTGAGACAAAGTCTCATTATGTTGCCCAGGTTGGTCTCCAACTCCTGGTCTCAAGCAATCCCTGCACCTCAGCCTCCCAAATTGTTGGGATTATAGATGTGAGCCACCACACTCCACCTAGGAATTAGTATTAAGAGTAGCATGGCCCTAGGCTGGGCGCAGTGGCTCATGCCTGTAATCCCAGCACTTCAGGAGGCCGAGGTGGTTGAATCACGAAGTCAGGAGTTCAAGACCAGCCTGGCCAATATGGTGAAACCCCGTCTCTACTAAAAATACAAAAATTAGCCGGGCGTGGTGGCATGTGCCTGTAGTCCCAGCTACTTGGGAGGCTGAGGCAGGAGAATCACTTGAACCCAGGAGGCAGAGGTTGCAGCGAGCCAAGGTCGTGCCACTGCACTCTAGCCTGGGGAACAGAGCAAGACTCCGTCTCAAAAAAAAAAAACAAAAAACACAACAGAAAAAAAAGAATCACTATTACTGCTTTTTCCGTTTGCCTCTGACTTCACTGATACAGCTCAGCTTGGTACTGTCACCAATGTGGCTGTCTTTTACAGACCTTAGGTGAAAGCAGCAGATGCAGTGACAGTGATGAGCTCCATGATAGCAATGGGATGATGAGGTCCCATCACTACTTGCCCTCCTTAAGTAGTGTCGGTTTGGACCCTATTTCCTACTTTAGTGATGCTTAACTGTCAGCAGCAAGGTGGGCACAATTGTCACAATTAGCATAAGGTCAGAATGGTTGACCTGCAGAAATATATGATTCATACAACTGGGTATCCTTAGAGGCAAGATTGATGGGCAGCCTACAAGGGTACTGCTCAATCTGTGCAACCAAGAGAAATAAAACATGAATCATTAGGAGGCTGAAGGCACTTGTCCCAATTTAAAAAAAAAAGTGATCTTCAGCTAGTTTCCAGACCTAAGGTAGTTTTCAGATCTAGAAATGAGTTCAGGTCATCTAATTGAAGCAGAAGCTAGGTCCCCAGGAAGGACTGTGTAACACCACAGTGTTTGTTTTGTTTTCCTTTTTTTTGTTAGTATTTGTTAATGATCCCTTAATACTTCTCCAAAGGGAACTATCATTTGCTCTGGTAACTATACACTGGGAAAAGTGGAATAACCAAATATTTTAAGACCTGTGGGACACAAGGTCCAAATCGACATTGTTATCCAAAGTGTCATAATATCCTATCAGAGTGGGTGTATGTAGGGGCCAGATCACACATGAAGTTCTGACCCAGGTTTGGCTCACGGTGGCAAGAACCCACCACATCTTATTTCCCAAGTTCTCGAAGTTGGTTAAGGGGCTCCTGCCTGTAATCCCAGCACTTTGAGAGGCCCAGATGGGAAGATCGCTTGAGGCTAGGTGTTCGAGATTAGCCTGGGCAATATAGCAAGACCCTGTCTCTACAAAAAATTTAAAAAGTAGGCAGGTGAGATGGCTCACGCCTGTAATCCCAGCACTTTGGGAGGTCGATGTGGGTGGGTCACTTGAGGCCAGGAGTTCAAGACCAGCTTGGCCAACATGGCAAAGCCCTGTCTCTACTGAAAATAAAAAATTAGCTGGGTGTAGTGGCACACATCTGTGGTCCCAGCTACTAGGGAGGCAGAGGTTACAGTGAGCTGAGATTACGCCACTGCACTCCAGCTTGGGTGAAAGAGTAAGACTCTGTCTCAAAAAAAAAAAATTAAAAAGTAGCTGGGCATGGTGGTGTGCACCTGTAATCCTAGCTACTCAGGAGGCTGAGTTGGGAGGATCGCCAGAGCCCAGGAGTTTGAGGCTGGAGTGAGCCACTGCACTACAGCTGGGGCAACAGAGCAAGACCCCATTTCTAAAAACAAAGCAAAACTAAACTGAACTAAAGTGGGCCTGTGGGATAAGAACTATCACATTGGGATTTATTAGGGAAACTGGCTCCTGCAATTTTGGAGACTAAGTCCCTTGACAGGCCATCTGCAAACTAGAGGCCCTGAGATGCTGGTAGCTCAGTCCAAGTCCCAAGGTTTAGAATCAGCGAAGACAATGATGTAACTCAGTCCAAGGACAAAGGCCTGAGAACCAGGAGGAAGGGGTGGGGATAGGGTGCTGCTGGTGTAAATCCAGGATTCCAAAGGCTGAGCAGCTTGGGGTCGTTGTCCAAAAACAACAATAGAGGAAGATTGGATGTAGCCAGCCTTCGCACATAAATTGACATTTTCACCTTTTCTCTGCTTCTGTTCTTCCTGGGGTCCCCAGCAGACTGGATGGTACCTGGCCACACGGAGGGCCGATCTTCCCCACCTAGCCCACTTGTACTCACACGCTAATCTCTGGAAACACCCATACAGACACACCACAAAATAGCTTTACCAGGTTTCTAGGTATTCCTTAATCCAGTCAAGTTGACACTTAAAATTAACCATCACATCTTTTTTTCTTTTTTTTTTTTGAGACGGAGTCTCGCTCTGTTGCCCAGGCTGGAGTGCAGTGGCACTATCTCCGCTCACTGCAAACTCCGCCTCCTGGGTTCAAGCGATTCTCTTGCCTCAGCCTCCTGAGTAGCTGGGATTATAGGCAGGTGCCACCATGCCCGGCTAATTTTTGTATTTTTAGTAGAGATGGGGTTTCACTGTGTTGGTCAGGCTAGTTTTGAACTCCTGACCTTGTGATCCGCCTGCCTCAGCCTCCCAAAGTGCTGGGATTACAGGCATGAGCCACCACGCCTGGCCAAAAATTTTAATTTATCAAATTTATTCCTTTACTGATGCTAATAAAAATCTGTGGTGGCTCACGCCTATAATCCCAGCACTTTAGGAGTCTGAGGCAGGAGGACTGCTTGAGGCCAAGAGTTTGAGACCAGCCTGGGGAATATAGTAAGATCTCATTCTACAAAAAATAAAAATTAGCTGGGTATGGTGGCCCATGTTGGTGGTACTAGCTACTCTGGAGACTGAGGCAGGAGAGTCTCTTGAACCTTAAGGTCGAAGTTAGGGTCAGCTGTGATCGCACCACTGCCCTCCAGCTTGGGCAACAAACCAAGACTGTGTGTCAAAAAAACAGAAAAAAAATCGTTTGTGTCACCTGATCTGAAGAAGGGAGGGAGTCTGGTGAGAGGGAAAGAGGGAGCAAGGCTGCAGGTCAGGAGTCACCAGGGACAGGTTATCTAAGCTCTCAGTCCAGTGCCATTGTCCATATATCTCCCACCTACCGCTAGCCTCAGGAAAATGGCTCCTCACTTTACCCAAAGTAGATATGGGGTCTTCCTGCAAGAGGAATACACCCATACCATTTCCCTCCCTTCAAACGACCATACTGACCCATGGTATGGTTAGTATTTGGGTTGCAGGTTTATCACATAGCGAGGTACTCCTCTCTTTGTGATGGCTCTAACCTTGATAACTACCTGTTTTCCTCGGCTGCTTCCGGGACCCATCTTTCTGAGCCTTTCTTTCTTTTTCATCGTCGAAGTCAAAGACCAGTGTGACAGTACAAGGTTATATTATAATTGATGCCCAGGAAAACAGACTGCCGTATTCTGATCTATTAAAATTCCTGATTTAGGAATACCGTCTAGGATTTAAGAGAAACATCTAATGAATGTTAATAATGACGATGAGTGGTTTTCTAGGAACCCATAAAGTAAAAGGCTTTAAAAGGGTGGCAAGATTGTCACTGTGCAACTCAGCAACGATTTGTGAGGCTCAACGAAATTCCTACCCAAATTATTTGCAATTATTAAACAGAAAGAATGAAAAATGACCTTGAATTACAGGGCGAAAGATGGGACTGTTAAGACTGTCTTCGTAACTAAGCACTGTAAAGACTGAGACAGCTGCAAGGGAAAGTTTTCCTCGAGCTCTTCCAGTGAATTTTGGGAAAAGGGATTGAATGTCTGAGGTCTCTTCCAGCTCTGAAACCGCAGCGTTTCGTACAGTGTTCATTTTTTTTTAATGGGAGGGGTCTCGGGGTCTTGCTCTGTCGCCCGGTCTGGAGGCTTGAGTACAGTGGCGCGACACGATTACGGCTCACGGCTGCCTCGAACTCCTGGGCTCAAGCGATGCTCCCGCCTCAGCCTCCAGAGTTGCTGGGACTCAGTGTCTGTTCTTAACTCCCTTCGTAGAATCCACTTTCCTCCAGGGCAAAGTTACTCACTTAAGGACCTTACGGCTCGGCTCGGGGATTTCCTGGGTCACCACGCAGGCGACTTCAGGGCCCAACCGTGTCTCCTCCCCCACCCACAATGCACCTCGCGGTTCCCTCTAGGTGGCAGTTCTGTCACGTGTCACCCGACGGAGCGCGCTCCCGTTTGGCGCACGCGCAGAGTGCAGCCCCCAGCTATTTTTCTCCGTGGCGGCGGCGACGAGCGGAAGTTCTTGGGAGCGCCAGTTCCGTCTGTGTGTTCGAGTGGACAAAATGGCGAAGATCGCCAAGACTCACGAAGGTAAGCGGTCTTTCCCTGCTTACGTGTTTTCTTCGTTGCTAGCCTAATAAAAGCCTTTTTTCCTAGGATTCTGCCTTTTTCTATGGTTTCTTTCGTAGGAGCTGAGCCCGCGTTTCGGGGCCAAGGGTCGTCTCCTCCGCGCCAGCGGCGCAGGCCACTGCCCCGCGTAATGGCGTCCTCCTCTTACACCCCCGACAGGCGCTTTGTTCAGTGTTTGGGACCTGCTACTTCAGAGTAGCTTCTCTTCTCTGACCAGAGGGCCTCGTTTAAGCGGCTTCCTCAGTAGGATTCGTGGGCAAGGGATCGGGGAAGCGGGCGTGGGGAGAAGGTCTCACTCGCCTCTCGACACTGTCGTCCCCATAGTTTGTGCAGAAGAGGGTCAGAAAAGCACTGAAATACGGCAGCCGCTTTTCCGGCAGACTGAATCGAATTTGGTTAAACCGAGATTCCGTTACTCCTACCCTTGTGTGTCTTCAAGCGTCAGTTACTTGTTTATTTTTCTTGCACGAAACGATTTGGGGATAAAATCTGGTAGTTGTTTTCCCTCCCTTAGTCACTTTTAGTATAATATTGATCTTTTTCTTTGGAGACTGGTTATTGGAGGAGCAGATGGAAGAGGAAAACATAAATTACTTTCATTAATGGCCGAAGCTTTCAAGCTAGTTGATCGTTTTATGGAATACAGAGTGTGCAAATTAGGAAAACGTTGGGAATAGACTGGAGTTCATTAGGAAGTATCCAGAGATGACAGAAAATGGGATCACTTTTCAGAAAAGACGAGGCATGAGAAGTTGGAACTGCATTCTTTGATTTCTGACTTGGAATCCGAGATTTTCACTGAGAACGAGACTTCTAAGTCACTTTTGTTTCATATGTTCTTTCTGGGTATTTGGCTCGGTATTAGTCTGTGAGAGGTAAGAGACTGAGGCCATCCAAAATTTTACAGTCTGATAGGAGAAACAGATGTGTATGTTCTCATTCTCTCATGAGGCCAGATGCATGCTTAAGTAGAAGAAAAAGCAGCATGTTCTGGGAACCTGGGTAACGGAATGATTATGTTTAGGGTTGTTTCACTGAGGAGGTTACATGACCGTGTTTTAAAAGGATCAGTCAGTTTTAAATCGGGAAGGACATCTGAGCCTGAGAACATCTTGTAACAAGGTATTGAATCGTGAAAGGTGTGTTTGAGTAGTAGTCCACTGTAGCAGGAACAGAGGGTGCAAGTAGAGAAGAAATAAATGAATCTGGAAAGGTTGGATTAGGACCAGAATGTGAATGGCTTTGAATAGTTGGGTCACCCAGAGGACCTGAAGTCCAGCTTTCTGCTATTTATCAAACATGCTAATGAATTGTCAATGACTTTAATATTAGTATACCATTTTAGGTATTTAGGATTTAAATGCTCTCTTAGTATTCCTAGGCTTTATTATTTTGTCTTTAGACTATCTCAAATATAACCTTTTGCAAAGTAAGTAGAAAATATAAAGTTGTGCTGTTTTTGTTCATTCAGGATGTTATTCATTTGGGGATATTGATAGTATAGCTTTGATACTTATTTATTGGTAACTTCAGTATAAGATGCCCTCAGACAGGAAAATCAGAATTCTGATCAGTTTTCCTGAATTTTTTAGAAACCCAGCTAAAAACTTTGGTCTATTGCTATTCATTGGCCAAACTTGTTATTTTTGAGATTATTCTATCAATGTGAATTAAGTGATACCATAAGAAAATAGCAGAACATTCAATACTTGAGCACTGTCTGTGCCCATCCCTATGGGATATGTCAGGGGATGATAAATGTTTAGTAGAAATACACATAATACTGACATAGCTTGTTGCTTCCTTCCTAATGGAACTCTAGTTCTTCATGGTCCATCACTGTTTTCTCTTGTTAAGCCATTTTTGATAAACTGAAGCAGAATTAATGCTTTTTGGGGCAGTGCTGCTATAGTACTCAGTATAAATGTTATATTGCTTAGAATAGTCTGTTGTGTTAAGATTTTCTCTTCTCCTTAGCTCCAAGATTGAGATAAACTGATAACTATTTATTTATTTTGCTGTCATATTCCTTTCAAACATTTCTTTTTTTATTTTTTATTTTTTTTTGAGATAGGGTCTTTTTCTGTTGCCCAGGCAGAAGTGCAGTGGTGCAATCTCGGCTCACAGCAACCTCCGCCTTTTAGGTTCAAGCGATTGTCCTGCTTCAGCCTCCTGAGTACTAGTATCGCAGGCATGTGCCACCACACCCGACTAATTTTTGTATTTTTAGAGACAGGGTTTCGCCATGTTGGCCAGGCTGGTCTCAAACTCCTGACCACAAGTGATCCTCCCACCTTGGCCTCCCAAAGTGCTGGGATTACTGGCATGAGCCACCATGCCTGAACCCTTTCAAACATTTCTATTAGGATCAGGCCTCACATCCTCTTTAACCAATCTGATTATATTTTACCCTGGCCAATGTGGCTTATGCTTTCCAGGATTGAAATATAAAAAGAACTGGAATTACTCAAATCAGATAAAATCTTTTAGATCTTTCCACGTATTATGTCAGGTGTATGGTTATGAATATGCATAATCTTGCCATCCAGCAGTTCTTCAGATACTGCTGACTTTGGCATACAAACAGGGAACACACATTATTCTCTGTTTTGTAAGGGGAAAATGGTTTAACCAAAAATCCTACATATCAGCTTGTTTTGCCACTAATCCTTTGAATTAGATTTTTTGGGACATCACAAAGCTGAAAAAGTTTTTTCCCTAATTCTTTGCTTGATAAATGGCTGGAATAGTTATAGTTTTGTTATTGTGTATCTTGCTGATCTATATATTTTTTCCTGTGTTTATTTTTGAGACCGGGTCTTGCCCTGTTGCCCAGGTTGGAGTGCAGTGGCGTGATCATAGCTCACTTAACCTACAACTGCTGGGCTCAAGTGATCCTCCCATTTCAGCCTCCTGAGTAGCTACAACTACAGGCGTGTGCTACCATGCCTGGCTAATTTTTACAATTTTTTTTTAGAGATGGGGTCTCGCTATGTTACCCAGGCTGATCTCGAACTCCTGGGCTCAAGCAGTCCTGCCTTGGCCTCCCACCGTGCTAGGATTACAGGTGTGAGCCACGATGCCTGGCCTTGAAATTTTTTTTAATAGAATTAATCATTTAGGAATCAATTTATCAGTATTGTTTGTAGTGTTCAGTAAAATGATTTATATTATAGTTAGTTGTCCTATTGGAGTTTTGTTTAATGAAAAAGCTGAGGGTTGGGATTCAGAATATACTTCCTGTTTTTCTGTGATGTCTTTTAGAAGCCTTGTATTTTGGAAATAGTTGTTCACCGGTTATATCTGGCTGAAGGAGAGTAGATATCACTTAGGGACCAGACTGAAAGGTGTAGGTGAGACATTAACATCTGAGGGCAGTATCTGTGTAACATGTAATGAGCAGTGATTAGAACACTGAAAATAATTCAGACGAAAAATGAAAAATAAAAATCAAGGAGGAAGAAGTGCTACAAGTTGGGTTTAGCAGGATCTAAGGCTTAGAAAGAAGAAAAGGGCTGGGCATGGTGTCTCACACCTATAATCCCAGCACTTTGGGAGGCTGAGGTGGGCAGATCACCCAAGGTTAGGAGTTCCAGACCAGCCTGGCCAACGTGGTGAAACCCCCTCTCTACTAAAAGTACAAAAAAATTAACCGGGCATGGTGGCGTGAGCCTGTGATCCCAGCTCCTCGGGAGGCTGTTGCAGGAGAATCGCTTGAACCCAGGAGGCGAAGGTTGCAGTGAGCTGAGATCACGCCACGCCACTGCACTCCAGCCTGGGCGACTGAGTGAAACTCTGTCTCAAAAAAAAAAAAAAAAAAAAAAAAAAGAAGAAAAGGCACAGGAGGGGAAATCAGAGGGACAGAATTGGTGGGGAGCAGTTAAATAGTTTTATCAGATGTGACCTTCTGCTATCAGTGATATGAATTGTTTTTCTCAAGAGCTTGATATGTAGGTCTGAGTTTTAAAATACAGGAGGCCAGGGGTTGCTCACGCATGTAATCCCAGCATTTTGGGAAGTCAAGACAGGAGGATTGCTTGAGACTGCAAACATACAGAAAAGTAGAGAGCGGCTGGCGCTATACTCCAGCCTGGGCAACAGAGCAGGACTCTGTCTCAGAAAAACAAAACAACAGGCCGGGCACAGTGTGTGAAGACAGGTTTTAATAACACTAGGGTAGGCTGGGCACGGTGGCTTACGCCTGTAATCCCAGCACTTTGGGAGGCTGATGTGGATGGATCACCAGAGGTCAGGAGTTTGAGACCAGCTTGATCAACATGGTGAAACCCTATCTCTACTAAAAATAAAAAAATTAGCTGGGTTTGGTGGTGCGTGCCTGTAATCCCACCTGCTTGGGAGCCTCAGGCAGGAGAATCTCTTGAACCAGGAGGTGGAGGTTGCAGTGAGCCGAGATCGTGCCACTGCACTTCAGTTTGGGCAACAGAGTGAGACTTTGTCTCAAAACAAAATAACAAAAAAAACTACCGTGAGTAGTAAAATGAACCCCTCATATACTCATCACCTAGCTTCAACAGTTACAAGCTTAGGCCAGCTTTGTTTAATTTGTACACTGGTCACTTCTACTCTTCCCATTATTTTGAAGCAGATCTTAGACATACCACTTTATCCATAAATATTTCAGTATGTATTTCTGTGTAGGGACTTAAAAAGATAATACCATGATTACACCTAAAATTAAAATAATAAAATATCTAGTCACTGTTCTGTTTTACCCATTCTTTTAAACTTTGTTTTTCAGTTTCAGTCAGGCTTCCAAGAAAACTGATAACATTTTGATTGGTTGGTTTCTCTTATATCTTTTTCATTTCACAGTACATTGTGATTTAATGATTTATCTCTTAAATCTTTTTCAGTTCATAGGTTCCTCCTGTCTCTTTCTTTTTCCTTGCACTTCATTTGTTGCAGAACCTTTGTCCTGTGGTTTCGCACAGTCTGGAGGAATTGGGGAAAGTGGCTGTCTAAACTGGTTCCCTCCTTCCCATTACTGCTGCAATCAAGATGTTAGGGGGCCTACAAGCAATGGAAGCACCCAGAAAATTATTGGCTCTAAGTATGAGCATAGTTCTGAAATCATACTTCAGGTTTAGATTGTGCTAGTCATGGGAAGGAAATTTTTTTTTTTTTTTTTGAGACAGAGTCTTGCTCTGTTGTCCAGGCTGGAGTGCAGTCGCACAATGTCGGCTCACTGCAAGCTCCGCCTCCCGGGTTCAAGCGATACTTCTGCCTCAGCCTCCCGAGTAGCTGGGACTACAGACGCGCGCCATCACACCCAGCTAATTTTTGTATTTTTAGTAGAGATGGGGTTTCACCACATTGGCCAGACTGGTCTCGAACTCCTGACCTCAGGTGATCCATCCACATCGGCCTCCCAAAGTGCTGGGATTACAGGCGTGAGCCACCGTGCCGGCCTGCCTTAGTGTTATTAAAACCTGTCTTGACACAAAAACCTCTAAACAAATGTTTACAGTAGCCTTACTTGTAATCACTGCAAACAGCTCGATGTACTTCAGCTAGAGAATGGATAAACACACTGTAGTACAATGGAATACTACCCAGTAATAAAAAGGCAGAAACTATTGATGTGCACAACAGTGTGGAAATTGGAATATTTAAGGGTTTAAATGGGTTAAAGAGTGCCAGCTTTTGGCAGTTTTGTGTGGCCAATAGGAAGTCCTAGTCTCTTCTTGCTCAGTCACTAGCAGACAGTATCCCTTTTTTCTTTGTCTTCACATCTGAATGTATTGAACTATGAGTCCAAACTGGGAAGGGATTAGGC
Organism: Homo sapiens; assembly: GCF_000001405.40. NCBI lineage: Eukaryota > Metazoa > Chordata > Mammalia > Primates > Hominidae > Homo > Homo sapiens. Next base: position 197,429,135 of record NC_000002.12, on the reverse strand, counting down.
TGGAACAGGATTTGTTCATTTTGGTCATAATTGAAGTTGGAAGAGATTATTAGCATAGACGTTTCTTTGCCTCAAGTCTTCATTGTTTTTGACCTCTGGTTACTCATTTTGGTATGTTCTCTCATTTTTTATTTTCATAGTTGCCAACCCCCGCCTTTTTTTTTTGAGATGGAGTTTCACTGTGTCGTCCGGGCTGGAGTGCAGTGGCGTGATCTTGGCTCACTGCAACCTCTGCCTCCCAGACTCAAGCGATTCTCTTGTTGCCCAGGCCAGAGTGCAGTGCTGTGATCTCGGCTCACTGCAACCTCCACCTCCCAGGTTCAAGCGATTCTCATGCCTCAGCCTTCCAAGTAGCTGGGATTACAGGCGTGCCACCACCATGTCTGGCTAATTTTTGTATTTTTAGTGAAGACAGGGTTTCACCATGTTGGCCAGGCCGGCTTTGAACTCCTGATCTCAAGTGATTCAACTGTCTTGACTTCCCAAAGTGCTGGGATTACAGGCGTGAGCCACCGCGCTCAGCCAGTTGCCAAGCAGTTTTATGCATTGATCATTTGTTGTCAGAAATGATCTATTTGCATATTTTTAGTCAGTTTATATTTAAGAAATTATAGGAATACTTACACACCAGGCTGTAACTTAGTGTTGGTTTTGAAAATACGGAGTTAGAGACAACATTGTTATTCCCAGAGATAAAAAATTTGAAGTGGAATTTTACAAACCTTGGCTGGCATGGATAGGGGAGAGAAAAATTTGGAAAATTACTTTTAATTACTTCTACAGATTACCTATTTATTTATTTACTTACTTATTTAGAGGCAAGGCCTGGCTCTAACACCCAGGCTAGAGTGCAGTGGTGTGATCTCAGCTCACTGCAACCTCCGCCTCCTGGGCTCAAGCCATCCTCTGACCTCAGCCTCCTGAGTATCTGGGACTACAGGTGTGCACCTGTAGTGACTAATTTTTGTATTTTTGTCTAATTTTTGTAGAGACAGGGTTTCATCATGTTGCTTAGGCTGGCCTTGAACTTGTGAACTCAAGTGATCTGCCTGCCTGGGCATCCCAAAGTGCCCAGCCTCATTACCTTTTAATTAATTAATTAATTAATTAATTAATTTGAGACGGAGTCTTGCTCTGTCGCCTAGGTTGGAGTGCAGTGGTGCGATCTCGGCTCACTGCATCCTCTGCCTCTTGGGTTCAAGCAATTCTCTGACTCAGCCTCCTGAGTAGCTGGGATTCCAGGCACCCACCACCACACCTGGCTAATTTTTATATTTTTAGTAGAGATGGGGTTTCACCATCTTGGCCAGGCTGATCCTGAACTCCTGACCTCGTGATCCACCCGCCTCGGCCTCCCAAAGTGCTGGGATTACAGGCGTGAGCCACCATGCCCGGCCCAGATTACCTTTTATGAAATATTTTAACATGCAGAAGAGAATAGGACAAAATATAATGAACACTAACCCACTGCTCAGCTTTATCAGTTCTTCATTTTCTGCCGTATTTTTTCCCACCTTTTTATTTATTTTGAAAACGAAACCTCAGACACAAAGTTACCTTATTTATGAATGTCATGGTAATAATTTGTTTGCTCATAAATATTTGGGTATGTTATATTTGGTATTTTAGCACATAGTTTATTAAGAAATTTCTGAGTTTTTAGTTCTCTGAATTGCATAATAAGCTGCTGAGTTTTATGGAATCTGACGGCTTAATTTTATGGATCACATGGTGTATGTGTAAATGTGCTGCAGTTTGCAGTGTGTTAACAAAGCCCATTAAGCTGTTTGGACTTTATATCTATAGTTTCCAGCAGACAGAAAACAATGCCTGATTTGCATATAAACATTTAATTGTACTGCCTATAAGAAGTTCAGTAATATACTCACCTTAGGATTAATTAACTACAAACAGCTGCCTAGCCCCAGGAGATTTTGGGCTGGGTAATTTTGTTACTAAATTTTAATAAGAACCTAGTCATGATTTACATAGATTTCATACCAACACTATTTCAGTACTTTATGAACCTTTGTAATTGGAAAACTCTGATGCTAATCAGCAGGTACATAAAATCAATAGTTAAAATTCAGTAGCTGAAATTAGTTCCAGAATAAGTGTTATCCAAATGAGAAACTAGTTGCTGAAACTTCAGGATGGAAAAGTTGTTTAGATGGAAAATAAGAGAGATGCCTGATAAGGGGGAAAAAGCAAGTTGCACAATATGTGTAGTGTGCAGTTTTTATAAAACAGCACCCCTTTCCTGTTTTTTAGTTGTGTATGAGGTAGAGAAAAGTATAAAATGATGCTCTAAATTGGAAAATTTGGTAGGGGTGGGCTGGGGTTGGAAATGGGAGGGGTGAAGGGCCAGGTAAAATAGTTTCCTAGGGTGTTTGTTAATGATGCAGAATCCTGGGCTTCACAGCCTGAGTTGGAGTTTCAGAGTTAGTGTATCCAAGACCTAAGGTTCTACCTTTGTAACAGGTGCACCAGGTCATTTCTTTGTAGGTGGTCCTTATACTAGACTAATGCTGTAGAGGAGATTGCAGACTATTTCTCCTGATTCATCCATTTGTTTCTTACCTAAATCCTCATGGAAGTAGCATTTGTGGTCCTTTTACAAAAACCTATTTAGGTAAAAGTGATAAATGCACCTGTGGTTTAAAAAAAAAGCCTGAAGCTGGGCGTGGTGGTGGGCATCTATAATCCCAACTATTTGGGAGGCTGAGGCAGGAGAATGGCTTGAACCTGGGAGGCGGAGGTTGCAGTGAGCCGAGATCCAGCCACTGCACTCCAGCCTGGGCAACAAGAGCAAAACTCCGCCTCAAAAAAAGAAAAGAAAAGAAGATGCCCGAAGGGGGTGGGAGTGGGGCAAATGTAGATTAAATTTTTCAAAATATGAAACTACAAACAGAAACAAAAGTAGAGATCATAGTAAAAAGAACCACCCTGCTCATGTGAGGATATTTCTGGCTGCCTGGGCTGCTATAATGGTTTGGGGACAAAGTAACATCTGTGCATGTAGTGGTGCTGTGTAACACAACACACTATAATAATTTTGAGATCCGATCACAACTGGGGCTGCTAAACTCAGCATTAAAACTATTCTATCATTTTGAGTTTCTTTCTTTCTGTTTGTTTCTGAGACAGTCTCTCTCTCATCCAGGCTGGAGTGCAGTGGCAGCAATCGTGGCTTACTGCAGCCTTGACCTCCTGGGCTCAAACAGTCCTCCCACCTGAGCCCCCTAAGTGGCAGGGGACTATAGGTTTGCCACCATACCTGGCTAATTTTAGTATTTTTTGTAGAGATAGGGTTTTGCCATGTCGCCCAGGCTGGTTTTGAACTCCTGGGCTCAAGTGATCCGCCCACCTCAGCCTTCCAAAGTGTTTGGATGACATGCGTGAGCTACCGCGTCTGCCTCCAGTTTGTGAGACGTGCTCCTGTTCCTTTCTTATGTGGAAATGTGACCCAGCCGTGCCTTAGACTAGATAAGGACATTTTGTTATCCTGCACATCTATCTTGAGGAACTATAGAGGGCTTTCTCCCTTAGCTGGGGGGGTGGGAGGTTTTGCAAATACAGGATGCTATTTGAATCTTTATCTTTTGATTCATGCAGCTAGCAATTGAGCTTTTTTATTTTTTATTTGATTTATTTATCTATTTATTTTTTGAGACGGAGTTTCGCTCTTGTCGCCCAGGCTGGAGTGCAATGGCGTGATCTCGACTTACTGCAACCTCCACCTTCCGGGTTCATGTGATTCTCCTGCCTCAGCCTCCCGAGTAGCTGGGATTACAGGCGCCTGCCACCATGCCCGGCTAATTTTTGTATTTTTAGTAGAGACGGGGTTTTAGCACATTGGCCAGGCTGGTCTTGAACTCCTGACCTCAGGTGATCTGCCCACCTCGGCCTCCCGAAGTGCTGGGATTGCAGGTGTGAGCCACTGCGCCCGGCCTAATTTTTATTCATTTATTTATTTATTTGAGATGAGTTTTGCTCTTTGCCCAGGCTAAAGTGCAGTGGCACGTGATCTCGGCTCACTGCAGCCTTGGCCTCCCGGGTTCAAGCAGTTCTGCCTCAGCCTCCTGAGTAGCTGGGACTAGAGGCGTGCGCCATTACACCTGGCTAACTTTGTATTTTTACTGGAGAGGAGGTTTCACCATCTTGGCTAGGCTGGTCTCGAATGCCTGACTTCAGGTGATCCGCCCGCCTTGGCCTCCCAAAGTGCTGGGATTATAGGCGTGGACCACCGCGCCCGGCCAGCAAGTAAGCTTTTTAAAAGTGCCTGGTGTCAAAGGGCTTAATTCAGCATGGGCTGGCAAGAATTTAAACAGCTATTTGTCAGGCCATGGAAATCTTTTGCAATCGAAACTATTTCTTTATACATCTATGTATTATTTAGATTATTAAAACAAAACATTACTTTGCAAAATTAACCTGGTGTCAGGAAAGACTACAAAATGGAAGACTAGTCTGTATTTAAAGAAGAGCAAAGAGTGACAACTAAATGCAGTGTATGGTGCTTGATTGGATCATGGGTTAAAAAAGAATCTATAGAAGCTGTTACTAGGGCAACTGGGGACATTTTAAGCTAGGTTATATGTTTGTTAGATGATATTTTGTCACGGTTTTTTTTTTTTTTTTTGAGAGATAGAGTCTTGCTCTGTCACCCAGGTTGGAGTGCAGTGGTGTGATCTGCAACCTCCGCCTCCCGGGTTAAAGTGATTCTCCTGCCTCAACTTCCCAAATACCTGGGACTACAGGTGCATGCCCCCACGCCCAGCTACTTTTTGTATTTTTTAGTAGAGACGGGGTTTCGCTATATGTTGGCCAGGTTGGTCTCGAACTCCTGACCTCAAGTGATCGCCCACCTCCTCCTCCCAAAGTGTTGGGATTATAGGCGTGAGCCACAGCACCCAGATCTGCCCACCTCATCCTCCCAAAGTGTTGGGATTGTAGGCGTGAGCCACATGCCCAGCCTATCATGGTTTAATTTCTAGAGCTTGCTTACGCTGTTGTGATTACTAGTCTCTTATATGGTGCAATTATTGTACATTTTCTGTATTTAAGAGAGTATTTTGATAATTACCTAGTAAAGAAATGCATTGTGTTGGGAGTTCTTTTGGAAAGTGAAATTAAGAAAGTCTGTGTTATCTTTTTATAGATATTGAAGCACAGATTCGAGAAATTCAAGGCAAGAAGGCAGCTCTTGATGAAGCTCAAGGAGTGGGCCTCGATTCTACAGGTTATTATGACCAGGAAATTTATGGTGGAAGTGACAGCAGATTTGCTGGATACGTGACATCAATTGCTGCAACTGAACTTGAAGATGTAAGTTACAAATTATGTACAAGAGGCAGTTATTTTTTTGAGAGAGCAAGAAATATGAATAACTTTTGTTGCAGCCATCTGGTTTAATCTGGAGAAACATTTTTGGGATCTTTTAGAGGATAAAACTACTGGAGGTATCCTCTCTAAGGTTCAGAAACTTCACTGGAAATGCTTTGTTCTGAGAATTTATGGTAAAGACTAGTTTGTTTATCCAGTGAAGCACCTGCCAGCCATTACCTTTATAAAGTTAAGAGTAAAGTAAATCCCTACCATTACTTATCAGCTCTATCTAGAGTAGCCTGTGTGAGAAGTGACTTAATTGTAAATAGCCATCTGTCCTTGTGATTTGATTACTGACTTGTACTTGATACTGTTTTTCTCCTCTTGGTATCTTAATGTGAATGGATTTTCTTTTCTTATCTTTTTTTTTTTTTTTTTGAGACAGTCTCACCTGTCATCCAGGCTTGAGTGCAGTGGACTGCAACCTCCGCCTCCCGGTTTCAAGTGATTCTCCTGCCTCAGCCTCCCAAATAGCTGGGATTACAGGCGCCTGCTACCATGCCTGGCTAATTTTTGTATTTTTAGTAGAGATGGGGTTTTGCCATGTTGGCCAGGCTGGTCTGGAACTCATGCCTTCAGGTGATCCACCTGCCTTGGCCTCCCAAAGTGCTGCGATTACAGGCTTGAGCCACTGCGCCCAGCCTGGAATTTTTCTTAGTACTGATATTGATGAGCTTTTCATGTCTGTTTGAATTCCTATGGAGGAGGACTGCCTTTCATTTTGAAATCTGTTCCCTCAAAGCATTTTTTATGTATTCCAGGTAGCTTATATTTTATCAGACCATTCCAAACTCCAAATTTGGTGATTCAGTTACAGATAAATTTTATTTTATGTATATAGATTATCAAACTGGTTTTTTTTTTTCGTCTCACTCTGTTGCCCAGGCTGGAATGCAGTGGTGCAATCTTGGCTTACTGCATGCTCCGCCTCCAGGGTTCATAGCATTCTCCTGCCTCAGCCTCCCGAGTAGCTGGGACTACAGATGCCTGCCACCAAGTCCGGCTAATTTTTTGTATTTTTAGTAGAGACGGGGTTTCACCGTGTTAGCCAGGATGGTCTCGATCTCCTGAGCTCGTGATCCACCTGCCTCAGCCTCCCAGAGTGCTGGGATTACAGGCGTGAGCCACCGCGCCTGGTTATTTTTTATTTTTTTTTAATTTTTGGATAGGTGATGTATATTTCTTTTTTTATTATTATTATACTTTAAATTCTAGGGTCCATGTGCACAATGTGCAGGTTACGTATGTATACATGTGCCATACTGGTGTGCTGCACCCATTAACTTGTCATTTACGTTAGGTATATCTCCCAATGCTATCCCTCCCCCCTACCCCCACCCCATGACAAGCCCCGGTGTGTGATGTTCCCCATCCTGTGTCCAGGTGTTCTTATTGTTCAGTTCCCACCTAGGAGTGAGAACATGCGGTGCCAACTGGTTATTTTTAAGAAATTCAAGTCACATTTTATAGTTGGCTCTCTTCCTCTTTTTTTTTTCTTGAGAGAAATTTAAAAATCCCAAAAGGTGAAATTTCTAGAAGCCAGTCATGGACTAGTTAGCACTTTATTTGGGGGTCTCATACCCTAATTGTAAAAGAAAGTGATAGCTATAGGTTTCAGAAGCTGAGGGGGAAATTGTCACTTTATCTTTAAATAAAATAAGTGAGGTGTTAAGATCTGGAGAATTACCCCGTGTTGCACTTTTTATTTTTTATTTATTTTTATTACAATAGAGATGAGATCTCACTATGTATGTGGTTTTGTTTTTTGGAGACAAAGTCTTGCTCTGTTGCCCAGACCAAAGGCAGTGGCCAGATCATGCCTCACTATAGCCTTCGCCTCCCGAGATCAAGCAATTTTCCCACCTCAGCCTCCTGAGTAGCTGGGACTACGTATGCACACCACCACGCCTGGCTAATTTTTGTATTTTTTTTGGTAGAGACAGAGTTTCACCATGTTGCCCAGGCTGGTCTTGAACTCCTGGGCTCAATTAGTCCCTTGCCTCGGCCTCCCAAAGTGTTGGGATTATAGATGTGAGCCACCTTGCCCAGCTGGGTCTCTGTTGCCTAGGCTAGTCTCAAAACTCCTACACTCAAGCCATTCTCCCACCTTGGCCTCCCAAACAGTTGTACTTTTTATACTAGAAAAGTAACAGTATAACATTGTTCTGTTTAAACATACTACTAGGGGCAAATAAATTTAAAATTAAATATTTGTTTCTATGGTTGTTAAATTGTGTTAAAAAACATGAGTTAAAAAAAGAAAGTAGAAAGTTCTAAAATAAGCTGTAGTTATCAAATTGAAAAAACATTTTGTCTTCTGTGAAAAAATTAAATGCACAGGTTTTTCTAGTCCATACCTACTTTATCTTAATTGACGTCTATAGAAAATATTCCTTGCTTAATCATTTTAAAAGTAAAGATAACTTTACTGAATTGAATTTAATAGATTTTTGAAGTGAAAGAAGACCAATTGTGTTTCTAAGTTTTATGAAGGAGGGCTTAGACATCACACTGTCAATAGATCTTTTGATTTCATTTTGAATCTTTGCATATTCTTTCTAATTTTTAAGTTCTAACATTTTGTTTATGGCTTTTTGGGGGGTTTTCATTGCAGGATGACGATGACTATTCATCATCTACGAGTTTGCTTGGTCAGAAGAAGCCAGGATATCATGCCCCTGTGGCATTGCTTAATGATATACCACAGTCAACAGAACAGGTGATCTTTCATTTTAAAAGCATAGTTTATTCAGCTAAAGAAAAGTGAATGTCTGAGTTCCCATAGAAATCCATAAATTTTAGGATGCTTTAAGGATAATTATAAATAATAACTTATTTTGTAAAGGTGTAATCTTTTTCTTTTTGACACAAGGTTTTGCTGTCTTGCTCAGGCTGATCCCAAACTCCTGGGCTCAAGGATTCCTCCTGTCTCAACCTCCCAAGTAGTTGAGATTATACACACAGGCTGTCATGCCTGGCTGTAATCATTTAATGAAGCATTGAACTATGGAAATGTGGATATGTATATTACCTTGTTTCCATGTGCCTTATTTTTTTATATTTAACATTTATCTGTGAAACGGTACAGAATATTAGTAGGCATGTATTAAACATTTGTGCTTTATGGTGTTCTGATTTTTGTTTATGATATTCTGTTTTGTTATTTTAATAAAGTGGATATTAAGTGAGACATACCTCTTTTCAGTATGATCCATTTGCTGAGCACAGACCTCCAAAGATTGCAGACCGGGAAGATGAATACAAAAAGCATAGGCGGACCATGATAATTTCCCCAGAGCGTCTTGATCCTTTTGCAGATGGTAATTCTTTCCCACTTTTCTATAAGTATTCAGAAATTTATTTGTATTAAGTTGTCTTTAGCCCTTTGATTTTTTTTGGCATGCTTCTGAATTTGCTTTTCTTTTTAAAAATCCCCCTTACTATAGATTTGTATAGATGTGGTTGAAGTCACAGATGCCATATTCTTCATCTTTATAATGCAAGTTTTCTTTCCAGGTAGAAGGACAAGAAAAAAATGAGCCAATGCCATAGAAACGCAAAGGGTTAAAGGTTTTACTTTTACTTTTGTTTTGGGTACGCTTTCTATACTTGGATCAAATGTATTTTTCTGCTCAAAATACTTTCAAATTATTGAAAGTTTTCATTCCAAATCCTAGATTTTTAGGATTGTTACCCTTGAGAAACTGTTTCTCACACTAGAGCTCCCCCCATAGTGCTCTAAATATAGCTTAGTAAAGGCACCTACTTTGCTCTAAGCATACTTAAAGTTAAAACAAAAGTATGTATACGAAGAGTTTGATATTTTTAATAGTTGGAGTCTGTTTTGCTAATTTTAGTGTGCAAGTCAGCACAAGGGGCATAGTGAGCCTGATGGAAGCTTTCCTCAGGTGAGTGAGTTTCACAATCAAAATTAGGTGCCTGTTTCTTAAAATTAGATTCTGCTGCAGGTTTACATACTAGACTTTTCAGCCTGCATGAATTAGTAGGGATATTCTTTTTTTACTTGCATAATTGTAATTGATTTAAACATGTATGCCAGAATTCACAGGCCCATACTAACTGTCCTTAATTTCTTTCCTACAGCAGTACTGCTATATGCCAGTCCTGTCTGCATTCTTAAGGGTGCAGTTCAACACATCCTCTCTAGATTATGGTGAAAAAGTATTCCAAAGGAAGTCTTATCAGAGCTAGTGTCAGAAAGAATGACACTACCAATTGGGCATGATCTTCAGCATAGGAAATGTCTTAGAATTTTATTATTTTTTCCTAAATTGTGATGCTATACTACTTGTATAGCTAGTTACCACATTTCTAAAGCATAGTGTGCCTCTGTGAATCTTGTTATATACTGTTTGGGCTTCTGTAAGATATTTTGAAGTTTGAAAAGCAAATACTGAAACTTTAACCAAGAGACTGACACATCTCTTTGTACACCACGTTGCTTCTGTGTGCATCATAATAACTGGTAGAAGTAATATATTTAAAGTAATATGTTTCCAGTTTTAATTTATGCTTTCTAAGAAATAAAAATATGTTTTCTGGGTCAACAAAACTTAAAGCATGAAGCCCTTTTTAGTAACGTGACATCAGAATAAGATTATAGGTATATTTTTAAAATCAGATTTTCTAAACTACAATTGTTTTAGAACACTGTATGAAGAACTTATCTAGTCATAGTTATTTGTAGTCAGGATTTTAACAGCTTGCAACAGGTAATGTTTTGAATATAAATATCTTTCCAAAGTGTTACTAATGGTAAAGAGATAATTTTCTAGGCTTCTATTCTGCTGCTTGAAGTCAGAACTGCTGATGGAGACAAAGGCACGAAAGTGTACGTATTCCGGATTAGCAACCCAGGAACCCATCACTTCTGAAGACTCTAAACTGTGCTGTCATTTTGTTTTTATATGCATTAAAATATTTGTTTTAAACTGCTGTAGATGTTTGTGTTCAAACAGGTTAAATTGATCAGCAAACTCAATAAAAAGTAAGATGTATAATTATTAAAGTTTTCCATCAAAAAATAATTTAAATGATTATGGAATAACATAATATTTAGAGCAGGGCAGATAAATCAGTTGAACCTGCTTATTTTTTATTTATTGTACTCTTTTTCCTGTTGCTGTTCTTTTCTGCAGGAGGGAAAACCCCTGATCCTAAAATGAATGCTAGGACTTACATGGATGTAATGCGAGAACAACACTTGACTAAAGAAGAAGTATGTAAACCTGTCTCCTGTTTTAATGGTTGTGAAAGAATATAAATACAGTTGTGATTGAGAGACTGTTAGGTTTCTTTTTTGCTATTTGCTGCACAAATAATAGTATTAATAAAAATTAACTGAGAAAGAATCTTACCCCCAAATTATACCACCTTCCAAGTAAAACTTTTCATTTCTATATCCTTTTCTAGTCCTGGGCCCCTTGGCTGTATATGTTTGTATGTATGTGTCTCACAAGGGATTTTTTTTTTTTTTTTTTTTTTTTTTTTTTGGACACAGTCTCACTCTGTCATCCAGGCTAGAGTGCAGTGGCGTGATCTCATCTCACTGCAATCTCTGCTTCCCAGGTTCAAGTTATCCTCCCACTTCAGCCTCCCGAGTAGCTGGGAACACAAGTGTGTGTCACCATGCCTAGCTAATTTTTGTATTTTTAGTAGAGATGGGGTTTCACCATGTTGGCCAGGCTGGTCTCAAACTCCTGACCTCAGGTGATCTGCCTGTCTCGGCCTGCCAAAGTGCTGGGATTACAGGTGTGAGCCACTGTGCCTGGCCATTACAGGGGTGGTTTCTGTGTGGAGAAGGTTGATGGTGTGTATCTGAACTCAGTATGTTAGGGAAAAGTCAGAGTTCAGTGTGAGATTCTGTAAGTTTCGGTTTGGATGTAAGTGGAGAATTTTGAATAATTCCTTTTGGCCTACAGAGATTATGCCATTTTGTCTAATAACTGCCTACTTTTTGTTTGTTTGTTTTGAGTGGAGTCTTCCTTTGTTGCCCAGGCTGAAGTGCAGTGGTGCGATTTCAGCTTACCGCACCCTCTGCCTCCTGGGTCCAAGCGATTCTCCTGCCACAGCCTCCCGAGTTTCTGGGATTGCAGGTGTGCACCGCCATGCCTGGCTAATTTTCATATTTCTTTTTTTTTTTTTTTTTTTTAGTAGAGGTGGGGTTTCGTTATGTTGGCCAGGCTGGTCTCGAACTCCTGACCTCAGGTGATCTGCCCGCCTTAACCTCTCAAAGTGCTGGGATTACAGGTGTGAGCCACCGTACCCAGCCTCCTCCATTACTATTATGAATATATAATAGATTTTATATGTTGAATGAGTTAAATGGGATGGTAAAACCCCATTTTAACAGTACAGAGTGAATTAAATGTGCATCCATTATCACTATGCATATTTACATAATTTGTCAGTATAAATAAAACAATTTTATTATTTTTATCTTTTACCATTTTTCTATCTTGTTCCATAGTCTTAATTGCTATTTATATGAGTTTTGAAGAAAACCCTATTTTTCAGTGGAAGCATTATGGTTCTCCATTGTTGACTGAAGATTTTACTTCACCTCCAGTATATAAACTACAGTGTGCTATGTTACGAATTCTGAACTTGCTTATCTTTTGTTTAGAAAGGCATTATGTAAAACGAAATAAAGACGCACAGACTATGGAACCAGCGAGCGTAGAAAGGAGATCACCAGTACATAGAAAAGAGAATGAGCAAAGTATAAAATAGGATGTTAAGTGGAAGTGATTGCGCTAATGGTAGAAAAATACATTGAAAGCATTTTAAAGGTAAATACTCACTGTTTTTTTCAGCGAGAAATTAGGCAACAGCTAGCAGAAAAAGCTAAAGCTGGAGAACTAAAAGTCGTCAATGGAGCAGCAGCGTCCCAGCCTCCATCAAAACGAAAACGGCGTTGGGATCAAACAGCTGATCAGACTCCTGGTGCCACTCCCAAAAAACTATCAAGTTGGGATCAGGCAGAGGTAATTTCTTTTTGTTTTTTGTTATTACTGTTAAAAAATTTTTTTCTGTTATGGACTGTATTAGTCTGCTTGGGTTGCCATAGCAAGATACCACAGACTGGGTGCCTTAAACAACAGACATTGATTTTTTTCGCAGTTCTGGAGGCTTGAAATCCAAGATCAGAGTGCCAACAGGGTTGGTGTTTGTTGAGGGCTTTCTTGCTGTGTCCTCACATGGCCTTTCTCTGTGCCAGCAAGCTCTGTTGTCCATGCTCTTCCTATGAGGACATCAGTCTTACTAGATTAGGGCCCCACCCTCATGACCCCATTTGACCTTAATTTACCTCCCTAAAGGCCCAGTCTCCAAATACAGTCACACTGGGGGTTAGGACTTCAACATACAGATTTTGAGGGGCATGCAATTTAGTCCATATTATGGAATAAGGAAAGTTCTTTTTAGAATATTAAATACAGACCTGTAGGTATGTTACATTGTGGAGGTTGAGTATGATATAGTGGTCTTCCTTATCTTCTGGATAGATAACTTAAGCCCCTCACTACTGGCAGCAAATAGTCAATGCTACTCCTTTCTCTTGGCCAGTCTACTCTCCTACCTTTTTTTTTTTTTAAACATTTGTTTTGGAGGCTGAATGCATTGGCTCATGCCTATAATCTCAGCACTTTGGGGGTCCAGGTGGGAGGATTGGTTGAGCTCAAGGAGTTTGAGACCAGCTTGGGCAACAGAGGGAGACCCTGTCTTTACAAAAAAAAAAAAAAAAATTAGCTGGGCATAGTGGTGCATGCCTGTAGTCCCAGCTACTGGGGTATGGGGGGTGGTGGGGGCTGAGGTGGGAGGATCCCTTGATCCCCGGAGGTAGAGGTTGCAGTGAGCTATGATCATGCCGCTGCATTCCAGCCTGGTGACAGAGTAAGACCCTGTCTCAAAAAAACAAAACGATGGCATCTGTAAAATCTTTCTTAGAAATGTATTTCCTAGTTCTGTAGAAATGGTTGTATTAGATGTTTTCTATCATTTAATAATATACTTGCAGACTAAAAGATATAAGTGCTGCATAAAAGTAGCTAATTATGTTAAACTGTCATATGTGCCTTTATTATGTTTGTCATTATCCTGAATAGAAAGGTCTTTAAAATTGATTTTTTAGAAAGCACTTGAAAATATTTAATCATTGCTAGAAAAATAAAGCGGCTGGGTGCGGTGGCTCACGCTTGTAATCCCAGCATTTTGGGAGGCCAAGGCAGGCGGATCTTGAGGTCAGGAGTTCAAGACCAGCCTGGCCAACGTAGTGAAACCCTGTCTCTACTAAAAATACAAAAAAAATTAGCTGGGCATGGTGGCGTGTGCCTGTAGTACCAGCTACTTGGGAGGCTGAGACAGGAGAATCACTTGAACCTGGGAGGTGGAGGTTGTAGTGAGCTGAGATTACGCCAATGTGTTCCAGCTTGGGCAACAGAGTGAGACTTTGTCTCAAAATAAATAAATAAATAATTAAAGCTACTCTTTTGCTTATGCACCATTTCCCTTCCCCTCTTGGAGACTCTCATCATGTACCATTAATTTTTTTCTCCATACTAGATTATCAGCACCAGCAAACATGTTTTATCGTGCTTTGTCTTAATAACAGCAACAAAAAACCTGCAGAAAACATCTCTTAACCCCATTCACATCCGCATTCAGCTACAATCCTGTTTCTATATCTTTTTAGAACAAAGTGCTTTGTTCTTTGTTTTTTTCTTGAGGTAGGGTCTCATTCTGTTGCCAAGGTTGGAGTGCAGGGGCGCAATAATAGCTCACTGCAGCCTCCACCTCCTGGGCTCAAATGATCTTCCCACCTCAACCCCCCAAGTAGATGGGACTATAGACACGTACCACCATGCCTGGCTAGTTTTTTATTTTTTTGTAGAAACGGGTCTCACCATGTTGTCCAGGCTGATCTCAAACTCCTGGGCTTAAGCAGTCCATCTGCCTCAGCCTTGCAAAGTGCTGGGATTACAGGCATGAGCCACAGATGCCTTGAATGAGTTGTTTGTACTTGCTTTCCCTGCTTACATAGTTCTAGTCTTATGTAATTTCTAGTCTTTTTATGTAGTTCTAGTCTATTCCACCTAAAATCTCTTGTCAAGGTCACTTGGCCCCTAATTGATAAATTTAAAAAGTGTATTTTCATTTCTCACATGATTTAGCATACCAAGAATATTTGACATTTCTTCATACCCTTTTCTCTCTCAGTCTCTGGGTTTTAGTCTTTCTTGCTTCCCCTCAAAATCTCAGTGGCTACTACTCCTTAGTCTTGTTTGCTGGATCCTCATTCTTCTTACCTCTGAACTTTGGGGTGTTATAGTAGTGCTGAGTCTTTTGGATTCTTTTCCATCTGTGCTCAATCCCTAGGATCTCATTCTTGTCTTTATGTACCGTTTGTATAAGATAGCTGCCAAACTTACAAATCTGTCCTCTGCTTCTGTTCCGCAGACTTGCGTATTTGTTCAGCTTGACGTATTTATTTGGCTGTTCAATGGGCATTTCAAAATCAGTATTTCTAAAAGAAAATTATTGATTTTCTTCGCATACATGTCTTCTCAGTCCTGCTCCCCTGGTCTTTCCTGTGTCTGTTTGGCTCAAGCAAAACATTAAGGGCTGGGCAGAGTGGCTCAGGCCTGTAATCCCAGCACTTTGGGAGGCCAAGGTGGGTGGATCATTTGAGGTCAGGCGTTCAAGACCAGCTTGGCCAACATGGTGAAAACCCCGACTCTAGTTAAAATACAAAAATTAGCCCGGCATGTTGGCGGGCACCTGTAATCCCAGCTACTTGGGAGGCTGAGGCAGGAGAATCACTTGAACCCGGGAGGTGGAGGTTGCAGTGAGAGGAGATCGTGCCACTGCACTTCAGTCTTGCGACACAGCGAGACTCTGTCTCAAAAAAAAAAACAAAACAAAACAAGAACAACAATAACAAAAAAACATTTAGGGAGTCATCCTATACTCCTTATTCTCTTACCCCATATCCTACCCATATACATTTTCTTGGCATCACCTTTAAATATATTAAAGAGCTAGCCACTTTTCATGATCTCTGCCTCTACCATCCTAGTCTAAATCACTATTAGCTCTAGCCTAGACTGCTATAGATTTAATTTATAAACCAAGAAAAAACCTATCAGATCATGCAGTATTTCCCCAAACCCAGAACAGGGATATATAAAACCTAATACATAATTTCTAAACAATTTAGTTTAAGGTGAGGACTTCTCATTTGCTTGGTTATATGTAGGAGGGATTTGGTTCTGTTCAATATAAGTAACTACTAGCTTTATTTTTAATTTTAATTTTAATTTTTGAGACAGAGTCTTGCTCTGTCACCCATGGGTAGCTGGAGTGCATTGGTGCAATCTCAGCTCATTGCAATCTCCGCCTCCCAGACTCAAGTGACTCTTGTGCCTCAGCCTCCCAAGTAGCTGGGATTACAGGCATGTGCCATCACGCCCAGCTAATTTTTGTATTTTTAGTAGAGACAGGGTTTCTCCATGTTGGCCAGGCTGGTCTTGAACCCCTGGCCTCAAGTGATCCCCCCACCTTGGCCTCCCAAAGTGGTGGGATTACAGTTATGAGCCACCATGTCCAGCCAAGTAACTAGTAACTTTAATTCTATGGATGACATTCAGTACTAAGTTTGAGAAAGAGAAAGAAGTTTGTCCTCCTGTTAATTGTTTAACTGTATGCACATAACTAGACACAAGAGCTGATATCTTTTTTTTTTTTTTTTTTTTTTTTTGAGACAACAGTCTTGCTCTGTCACCCAGACTAGAGTGATGATTTTGGTCCCCTGCAACCTCCACCTCCCAGGTTCAAGTGATTCTCCTGCCTCACCCTCCCAAGTAGCTGGGATTACAGGTGCCTGCCACCACGCCTGGCTAACTTTTAGTAGAGACAGGGTTTCGCAGTGTTGGCCAGGCTGGTGTCAAACTCCCAACCTCAGGTGACCCACCCGCCTTGGCCTCCCAAGGTGCTGGGATTACACGTGTGAGCCACTGCGCCTGGCATGAGAGCTGATATGCTGATATCTTTCTTATAAAAACTACAGAGACTCGGCCAGACGCGGTGGCTCACGCCTGTAATCCCAGCACTTTGGGAGGCCAAGCGGGCAGATCACCTGAGGTCGAGAGGTTGAGACCATCCTGGCCAACATGGTGAAACCCCGTCTCTACTAAAAATACAAAAAATTAGCCAGGTGTGGTGGCAGGCACCTGTAATCCCAGCTACTCAGGAGGCTGAGGCAGGAGAATCGCTTGAACCCGGGAGACAGAGGTTGCAGGGAGCCGAGACTGCGCCATTGGACTCTGGCCTGGGTGACAGAGTGAGACTCTGTCTCAAATAAATAAATAAATAAATAAATAAATAAATTAAATCAGAGACTCAGACTTTTTTAAAAATTCTGTTCATTTAATACAACTGTACCCTAGTCATAATTGTAGGAATTACAATAGATAATAGAATTCATTTCCCACCTTTCCTTATAATTCAGCAGGAGGGACAGATGCCAGAATGGAGATTTTAAACAATTTGTGTGCTTTATTTACCTAATCCAGAATTTTTCAACCCTGAGTAATAGTAAAATCTTTTTTTTTTTTTTTTTTTGAGACAGAGTCTCACTCTCACCCAGGCTGGAGTGCAGTGGCGTGATCTTGGCTTGTTGCAACCTCCGCCTCCTGGGTTTAGGCAATTCTCATGCCTCACCCTCCTGAGTAGCTGGAATTACAGGTGTGCACCACCACACCCAGCTATTTTTATTTATTTTTATTTTTTATTTTTAGTAGAGATGGGCTTTTGCCATGTTGGCCAGGCTGGTCTCAACTCCTGGCCTCAATTGATCTGCCTGCCTGGCCTCCCAAAGTGCTGGGATTACAGGCATGAACCACCATGCCCAGCCCTGAGTAGTATGTTTTTAAGGGAAAAACTATTGAGTCTTAAACTTGTTTAATGGTACCATGCAAATTTGCAAACATAAAGGTAGATGAAGTCCTTGTGTCTATAAGAGCTCCCAACTTTCCCAACTTTTTTTCTTTTTTTTTTTGAGACGGGGTCTCACTCTGTCGCTCAGCCTGGAGTGCAGTGGTGCTATCTCGGCTCACTGCAAACTCTGCCTCCCGGGTTCACACCATTCTCCTGCCTCAGCCTCCCGAGTAGCTGGGACTACAGGCACCCGCTACAACGCCTGGCTGATTTTTTTTGTATTAGTAGAGACGGGGTTTCACCATGTTAGCCAGGATGGTCTCTATCTCCTGACCTTGTGATCCGCCCGCCTCGGCCTCTCAAAGTGCTGGGATTACGGGTGTGAGCCACCGCACCCGGCCAAGAGCTCCCAACTTTAAAACAAATATATAAAGTACATTACACATCCTGTGGAATACTTACGAGGCAGTATATAAGTACAAATTTTGTTTTCTTTACACTCAACTCTATGCTACTTTGATATGATACTATCTTTATTGGTGGAGATTCTTTTGCTATTACATGCAGTCAGTTGTCCAACTATTACTCTCTGTTTGAACTACTGTGGAACCCTTGATGTTACTTAAACCCACCTCTCAGCCTGGGCAGCATAGTAAGACTCTTATCTCTCCAAGAAATAAAAAATTAACTGGGTGTGGTGGTGTGCGCCTGTATGTAGTCTCAGCTACTCAGGAGGCTGACATGGGAGGATCACTTGAGCTTGGTAGGTGGAGACTGCAGTGAGCCGTGATTGTGCCACTGCACTCAACCTGGGCGACAGAGTGAGACCCTGTGTCAAAAAACAAATGAAAATCCACCTCTCATCTTTTTTCATTAATCTTGCCAGCATCAGCTAGGGTAATATTATTTGGTACACATGTAACTGTACATACAAACTGATCTCAAGATTGAAATCATGTGACGGTATCTGGTTATAATTACATAGGTGGGGCCTGGTGCGGTGGCTCACGCCTGTAATCCCAGCACTTTGGGAGGCCAAGGTGGGTGGATCACGAGGTCAGGAGTTCGAGACCAGCCTGACCAACGTGGAGAAACCCTGTTTCTACTAAAAATACAAAAATTAGCCCGGCGTGGTGGCAGGCACCTGTAACCCCAGCTACTCAGGAGGCTGAGGCTGGAGAATCACTTGAACCCGGGAGGCAGAGGTTGCTGTGAGCCAAGATCATGCCCCGGCACTCCAGCCTGGGTGACAGAGCGAGACTCTGTCTCAAAAAAAAAAAAAAAAAAAAAATTACATAGGTGATCTAAAGCATGTTTATATTAATTAAACACACACAATTAAACAAAACATCAACAGGACTATTTTCTTAGAACACACGAATTCCTTCTCCCCTAAATATGTGTCTCTAAGCCCCACTTTGAGAAGTACTAATGTAATTAGAGCTGAAAGCCTTCGATTACTGATCTAGATAGAGAAACCTCAGTGATTTCCCCCAGTCACAGAGCTATTAATGGCATATCAAAGATTCATATCGATAATATTTTGTTTTTTTAAGCTGGGACTTTTGTCAGTGCTTCGGATTGAAACTTTACATTGTTTTTAATCATAAACATTTGCTAGAAAGTAGGTATCTTTTCCTATAAGTAGAGGTAGTGTCTTCTAACTTTTCATTAATTATAGTGCATAGAACTAAAACATTTTTCGTTTAAAGTTTTTTATTTTATGGAAATTTTCTAATTATTTCTGTGTGGGTGTGTGAAATAAAATTTTTTTGCTTTTTTAAGACCCCTGGGCATACTCCTTCCTTAAGATGGGATGAGACACCAGGTCGTGCAAAGGGAAGCGAGACTCCTGGAGCAACCCCAGGCTCAAAAATATGGGATCCTACACCTAGCCACACACCAGCGGGAGCTGCTACTCCTGGACGAGGTGATACACCAGGCCATGCGACACCAGGCCATGGAGGCGCAACTTCCAGTGCTCGTAAAAACAGATGGGATGAAACCCCCAAAACAGAGAGAGGTACTTCTAGTGGAGTATGGGTGTGTGGGTGAAATGTTGAGTGATATGTTTACAGACTGAAATGTGTTCTGTTTATTCCTGGGTGGACACGTATAAATAACCAGCTGCTTTTGGGGGACAGATTAAGAATAGAACAGTTCATATGCCTAATTTTTTCCACTTCTTGAAGTGGTTTAAGATTTAAGGAAGAACCTTAGGTAAAAGTAAAGTTAGTAGGCTGTAACCTTTGATTTTGTGTGTTTCTTTAGAGATAGGGTCTTGCTCACTGTAGCCTTGACATCCTAGGCTCAAGTGATCTTCCCACCTCAGCCTTCTTAGTAGCTGAGACTATAGGGGCATGCCACCATGCCTGGCTAATTTTTTTTTTTTGAGATGGAGTTTTGCTCTTGTTGTCCAGACTGGAATGCAATGGCGCGATCTCAGCTCACTGCAACCTCCACCTCCCGGATTCAGGCGATTCTCCTGCCTCAGCCTTCCTGAGTAGCTGGGATTACAGGCATGCGCCACCAAGCCCGGCTAATTTTGTATTTTTAGTAGAGACGGGGTTTCTCTATGCTGGTCAGGCGGGTCTCGAACTCCCGACCTCAGATGATCTGCCCCCCTCGGCCTTCTGAAATGCTGGGATTACAGGCATGAGCCACCGCTTCCGGCCCCTGGCTAATTTTTAAATTTTTTGTAGAGACAATGTCTTGCTTCATTGCCCAGCCTGGTGTTGAACTCCTGGTTTCAAGTGATCTGCCAAAGTGTTGGAATTACAGGCATGAACCACTGTGCCTGACTTACCCTTTGTTTTTTATTATGGAAAAATGTACATAACATCAAATTTACTTTTTTTGTTGTTGTTGTTGAGATGGAGTCTTGCTCTGTCACCCAAGCTAGAGTGCAGTGGTGCGCTCTCGGCTGACTGCAACCTCTGCCTCCCCAGTTCAAGTGATTCTTTTGCTTCAGCCTCCTGAGTAGCTGGGATTACAAGCGCCCACCACCACACCTGGCTACTTTTTGTATTTTTAGTAGAGACAGAGTTTCATCATGTTGATCAGGCTGGTCTCAAACAACTTTAAATGGGTCACCATTTTAGGAATATTCTATTTTAGAACTTGATAGTTTTGAGTATAACTGTTTGAGAATAAAGAATATTATTTTAACAGTGATTAAAATTGTGGTTTTACTCACTCTTTCTTTTTAAAGATACTCCTGGGCATGGAAGTGGATGGGCTGAGACTCCTCGAACAGATCGAGGTGGAGATTCTATTGGTGAAACACCGACTCCTGGAGCCAGTAAAAGAAAATCACGGTGGGATGAAACACCAGCTAGTCAGATGGGTGGAAGCACTCCAGTTCTGACCCCTGGAAAGACACCAATTGGCACACCAGCCATGAACATGGCTACCCCTACTCCAGGTAGAACTGTCTCATTGGACATAATTGTTTTTTTCTCCATAAATTATTTAATTTTTTCCTTTGTGGTATTCTGTGTACTATTAATGTCAACTTCTAGTAAGAATAAGGAGATATACAAATTTAAGTCTTGGTTTGCGTTTATAATATAAAAGCAAATAATAGGATTGATCTTAACTGTCTTTTATCTCAATGTATGTAATAATACAGTCTTGTACTATAGATTATATAAAAATTTGCTTTTCTTGGTAGGTCACATAATGAGTATGACTCCTGAACAGCTTCAGGCTTGGCGGTGGGAAAGAGAAATTGATGAGAGAAATCGCCCACTTTCTGATGAGGAATTAGATGCTATGTTCCCAGAAGGATATAAGGTAGTACATCAAATTTGAATGAGGTGGTATTTAGGATATACATTTATTTTAAATAGTGAAAAAAATTGATTAAGCTTGCATTGGCTTTGCCCAAATTTACTATTGTCATTCCATTCTCTTAGCTATTTCCAGGTATATTTCAGTTCCATATAGAGATGAAAAGAAATGAACAACATGAAACTTTTATTACTTTTTGAAAGACATCTCAAAGACTTGTGTATGGGTCTATCGGTTATACTTTGAGAACTGCTGGTGCTTCAGTTTTCTAGCAGTCCCAGGAATAAGCTCGTTGAGATTGTGGTTATTTTACTTGGTGCTTCACCAAGATTTTATATACTTAAGTTTATGGATTGTCAGTGGACACAAAGAATTTTTTTTTTTTTTTTTTTTTAAAAGATGGAGTCTCACTCTGTTGCCCAGGCTGAAGTGCAGTGGCGTGATTTCGGCTCATTGCAACCTCCGCCTCCCAGGTTTAAGCGATTCTCTTGCCTGAGTTTCCCAGGTACCTGGGATTACAGGTGTCCACCACCATGCCCGGCTCATCTTTGTATTTCTAGTAGAGACAGGGTTTCGCCATGCTGGCCAGGCTGATCTTGAACTCCTGACCTCAAGTGATCCGTCCCTCTCAGCCTCCCAAAGTGCTGGGATTACAGGCGTGAGTTACCGTGCCTGGCCTTTTTATCATATCAACCTAAAATTTATTTTGAACTATAAAATTTTCTAGGTACCTGGTACTCAGGGAGTATTTGTTAGTCTGAAGATAGTCTGTGGTCGTATAGCTGACATCATAACCAGGGGGAACCAGATAACTTTGTAAGTCATCTGATGGCCTTTACAGAGCTTTTTCTGTTAATGACTATTGATTTTTAACAGTTCATGAGTATGTTTTTTGTTGTTTTGTTTTGTTTTAGAGACAGGGTCTCACTGTGTTGCCCGTACTGGAGAGCAGTGGCGCTGACATAGCTCACTGCAGCCTTGGACTCCTGGGCTCAAGTGATCCTCCTGCCTCAGCCTCCTGAGTAGCTGGGGCTACAGGCATGCACTACCATACCTGGCTAATTTTTTTATTTTTTGTAGATACGGGAGTCTCACTGTGTTGCCAGGCTGGTCTCAAACTCCTAGGCTCAAAGTACCCACATTGGCCTCCCACACTGCTGGGGATTATAGGCATGAGCCACTGTGTCCAGCCTTGTTTTGTTTTTGATCCCCTGTTATTTGTGTTAGAGTATTTGTTTCAAGTTTGCATGAAGTTTTGCCTTAAAGCTTTTTGTAGCCTCCACATAATGCTGTGGGTATAGATAGAACTGTGGGTATAGATAGACAGAACTTACTGTTGACTGCCTGCATGTCTTTCTCAGTCGTAGTCATTGATTTCCTTAGTGTCACTAGGAGGAAAAGTCTCCCTTAGTGAATCCTACTAATAAGCAACGTCCTTACTAGTGAATATAAAAATATAGTAGACCTTTAAATCCTTAATGGCAAGTGATGCCTGTGGACTTGACATTGATTTCTCTAGGCCTCACATCTTTAGAGTATCCACTTTATCCAAAATGCTTAGTGGTCTGTGCTGGTGCAGACGTTAACTAGCAACAAAAAATATCTGTGCAAAGTACAGATAGCATCAATATAAATTTAACATAATTTAATCTTTAATAGACAAAACAATTTTAGGCTCACTGGAGAAGACGTGTATAGGTTTATTGACCTCTCCAAGAAGTTGTATTTTTTTTCTTTTACTATATATTAAATTATATAAAATAGAGATGGGGTCTTGCCATGTTGCCAAGGCTGGTCTCAAACTCCTGGGCTCAAGCGTTCCTCCCATCTCAGCCTCCCAAAGTGCTGTAATCCTGGCCTGTCCAGAAGTTGTTTTTTTTTTTTGAAGTCTGTTACCAGCTTTAAAAAAAAAAAAAAAAATTTCTTTGTGATTTTCAGCCTGCATTTTTTGAAATTTTACTCGTTTTGCAAAAGGTTTGATCAGGTGGTGTGTATTTTATAGGGCTTTGGCAAACATTTTGGTTTTAGTTTTTATGCATTTAACTAATTTTTGTAGAGTTTTACACTTAAAAGATTTTGTAGTGCAAGAATTTATGTGACATTTTAATACTAAAATATAATTTTTTATGTTTTATGCCCCATATGAGCTTATTTCCATTTTATATAAATCTTATGAAACATTATTTGCTCGACTACAGCATTTTTTGGAATTGCTGACTCAGATTTTATAATTTTCAAATTTTTAATAATTTGACATTTTGACCCACAACATGTTTGAATGTGATTAGTATTTTCTAAGCTCTTCTCTTGTGTTTCCTCAGTTCCCTACACCACGGATATAATCAGTTAGTGGATGAGAAGTATATATTTTAAGTTTCTAATTAAGATAGAAAAGCAAGATAGATGTTGTCTCCAAGCAAATAAAAACCTTATTAGCTAATAAACTAAAATATTTTAAGTGCAAATATTGTTCATTATGCTGTTTTTTAAGTTAAGAAAATCCTAAACTGTCTTATAACTTTTATTAGGTACTTCCTCCTCCAGCTGGTTATGTTCCTATTCGAACTCCAGCTCGAAAGCTGACAGCTACTCCAACACCTTTGGGTGGTATGACTGGTTTCCACATGCAAACTGAAGATCGAACTATGAAAAGTGTTAATGACCAGCCATCTGGAAATCTTCCATTTTTAAAACCTGATGATATTCAATACTTTGATAAACTATTGGTAAGTGATACTAGCAGAAATAAACTATTAATTGTGTTCCAGAATTATAAATCATAACATTTCAACTTCCCTTAACATTTTTTTCTTTTTACTATAGGTTGATGTTGATGAATCAACACTTAGTCCAGAAGAGCAAAAAGAGAGAAAAATAATGAAGTTGCTTTTAAAAATTAAGAATGGAACACCACCAATGAGAAAGGTAAGTCCCAGTTTGTTAAATTGTCATGTTTGTTGCTTATTTATTTAATTAAAAAAAATTTGTAGTTTTTGTAGAGACAGGGTTTTGCCATGTTGCCCAGGCTGGTCTCAAGTGATCCTCCTGCTTTGGCCTACCTCCCAAAGTGCTGGGATTACAGGTGTGAGGCTCTGCACCTGGCCATGTTTATATTTTTAAAAATGTTTTTAATTTTTTCACCAGGAAATGTAGACCACAAAATAGTAGTGAACTATTGGTATAGCCCGCTGTGGAGTGTGGTCTTTCCTTTACTCTCCCAAATAGCCCAAATTGGTAAAGGTTATTTAGAAAGCCTTCCCCATAAAAAATTAACTTTTGGTAGTGTTATATTTTTGTGTTTAGGAATTTATAATTACTGTCTTCATCTTTATCAAGGACATAGCATGAGGGGAAAAAATTTATGTAGTGTGAAGGATTTAACTTTTTTGCTTGTTTTTATTATTAATATTATATATATATTTTTGAGACAGGGTCTTGCTCTCTTGCCCAGGCTGGAGTGCAGTGGTGTAGTCTTGGCTCACTGCAACCTCCGCCTCTTGGGTTCAAGCAATTGTGCCTCAGCCTTCCAAGTAGCTGGGACTACAGGCGTGCACCACCACGCCCTGCTAATTTCTGTATTTTTAGTAGAAACGGGGTTTCACCATGTTGGCCAAGCTGGTCTTGAACTCCTGGCCTCAAATGATTAACCTGCCTCGGTCTCCCAAAGTGCTGGGATTACAGGTGTGAACCACCATGCCCAGCCGTTTGTTTTTATTATTATTTAAATACTCCTGGGCTCAAGAGATCCTCCTGCCTCAGTCTCCGAAAGTGTTGGGATTACAGGTGTGAGCCACCGTGCCCAGCTGGAGTTAGCACAAAATTCTTTGGTTAAAAAAGCTAATAAAAATGCTGAAAAATGAGATTCTCCTTTTTGTTCTTAAGGCCTTTAAAATATGCTTAAAGCTTGAAGATAATTAGTGAAATTATGTGAGGGATTATGTTAACACTATATGTGCCTTGGAAATGGAAGATACTTCAGGGAAATGAAGGCATTTAGTACATACCTCTGTGGTTCGTTCTATTAAATTACTCTTTTGAGTTAACATAAAATTTCTATCACAGGAATTGAAATTCCAGAGTAATTTGGATGGAAATGAACTCATGCTGTCTATGTAAAATGTGTGTAAAAGTAAACACTAAAATATTAAAGTATGGAAAATCTTCTTTGAGTAATTTGCTCATTCAAAATGTTTGATTATAAAGAAACCACACCTATTACTCTGCTCTTTTTCCCAGGCTGCATTGCGTCAGATTACTGATAAAGCTCGTGAATTTGGAGCTGGTCCTTTGTTTAATCAGATTCTTCCTCTGCTGATGTCTCCTACACTTGAGGATCAAGAGCGTCATTTACTTGTGAAAGTTATTGATAGGATACTGTACAAACTTGATGACTTAGTTCGTCCATATGTGCATAAGGTTTGTTCTCCTTAATAGTGTTTCTGATAGTTTAAAGTTTTAACTTTTTCAGTTAATCAATGTTAAATTTACATATTCTCCTAGACCTTTTCCTTTGCACAAGTACACACCATACATGTACAAATACAGTTTTATACAGATGTACAGATGTTAGTTTTTGTCATCTTTGCCGTAAGAGGTTCATATTATTTAATTTTTTCATTTGCTTTTATTAAAATTAGATTAGGATGAGAACATATGAGAACTAACGCCAGTTAGTATTAAGAACCAGTTTTTTCACCGATGGTAATTATGGTGCAGTATGTTCATAGGGTGTATAAGTTATTTCTTTAAAAAATATTGAATATTAGTGTGTCACTAATAGCTCTCTTAAATTTTCATCTCTGTCTGGAGTTTGAACTTGTATAATTAAAATTCTTAAACAGTTCGTCCCTTGATTAACAAAAGTCCTGATAATTCTAAATTTCTTATGTATGTTTAATTCTGTACATGAGCATTTCATCAGTAATTGATGTGAAAGTGTAGCTTCTTCTCTTTTCTCTTTTTCAGATCCTCGTGGTCATTGAACCGCTATTGATTGATGAAGATTACTATGCTAGAGTGGAAGGCCGAGAGATCATTTCTAATTTGGCAAAGGTATTTACATTTAATTTCTAGAGAAGAAAATTTATATCTGTTTATGGAATTGATTATGGAAAGAAATGGTTGAAGATTAATATTACCAACTCATGACTGTCCTTTCTTTGTTTACATTTTAGGCTGCTGGTCTGGCTACTATGATCTCTACCATGAGACCTGATATAGATAACATGGATGAGTATGTCCGTAACACAACAGCTAGAGCTTTTGCTGTTGTAGCCTCTGCCCTGGGCATTCCTTCTTTATTGCCCTTCTTAAAAGCTGTGTGCAAAAGCAAGAAGTCCTGGCAAGCGAGACACACTGGTATTAAGATTGTACAACAGATAGCTATTCTTATGGGCTGTGCCATCTTGCCACATCTTAGAAGTTTAGTTGAAATCATTGAACATGGTAAGTTGTAATGTAACTTTGTCTTTTTTTTTTTTTCTTTAGGAGACAGGGTCTTACTATGTTGCCCAGACTGGACTCAAACCTTTGGGCTCAAGTGATCCTCCTGCTCAGCCTCCTTAGTAGTTGGGACTAGAGGTACACACACAGCCTGTCCATGTTTAATAGGACAGCTGTCCTAAAATTTGGGCTACTGATTTGGGGAGATAAATGGAAAGGCATAGCTCTACAAACTATAGATTTTATGATGGGTTTGTTATATTATCTGCTGACAGGCTATGGTTCATGTTTTGCTTTTACCTAATTTTGTTTAATGTGAACATATTCTGCAGTTTGGCTGAATAGTTGATATATTGAGAGAATCTGGATGATATTGTGTAACTTAGGTAATGTTGGGGCATAGTTAAAACCTGTGTTTGGTTTTGTAGGTCTTGTGGATGAGCAGCAGAAAGTTCGGACCATCAGTGCTTTGGCCATTGCTGCCTTGGCTGAAGCAGCAACTCCTTATGGTATCGAATCTTTTGATTCTGTGTTAAAGCCTTTATGGAAGGGTATCCGCCAACACAGAGGAAAGGTAAATCCACCAATTACCTTTTGATTTATCTTCATTAAAGTTAAGGCGACATAAATCTAAATTACTAAAGTACATATATTTTTTATTTAAAAATAGGGTTTGGCTGCTTTCTTGAAGGCTATTGGGTATCTTATTCCTCTTATGGATGCAGAATATGCCAACTACTATACTAGAGAAGTGATGTTAATCCTTATTCGAGAATTCCAGTCTCCTGATGAGGAAATGAAAAAAATTGTGCTGAAGGTAATTATTCCAGATTTGTTAATGTAAACTGGATATGTTTCATGGTTCTAACAGAATTTTAAAGTGTTTTTAAAAATCAACAAAAAAAACTGTATGTTACACGAATACTGTTTGATTTGTTTTTAAATTTTATTTTTTAAAATCACGTAATCAGCAATGAGTATTCTCTTCATTTCAGGTCAGTTGATTTATTATTACTATTTCTTAACCTTTTAGGTGGTAAAACAGTGTTGTGGGACAGATGGTGTAGAAGCAAACTACATTAAAACAGAGATTCTTCCTCCCTTTTTTAAACACTTCTGGCAGCACAGGATGGCTTTGGATAGAAGAAATTACCGACAGGTAAGCTTTTATTGTAAAAGAATATTCTCAAAAGTCCTTTCAACTCATTCTTTAGTCAACTTGAATGCATGTTGTATATTATTTTTTGCCTTGATTATCTCACAGTTTATATGTGCTTGATTATGAAAGGAGATGGATTTTAGTCAGCCAGTTAACTTCCATTTTGATTTTGGATTCGAGGATTAATACTTAACTGTGAATTGATGTTTTTGTCTGGTACATTCAGTGCTTTATCTGGCTAGATGAAACATGGACACAGTTTTACCTTGAATCATGTTAACTTATACTCATTTTTCGATGTTTGGTCACTTTTCTCTTCAACTTTAATAAGTAGCAATGAATCATTCTTACCATGTTTATTAGCTAAATAAGTAGTATATTTAGAGTATTTGGTTTTCATGATGTTGCTTTATTTCCTTGGAAAAGCAGTCTAAAAGGTTTTTTGTTTTTCTGTTCTTTTTAGTTAGTTGATACTACTGTGGAGTTGGCAAACAAAGTAGGTGCAGCAGAAATTATATCCAGGATTGTGGATGATCTGAAAGATGAAGCCGAACAGTACAGAAAAATGGTGATGGAGACAATTGAGAAAATTATGGGTAATTTGGGAGCAGCAGATATTGATCATAAACTTGAAGAACAACTGATTGATGGTATTCTTTATGCTTTCCAAGAACAGACTACAGAGGTAATGAAAACTATTATGGCACATTGCTACTAACTTTAATATTTGTAGAAAAGCATATTAGTTGTCAAGCAAATTTTTCTAGAATGCAATTGAATTTGAAGTAATTTTTAAAATGCTCAGGGGGTTACCAAACGATATTATTCTACCTCAAGTTTTAAGATTTGATGTAAAAAAACAGCAACAGATGTTTGGGTGGTTAGAAAAGGTTGACTCTTAGTGTATTTCAACTGTGCAGTCATAAACCAAATGAATATGTCTTTTTTTTAAATTTATTTTTTAGGACTCAGTAATGTTGAACGGCTTTGGCACAGTGGTTAATGCTCTTGGCAAACGAGTCAAACCATACTTGCCTCAGATCTGTGGTACAGTTTTGTGGCGTTTAAATAACAAATCTGCTAAAGTTAGGCAACAGGCAGCTGACTTGATTTCTCGAACTGCTGTTGTCATGAAGACTTGTCAAGAGGTAAACTTTTGCATCAAATTCTTACTTCTTCCCCAAATAGTTTAATGTAAATAGTAACATTTTAACATTATTTGTTTTATTATAGGAAAAATTGATGGGACACTTGGGTGTTGTATTGTATGAGTATTTGGGTGAAGAGTACCCTGAAGTATTGGGCAGCATTCTTGGAGCACTGAAGGCCATTGTAAATGTCATAGGTATGGAATTTGCTGGTTACATAAGACTTTTTCTTGTTTTAACTTTCTTTTTCTTTTTTTTTTCGTAAGTAAAATCTTATTTAGGAGTTGGGAGGTTTTTGTTAGCTTTTTAAAAGCACTTCAAGATTGTAGTTAAGTCGGGGGATGTCACAAAAGTCTTGTTTCCCAAAACCCATTTATATTTTACTTTAAAGAGAAAAAAAGGGTAAGTTTAGGACCTACATGAGAGGTGGGAGTAGTCACAGCTCAAAAAGCTTTGAAGTCATGGAATACAGGACCCTAGTAGAAATAGTGTGTCAGGTGAAATATATTCTGCCATGTTCTGCTGCGGGGTGAAAAGGCAATCCTAAAGTTTTAATTTAGTTTTAGAACAATATATATATATTTAAACCTTGAATTAGCGATTATGACAGGTTTTTTGCTTGTGATCAGTTTCAAGGAATATAATCAGAGAAAAGTGAACTGATCAAATTATTGTCTTTATTTACATACCCAAGTTTTAAATACTGTCCATTCAGTTTTCTAACCCGTAATACAGCTATATTACAAATGGTCTTGGATATGGAGAGCAAAGTTTTTATTCCATTAGGGCAGTATGAAGAAAACAAATGGTTTCTTATATTTAATCTTTTTTTTAAATTGATTATAACTGTTGCCAAATGTAACTCCTGCAGAGTTTAGAGGCTCTGATAACCTAGCAGAAGTCAAAATAGCTGACTGTGAGAGAGCCACTGTTTGTTTTTCCTCATTTTGTAAGAGGTATTTATGCGATACACATGTTTAAACTATTGTATTTGCATATAATCTCCAATGCAACCCTATCCTCTATACTTGAAGATAGCTACTTGCCAGAAATCATTTACATGGCCACTTGTAGGGCTCTGGTTTGCAGGGAGTTTTAAACCATATTGTTTGTCAGAGAGGCATGGGAAGAGCAATGGAGAGAGAATCAGAGCAAGTGATTCTAGTTAGAGCAAGAGCCCCTGCCAGCTGCCTCCTTTTTTCTCTCTTCGTAGGTGTAAATACCATCCAAGTATGCCCTGCATTGCAGGGAGACTGGAGATCTGTTTGTTTTGCAGTTAAAGGGTAAGGGGGCCCTTTCTGGAAATTTTTGCTTTATTTACATGTTTACCTCTGGCTTATATTGTTGTGTATGGCCGGAACATAAGCTGTCCCCATATTTAAATGTCAGTGCACAAATATATTTCAGAATCAAACAAAACTTTTTTGTTATTGAGTATCCATCATCCTTTAAATCACTTCACTGATTTCTTTCATTTCTATACATAATCAAAAATTGTTAATAAAAGTTAAAAACGATTCTGAGTCTGGTCAGAATCTGGGGCTTTCTCTTTCCCTAGGCAGCTGTAAGTTTATATTTATACATAGTCATATATGACATTGCTAAGTAAAAGGAAAGTGAACAAAAGTTGCAATTCAAATGTTGATAGTTTATTGACTTCTATTAAATAGGTATGCATAAGATGACTCCACCAATTAAAGATCTGCTGCCTAGACTCACCCCCATCTTAAAGAACAGACATGAAAAAGTACAAGAGAATTGTATTGATCTTGTTGGTCGTATTGCTGACAGGTAAGCAGATTACCCACACATTTTTATAAGCAGTATCAATTTTCAAATTTGGCCACTTTGTATTCAATTAGCAAAATTTCCTTAATGTCACTAATATAAGTGTAAAAGATTAGGCTATCCAGTATTAATATTTTCAGTCAAATTTCAATTTGGATGGTAATGGGGGTGGCAATGTAATTTTAGGACTAAACCTGTAAGACTAACTCTTCAGCCTTTCTGAAGAGTAGTAAGTTTTATTTAATGCTTAAAATGAGTTAATCATGTTTTTAGAACTGAATTTGCAAATTTATCCTTAAAACTTTTCTTAATGTCACAATAATTAATATGTGTATTTTTTAAATTAGGGGAGCTGAATATGTATCTGCAAGAGAGTGGATGAGGATTTGCTTTGAGCTTTTAGAGCTCTTAAAAGCCCACAAAAAGGCTATTCGTAGAGCCACAGTCAACACATTTGGTTATATTGCAAAGGCCATTGGGTGAGTGTTATTTACTTCCATTAAAAAAAAATTACTTTATAATAAATGCATTGTGGTATTGGAAAATACTTCCATGTAGAAATCTCTTTTGAGGCATGGTCTGAATAATGCAGTTGAGAAAGCTCTTCATTTAACCACTGACCTTCTGATTATTGGAATGTATTGTTAAATTCTTTTTTTTTTTTTTTGAGACGGAGTCTCGCTCTGTCACCCTGGCTGGAATGCAGTGATTCAATCTCGGCTCACTGCAACCACCGCCTCCCAGGTGCAGGCGATTCTCCTGCCTCAGCCTCCCCAGTAGCTGGGACTACAGGCATGCACCATCACGCCTAGGTAATTTTTGTATTTTTTAGTAGAGATGAGGTTTCACCATGTGGGCCAGGCTGTTCTCGAACTCCTGGCCTCAAGTGAGCCACCTATCTTGGCCTCCAAAAGTGCTGAGATTACAGGCGTGAGCCACTGCGCACAGCCTGTAGTCTTAAATTCTTAATTAAAATAGATGGAAGGGTTTAAGACTTACTTTAATTACACTTTAGGTGTTTTCAGGGAGGGAAACAGTACCATTTTCAGAAAAATTTAAAATGTGTGCTGGTCTTCTAGGATATTGCTTAAACTATTAAGGCAAGTTTTTAGTCTCACAACATCATTTAAGTCTCATATTAATGCTTTATATGTTTTAAAAATCTTATTATGGATTGTTTGAGCCCAGGAGTTCAAGGTTACAGTGAGCTGTGATTGTGCCACTGCACTCCAACCTGGGCATCTGGGCACCTGGGCGACAGGGCGAGACCCTGTCTCTAAAAAAAACAACAAAAATGCTATTCTAACATTACTCCACGGATTTAACTGAATTATAGCTGCTTTGTGAGATAATCTGTGGTGGTTTGCTTCCACTCCATCACAACTAAAATAGGAAAAAACAGTCATTGTAGAAAACGAGACACCACATGTCCATGTGGCTTAAGAAAATGTTTTCAAGGAATATGACATGTGAATGTCTGATTAATTAGGTAGAATTATACCAGACAACACCCCCTCCCCTAACACATACTCATTCCTCTCCTATTTTGGTAGCATAATATTTATTTCAGTGGTGATGGAGTCAAGACATTTGCAAGAATAGCTTTTGTGCAAGCTTTTAGCCCCAATGTCCCTCTAAGTTTATGTCAAAGAAGAGGCAAATAGATGCAGCAAATTGTGTGGAGGAAAGATAAAAGGAAAAGAGATTTTATATGGTTTATAATGGGAGACTACAATTCGGATATTCCCCTCACCACTCCTACCTAGTTCTAGTGCCCATTTTGACAACTCAGAGAATTACTCACTTTAAACATTTAGTTAAATTTCTTTATATTTCAGAAAGTTTAAGAACTGAAAATTACATTTGAAAATTGAGTTAACTTAAAATGTTTAGAATTTGTACAGCTATGACCTCTGATCTTCTCAGAGTCAACTTTTTTAAACTGACCTTTTAATTTATATGAAATTTTTATATAGAAACAACAATGCCAGTGACTTGAAAGTATTGCATTTTATAAAATTACTGAGTTCCCTGTAATTATTAATACTTAAAAGTTTTCATCTTTATGCATTTTTTTCTTCCATAAATTTTTGACTTATAATGTAACAGCTTGTTGACCCATTTGTTTTTTTCAGCCCTCATGATGTATTGGCTACACTTCTGAACAACCTCAAAGTTCAAGAAAGGCAGAACAGAGTTTGTACCACTGTAGCAATAGCTATTGTTGCAGAAACATGTTCACCCTTTACAGTACTCCCTGCCTTAATGAATGAATACAGAGTTCCTGAACTGAATGTTCAAAATGGAGTGTTAAAATCGCTTTCCTTCTTGTTTGAATATATTGGTGAAATGGGAAAAGACTACATTTATGCCGTAACACCGTTACTTGAAGATGCTTTAATGGATAGGTAAGTGACTTGAACTAAATACAAGAAAATAATTATAACTCTTCCTTCATTTTAGAACATCGTGAAATAGTTATTAGATGACTTTTTACTGTAACATAGTTAAAGAAAAAATTGCTAGCCTGGAGTCTTAGGACATTGTAAATATGACTTATTATTTTAAAATAATGTGCACGCTGTAGTGATTCCCCAGACTTTCTTTCAAGTTCTCCCATCCCCTTTAAATCTCTTTTCTTATCTATTGAATTAAATAAATTTTGAAAAGGGTTGATTGATAATCTTTTGTTTTCAAAATTGGTCAAATATAGTTAGAGGACATGATGAGCAGAAGCTAATGGGCAGAGACCTGATCTTTTTAGCTTTTTGTTGCAGGTAAAGGACAGGTTTCTCTTAAGCCTTTGAATTACTGAACAATAGCCTGCCAGAACTACACTCTTCCTGTTGCAGGTCCCTGGTGTTTCAGATGGTGACCACCAGTAGAGTACTGTTCAAGTTATTTGACAGATTGCTAATACCTTTTACCATCTAGACTGACGTACAGCCTTAAACACAGAAGTAACTGAAGAAAGTGCAAAGGAAAGTGCAAGCGTAGTAAGGGAAAGAACTGTTTCACTGGCTCTTTATTTTTCAGGAGAGATAAGTTACTCAAATCAGAGCCCATTCAAATACTTTTGTGTACAGATTTAAGTTATTCATTAATAACCTTCTGAAAGGGAGACTTAACTGGACTCGACAAGTTACCAGAACGTATATATGCAAGACATGGAGACAAAGTAAGAATTGTGCTCTGTAAAAGCCTGGCTGCCCAGGGCTAAAAAAAATGAGGGTAAATCACCCTTGCTCTGTATTCCTTAGTGAGAAGTGCCTGAGCACCATAGTGCAGTCATTAATGTATGTCACCTGCAGTTAAAAACTTTTTTCTGTGTACTAAGAAGTTAAGGGAGTAATTCCATTGAAAATTACTAAATGAAAAGAATACTTCAGTTGGAAATTTTATTAATGAGGAATACTGCTTCATTCTTATGCTGAATGACATTATTAAAATAAATAGGAAAAACAAGAATATTAGTAAATACAAGTATTTTTCTCTTTTCTCTTTGATATGGTCTGTGTTACTATCTTTGGAGCAAAGTGTGGAAACTCATTTTTTTTTTTGGACGGAGTTTTGCTGTGTCACCCAGTCTGGAGTGCAGTGGCATGATCTCGGCATACTGCAACCTCTGCCTCCCAGGTTCAAGTGATTCTTCTGCCTCAGCCTCCCAAGTAGCTGGGACTACAGGCGTGTGCCACCATGGCCGGCTAATTTTTTGTATTTTTGGCAAAGATAGGGTTTCACCGTGTTAGCCAGGATGGTCTCCATCTCCTGACCTCGTGATCTACCCGCCTTGGCATCCCAAAGTGCTGGGATTACAGGCGTGAGCCACCGTGCCCGGCCTGGAAACTCATTTTCATACCCATTGCAAATCCCATTGTGTTAGCCAGCGAGCTCATACTTGGTTGAATAATTGTGGAATGAATAACTCATTGATTTTTCATGAACATAAATTCAGTTAACATAGGAGATGATAGTTATTTCTGTAGGTTTGAAAAAATTATTGATCTTTTGTTCCTCTCCCCAAATTGAGTTATTGAATGAAACTTAAACTTTACGTGAGAAGGGAATTTAACTTTAATTTAGTTACCTATTATATACCAGTATCTGAAGTACTAGTAAAGATTTAAGTTTATAATCAAGAGTTTAAAATGATTTGGGAGGCCAAGGTGGGAGGATCGCTTGACCCCA
Organism: Homo sapiens; assembly: GCF_000001405.40. Taxonomy (NCBI): domain Eukaryota; kingdom Metazoa; phylum Chordata; class Mammalia; order Primates; family Hominidae; genus Homo; species Homo sapiens. The sequence goes on along the minus strand of NC_000002.12, from coordinate 197,394,275 downwards.
GGAGCTCAAGACCAGCTTGGGCAACATAGCGAGGCCTTCCCTATCTCTAACAATAACAATAAAAAAGAAAAATAATTTTTCTTTTTTTTTTGAGACAGAGTTTCACTCTTGTTGCCTAGGCTGGAGTGCAGTGGCACAATCTCGACTCACTGCAACCTCCACCCCCCAGGTTCAAGTGATTCTCCTGCCTCAGCCTCCTGAGTAGCTGGGATTACAGGCGTGTGCCAAAATGCCCTACTAATTTTTGTATGTTTAGTAGAGACGGGGTTTCACCACGCTGGCCAGGCTGGTCTTGACCTCCTGACCTCAGGTGATCCATCTGCCTCGGCCTCCCAAAGCGCTAGGATTACAGACATGAGCCACCATGTCCGGCCTGAAAAATAATTTTAAAAAAGAGAAAAAAGTTTAAAATATTACTGTTTATTATTCATATGTTAGAACCACATGCCTCCTCTTTAGTAGCATAATAAAGCCAAGACTTCACAGAGCCCTCCTGCTCATATTCCTTTTAAAAGTTAATTAGATGGCCAGGCACGGTGGCTCACGCCTGTAATCCCTGTACTTTGGGAGGCTGAGGCGGGCAGATCACAAGGTCAAGAGATCGAGACCATCCTGGCCAACATGGTGAAACCCTGTCTCTACTAAAAATACAAAAATTAGGCAGGCGTGGTGGCACACACCTGTAATTCCAGCTACTCAGGAGGCTGAGGCAGGCGAATTGCTTGAACCTGGGAGGCAGAGGTTGCAGTGAGCCAAGATCACACCACTGCACTCCAGTCTGGGTGACAGAGTAAGACTCCGTCTCAAAAAAAAAAAAAAAGTTAATTAGAAAATATGGCTTAATTGTTGAGCCATAGTGAATCTTGAGTAATTAAAGCAAAAGTCCTCAAGTGGAAGCTATTCTAAAGGATATATTAGATATATGAAATGTTAGATGACTTCACATCTATTCAGTGCACTGAATTAGTAATTTAGTTTCTAATGGGCCGGTGAATATTTCCTGTAAAACTAAGACTGTATCTTTAAGGATTTTTCCCCCTTTCTTATAAGACCGCATCTTAAAGGACTTTTTTCCCTTCCGTTGTAGAGACCTTGTACACAGACAGACGGCTAGTGCAGTGGTACAGCACATGTCACTTGGGGTTTATGGATTTGGTTGTGAAGATTCGCTGAATCACTTGTTGAACTATGTATGGCCCAATGTATTTGAGACATCTCCTCATGTAATTCAGGCAGTTATGGGAGCCCTAGAGGGCCTGAGAGTTGCTATTGGACCATGTAGAATGTTGCAATATTGTTTACAGGTAAGTTAAAGATTTTTTTTTTAATCGGTGATTTTTTTTTTTTAAATAATACTTTAAGTTCTGGGATACTTGTGCTGAACGTGCAGGTTTGTTACATAGGTATATATGTGCCATGGTGGTTTGCTGCACCTATCAACCTGTCATCTAGGTTTTAAGCCCTGCATGCATTAGGTATTTGTCCTAATGCTCTCCCTCCCCTTTCCCCCCACTGCCTGTAAGTTAAAGATTTTTAAAAGATTACTTAGCAAGAAAAGTAGTGTATTGAATTAAGTTACTTTTCCTGATTATCATTAGGGTATATTGTGCCATATGGTAGAACAATTGTGTGGTGACAGGGGAGTGAGTTTTGTCTCTTCCATTGCAGCTTAAGAGCAGTGTAATTAGTAGGTTCCCCCCCCCCCAACTCCCCAAGGGAAATAATTTTGAATCATATCTTTATGTTTTCTTAATTTTGTTAAGGTTATGTATGTTCTTAAAAATTGAAATAATGTAACCGTTCAATTATTTTAGGGTCTGTTTCACCCAGCCCGGAAAGTCAGAGATGTATATTGGAAAATTTACAACTCCATCTACATTGGTTCCCAGGACGCTCTCATAGCACATTACCCAAGAATCTACAACGATGATAAGAACACCTATATTCGTTATGAACTTGACTATATCTTATAATTTTATTGTTTATTTTGTGTTTAATGCACAGCTACTTCACACCTTAAACTTGCTTTGATTTGGTGATGTAAACTTTTAAACATTGCAGATCAGTGTAGAACTGGTCATAGAGGAAGAGCTAGAAATCCAGTAGCATGATTTTTAAATAACCTGTCTTTGTTTTTGATGTTAAACAGTAAATGCCAGTAGTGACCAAGAACACAGTGATTATATACACTATACTGGAGGGATTTCATTTTTAATTCATCTTTATGAAGATTTAGAACTCATTCCTTGTGTTTAAAGGGAATGTTTAATTGAGAAATAAACATTTGTGTACAAAATGCTAATTTGTGTGTGTTTTTTGAACATGACTTGTAAAATGCGGAACTTTGATAAAGTATTGGTTTATGTGGAATAAGTGGCTTAATTTCATTTTCTGTCACATGGTTTATAGAAAGTAGTTAGCTGAATAAAAACTATATAAAGTGATGGCATCTTTGTCAAAATTCCATTGTTGTGTTAATAATGACAGCAAGAAGAGTAGCCTCAGGGGATGTTCCCCTCAAACTAGCACAACCATTCCATCATCGTAGAAAAGTAGCACTTTTGCTAAACTGTCTTGAATATTTTGTACTTACATAGCGCCTTTCATCTCTTGATTTCTCAAAATGCTTTATGAACACATTTAAAGAAAGTGGTTTAAGTCTTGTCCAACACTTGACAGGTCTGCTGTGTTTAGCAAGTGAGGAATTTAACTTTACTTCAAAACTGCTTTCTGCCTATTAGGAGTGAGGATACCTAAGTAATGCTGATAGAACAGGACAATGTTGGGCTTTTCTCCATGTTATAAGCCACTACTCAGCAATGCATCAGTAAATACCTATTCACCCACTGTATGCCAGCCACTGTGCTTATATGCAGGGGATGCAAAGGTGCATGAGACCTGCCCTCTACCTTTAAGAACAGTATAATGGAGAAGGGGAGACAAACCTTGTGACAGATTCCTTATGTACTGTGATAATACACAGTGGCAGCAGCTAAAATGTCTAGGTTTGCTTAGCTTTGTATTCAGTAATAATAAGTTGATCTAAGAGTTCAGCATAAACTGAATGAAATGCCATTTAATGGTAGAGGAACCAAGCATTAAGGCAGTACTACACTTAATTTTTTAAGCAAATATGTAAAGTATATTTTCAAACTTTTCTAATGTTATGGCCCCAAATTTCTTAGTTTTGGCCTTTTTACTACCTATACTATTTTTACTGTTTTGTTTTGTCTCCATGTGGTAGTACTTCTGTGAACTCTAAAGGGAAAAAAAATTCTGCAAGCAGCATTAGTATATAACTACTACTGTAAGTAAAACTGCCTATTGACACTTTAGGAGTTCCTGCTTCAGAAGCTTAGTTAAGAAACAGCTTGTGGCCGGGTGTGGTGGCTCATGCCTGTAATCCCAGCACTTTGGGAGGCTGAGGCGGGCGGATCACGAGGTCAGGAGATCGAGACCATCCTGGCTAACGCGGTGAAGTCCCGTCTACTAAAAATACAAAAATTAGCCAGGCGTGGTGGCGGGCGCCTGTAGTCCCAGCTACTAGGGAGGCTGAGGCAGGAGAATGGCTTGAACCCGGGAGGCGGAGCTTGCAGTGAGCCGAGATAGCGCTGCTACACTCCAGCCTGGGCGACAGAGACTCCGTCTCAAAAAAAAAAAAAAAATTGACTTTCAACAAATTGATAGTGAGCATTAAGGGTTTCCAAGTTGGATTTGTAACTCCTCATCATTCCTTGTATGACAACTTTCTGAATATATGTCACTATGTAGTAAAATTAAACACTCCAAACTCATCTTTCTGTTGTTAGAAGTTTTCAGCGGTACTTCCATGCAACTTTAAATCTCACTGCTCTCTATGGTTGATGTCAAATGACCTTCAGTAATGACTGAGAATTGAATACAAATAGATTACAAAGCCAAAATTTGATGTTAAATGACTCAGGAAATTTTAGTTGTATTTTCAATTCAAGTACTTAGTAGCCTACGTTTGCTTGGCCTCTGGTTCTTTATGGAAAATAGGCTTTGTAGTGGCATTGTGGAGCAAAGGAGACTGTTACACCTTAATTAACTTTTTTTACTGATGCAAATAATTTGAGGATAGAGAGGAGGGAAGTAGTGAAAGCTATGACCTAAAACATTGGGACCAAATAGAGGCTCACAGATATTTGGATTATTTTATGTGCTTATTATTAAATAAGGAAAGCATTTTGTGATATGTGGAAGACGCTATGTGAAGTTTTACCTATCTTCTCAAAGACCTTTTCTTTTGTATTTTCTTTTGGTGTTTCTTAAAGCCAAACAAAGAAATGTTCTTAAGGAGACAGGGTGGGTTTTTCTGTGGGCCTTTGTTGGTTTTTCTGTGGGCCATCGCCCTCTAATGGAATTGATCTCTGGCTGTTTGATTTTTTTCATATTGTATTTTTAAAATTTGTTGTACAGTGCCCTGTGAGCACCAAGTACCACTAGATGAATAAAACGTATTATATCTAAAGTCTTAGTAGACCAATTTTTAATCTTAGTTGACTCTGTATTGTTATCACACTGCACTCTGTTGTGGTTGTGCCATTTTTGCAAAATTGAGCTCTTTCGGTTGTTTTCGAAATAAGGGAACTTAGTGTTGAAAAACCAGAGAACTTTTTCTTTAATAAGAAACTAAAAAAGTTGCAGCCACATAGGTTCAGTTTGGCTCTTTGGTTTCCAGTGGCTCTCAAATCCCCTAAGGTTAAAAGAAAACACTACAGCTACCCTAGGGTTTCTCAACCTTGGCATTATTGACATCTTGAATCAAATAATTCATTATTGTGGGGGTGCTGTCCTGTGCCTTGCAGAATCTTGAGCAGTGTTCCTGACCTCTACCTATTGAGATGCCAGCAGCACACCCCCATCCCAGTGTAATAACCAAAAATGCCTCCAGACATTGTCTCATGTCCCTTGGAGAGCAAAATCTCCCTAGGGTGAGAACCACTGAGACCATTGTTTAAGCAGGACTTACATGTTTAATAAAATTAAAGCATGATATATAAAGCATTTGATTTTAGGCAGCAGTTGTCTAGGAAGTAACTAGAAATACAACTTAGCAAATACTTAAATGTCTACCTTGGGGTAAAGCTCCGCATAAGTCCTGGGGAGAGTAAGCTGTGAAAATGTGTAAGATGACCCCGCACTGATCCTCAGAGCATCTTGTGACAGTTGGGAGCCATGTTGGCAGCTCGGGCAGGAGTGCTGGAGGTGGCTTGGTGCTCCACTTGGGATGCTGGTCTTCAAGCATTGTGTTCTCACCTGTGAGCTGGCGATAGGTGGGTTATATGGTACGGCTGGAAGAGGAGGGCAGGCAGGGCACAGAAACCCCTTCCTCCCCTTTTAAAAAATTTGGATAGGAAGCCATGGAGGGAATTTAATGTGACTTGATAGAGAATTTAGGTTTGCAAGGCAGTCAAGATTTGTAGGCAGGAGGGAATAAGTAAGTAAACCAGAGTGAGTGTAGTCAGTGACATCTCTAGTGTTCTTGCTAGAATAACTAAGTTTTAAAATTTATTTTGTGGATTCTAAAAAGATTTTGAAAGGACATGCTTGGGCCTTGGACAGTTACTTTTTTATAGCCTGGCTGATTAATGAAGTTCTGGAAGGAAATTTTAACATGTTAGCTGAGAGGCTGGCGAGGGGATTTAATCTAAATAGGTTTGTGCTAGGAAAAAACTTGTAAATAGAAGAAATTGTTTCTATAACTGCCCAAACTTTGAAAAAAGTTGAAAGACTATTAAATGAGCAACTGTATATTTTCCACTTAAATTCAACAATTAAAATTTTGCTATTTTGCTTTTGTGTATTTATTTTAAATAGTGAATTTCTTGAGACAATTTTCAAGCAGTATTGCTGAAGAGAAGTTTGGACTAGATAAAATAGAGGAGGAAGCTAATGAGCTAAACAAAGTGGGCGACTGCTTGAATGAATGAATAATGAGGCAGAGAAGTGTGGAAATCAAGCACAGATGGAAGGGTTTTCCTGAAGAGGAGGAGCAGCATCTTTCCCTGAGTACATAAGGAAAAAGATATGGTGGGTTATAGGCATGAAAAGTTCATCTATGGCATGTCAGAATTTCAAAACAGTTTTCTTGGTGCTTTAGAAACAAGTAGACATAGTGAGGAAAATGAGACTTGTGTAAAAAATTCATGCAAAAAAGCTGGTGAAGTTTAACACTCAGACACTCTGGTGTCTATAGTATGTATAATGTGTAATGTGTAAACCGATGCTTTACATAGTTTTGATCACAGAAGCAGAATATAATTTATACATTTGGGAAGAAAAGCACTTAGCACCAAGATGATCACCAAGGAAGAACTGTTCACATGCCACATATCTAGGCCATTGTTACTCAAGCGTGGTCTGGAGATTGGCATCAATGTCACATGGGGATTTTAGAAACATGCTTGTAGGCTCCATCCGGAACCTGAATAAGAAGCTGCATCTTTGGGCTGGGCTTGGTGGCTTCGCCTGTAATCCCAGCACTTTGAGAGGGTGAGGCAGGCGGATGACCTGAGGTCAGGAGTTAAAGACCTGCCTGACCAACATGGAGAAACCCCATTTCTACTAAAAATACAAAATTAGCCGGGTGTGGTGGTGCATGCCTGTAATCCCAGCTACTCGGGAGGCTGAGGCTGGAGAATTGCTTGAACCCGGGAGGCGGAGGTTGTGGTGAGCCGAGATCGCGCCATTGCGCTCCAGCCTGTGTAACGGATGAAACTCCGTCTCAAAAAAAAAAAAAAACCCAAAAAACTGCATTTTTATAAGATACCCAAGTGATTCATATGCCATTGAAATTGAGAAGCACTAGACTGGGACACCACTCCATTCTCAATGTGGCAATAACACAGTAAAAAAACAATTGAAGTGCCTATTTGGGTGTGGAAGCAAGTGGGCCTTAGACACAGCCAAGAGGTTATCAAAACACTTCCAGGAAGGTACTTTGCTGGAACCTGGGTGAAATTAAAAGAGAGGGTGCAGGAAGCCTTTTTTATTTTAATAAAATCCATTGCTTTTTCCAATAAAGCAGGTCAGCGTAATGTAGTTAATAAACCTCATAGGTGTATCTCCGTATTGCTTCTGCTGCTTACTAGTTGACTGACATTGGTTGTTGGAGAGGCTTGGAATGGAAAAGGAGAGCTCACTGTCTTGACACTGGTATGAGGTCACCTGGGGGAGCCAGGTAGCCTTTGGGAATCCTGGCTCTGCCCTTACTGTGCCCTGACAGAAGAGTGGAACAGGAAGGCAACACAGTATAGGTTTAGGAGTTGGCTCTGCAGTTAGTCCTGGATTTGTAACCTGGCTATGCCACTAACTGGTGATGTGACCTTGGGCAAGTTTTTTAACCTTTCTATCCTTCAGCTTTTTAATTTGTAAAATGGGGATAATAATAGTACCTACCTCAGTAGGTGGTGGTCCTTGTAAAGATTAGCTAAAATAATGTATATAAAGCAAAGTGCCTAAGCACAGCACTTAATAAATGTAATGGCTGCTGCTGTTGATATAGTTATTTTACTATTATTATAGAGATGGGATCTCACTATATTGCCCAGGCTTGTCTCAAACTCCTAGGTTCAAGCAAATCCTCCTACCTTGGCCTCCCAAAGTGCTGGGATTCGCAAGTGTGAGCCATCACTCCTGGCCTGTTATCATGAGGGAAAAGACCTCTGTTATTGCTGACATTAGAAGGGATGGAGATTGGCAGGTGGCTTGAGGAGCAAGCACTTTGGAAATAACTCTTGAGGAAATAGAAGGCACTCATCAGGGATGTTTAGATTGTCTGGGAATCCCAAGGGATTGCAAGGTATTCTTTAGTATTGCTCAACAGTCCAGCTGGCTAGAGAAGGTATTTGGTTGGACTGATCTGCAGGTGCAGCAGAAGGAAAGAGAGAATTAGGGGATTGGTGTGAGTTCACTTGAAGACTTAAAAGCATAGATTTGGGCCGGGCATGGTGGCTTACACCTGTATTCCCAGCACTTTGGGAAGCCAAGGTGGGTGGATCATTTGAGATTAGGAGTTTAAGACCAGCCTGACCAACATGGTGAAACCCTGTCTCTACTAAAAAGGCAAAAAAATTAGCTGGGCATGGTGGCGCACGCCTGTAGTCCCAGCTAATCGGGAGTCTGAGGCAAGAGAATCACTTGAACTCGGGAGGCAGAGGCTGCAGTGAGCCAAGATGACGCCACTGCACTCCAGCCTGGGTGACAGAGCAAGACTCCGTCTCAAAAAAAAAGTATAGATTTGCTCTTTAAATCTTCAAATCATTTTAGATGGAACTAGTGTCATTCAGTGGTTAGAAGCACCTGAGAAGCACATCCCTCAAGTTTTATTTCTCTGGGAATAGTGACATGATTCTACCCCGAATGCTAAACAAATGAGATATATAGTTCAATACATTTTCATTTTCTAATGGGGATTTTTACATTTTTTTCTTTAATTAATTTATTTGAGACAGTGTCTTGCTGTGTCGTCCAGGCTGGGGCACAATGGCATAATCTAAGCTCACTGTAACCTCTGCTTCCTAGGTTCAAGCGATCCTCCCACCTCAGCCTCTAAAGTAGCTGGGACTACAGGTGCATGCCACCACACCAGGCTAAGTTTTGTATTTTTTTGTAGAGACGGGGTTTTGCCATGTTGCCCAGGCTGGTCTTGAAACTCCTGAGCTCAAGTGGTCTGCCCGCCTCGGCCTCCCAAAGTGCTGGGATTACAGGCATGAGCCACTGTGCCTGGTCTATTTATTTATTTATAGAGCCGGGGTTTTGCTATGTTGCCCAGGCTGGTCTTGAACTCCTAGGCTTAAGTGATCCTCTTGTCTCAGTTTCCCAAAGTGCTAGGATTACAGGTGTGAGCCACTGTGCCCAGCCATATATTTTAATTGCATTAAGTAATCATGAACAAATGATCTACTTGGATTTTGAGTTCGTGAGATGATAACTTTTGAGGAGGTTTGAGAAATGTCTCTCAGGGGTGTAAACACAGTTATCTACAATTTAAATCATGAGGACTTCATTCATTTATTTGGCAAATATTTACTAAGTGCCAGCTATCTACAAGGCATTTGCTAACTATTAATACTATAAACATAGTTGAAAAGGTCCTTCCCTGTAAGATGCTGGAAAAACTTCCTTCACCTGGGAGCTTCCTTCATGTGGGAGGAGGGAAAGTGAGATTAGGTGGGAGCTTCAGGAGAAGGGTGTACTTTTTAGGGAAAAGTTAGAATTGCATATATGGTATTGAAAGGGACAATGAAGAGCCTTGGCAAAATAGTGGAACTGGGAAAGCTTGGGTTGTGTCTAAGAAAATAGGGTGGGGGGACAGCCCAAATGATGAGAAATAATGGAAGATCAGATGTAGCCCCAAGAATTCAGGGCCAGTATCTGCTATGTCTGTTCAAATCTGAACTTCTAGCACCCAGTACCATACTTCCCTTCCTAGGCACCCAATATGTATGTATTGAACAAATGAATGGATGAATGGTATTTTGGATTCAGATTACGGAATGTCTCTGTATTAGTCTGTTCTTACATTGCTATAAAGAAATACTTGAGACTAGGTAATTTATAAAGAAAAGAGGTTTAATTGGCCCACGGTTTTGCAGGCTGTGCAGGAAGCATGATGCTAGCATCTGTTTGGGTTCTGGGGAGGCCTCAGGAAACATAATCATGGCAGAAGGCAAAGGGGGAGCAGACACAGTCACACGGCCAGAGCAGGAGCAAGAGAGAGAGAGGAGGGAGGTGCCACACACTTTTAAACAACCAGATCTGGCAGGAACGAACTCACTATCATGAGAACAGCACCAAGAAGATGATGCGGCTAAACCATTAGGGAGAAATTCACCCCTGTGATCCAATCACTTCTCACCAGGCTTTACCTCTAACACTGGGGATTCAGTTATACATGAGATTTGGGTGGGGGCACAGATCCAAACTATATCATTACTCTCTAAAGGCCATTCTTAAACTTTATCTTATAGGCAATGGGTAACCACTGACTATTCAACATTCACTTATTCCACAAGTATTTATTGAAGATTTTAAAGTAGGGAAGTGGCATGAATTGAACCGTGCTTGCAGGAAGATCAATATCTCTAGTTCATTTCCTTGATCCAGATCATAGATACATAAAGAGCTTATACAGCAAATGTTCTCAGAGCTGAATTAGTTCAAAGATGCTCAGACTAAGTCATGGTCCCCACCCAGCTGCTTTCCTCCCACCTCCTTAACTGTGATACTGTGGCCCCTGCTGGTCGCTGCCTCAAAGCTAGACAACCACTGCCCAAGAGCTGGGACAATTGTGGAAGGGAACGGTATCAAACTAGTTTTGTGTTCTTCGGATTACTTGCTTGTTTGCTTCTTTCCTTAAAAGTTTACTTTAGAGGTCTAGAGGGTGTTAGTCAGAAAAATAGCTTTTTTATACCACAAAGGGATCTAGGATATTCCATATTTTCCAGGGAAAATGATTTATAGAAAATCTTCCAAATGATCCTGGCTAATTGGATTTGCAGACAAAGGGCAGGTGGACATTTTCCACATGAGGAGTTGGGCAGGTGAGCTGTTCATGTTGTTTCTGGAGCCTGGAGCTGCAGCACTCTGTCCAGCCACCCCAATGGATCATGATACATGTGACAAAGCAGGGAAACAAGCAGGCAATGCTCTGAAAAGGGATGCATGACAGCTATTACTTAATATTGTCTTGGAGAAAAAAGAACAAGAAGGAAAATCCTTTTTGAATGCAGTGCTGTTTTCTTGTGTGCTGAAATTTACTTACTTATTTCATTTTTTGAGACAACGTCTCACTCTTTTGCCCAGGCTAAAGTGCAGTGGCGTGATCACAGCTCTCTGCAGCCCCAGCCTCTCAGATTCAAGTGATTCTTGCACCTCAGCGTCCCAAGTAGCTGGGACTACAGGCATGTACCGTGCCTGGGTATTTTTTAAATTATTATTTGTAGAGATGGTGGTCTCTGTATGTTGCCCAGGCGATCTCAAACTCCTGGACTCAAGCTATCCTTCCACCTTGGTCTTCCAAAGTGCTGGGATTACAGGTGTGAGCCACCATGCCCAGCCTAAAATTTTTGTCTTGATAGCTTTTTGTTTTTGTTTGGAGATAGGGTCTCGCTCTATCACCCAAACTGGAGTCCAGTGGTACAATCATGGCTCACTGTACCCTTCACCTCCGAAGCTCAAGTGATCCTCCCACCTCAGCCTCCCAAGTAGCTGGGACTACAGGTGCATGCCACTGCACCCAGCTAATTTTTGTATTTTTAGTAGAGACGGGGTTTCACCGTGTTGCCCAGGCTGGTCTTGAGCTCCTGGGCTCAAGGGATCCGCCTGCCTCAGCCTCCCAAAGTCTTGGGATTACAGGTATGAGCCACCATGCTTGGCATATCTTGTTAATTTTAACAAGAATCAATTAACTGGGGCCTAGCAAAGAAGAAAATCATTCCTGATTTTGGTGAGATGTGTGCAAATAGACAATGTCTAAAAAAGAATGTCATCATGATTAGAAACTTTGTGTTCAAAGGAAAAATTATAAAACCTACATTCATTCAATAAGTAATTTAAGAACACGCTTTACATCTGTTAGTGCTTTATAATTTCCAAATGCATTAGCATTCATTCACTCACTTATTTCTCACAGCACCTTTAAGAAGTAGACACTTCTTATGCCAACTGCACAGACAAGAAAATTAAGGCTCAGAGAGGTTAACTGATGGTGCGGTTATTTTAAGCATGGCTGATCTGACTCCAAGCTGATGCTCTTGCCGCTGATGCATGTATTCTCCGTTATTTTCAGCTTTTTTTTTTTTTTTGAGACGGAGTCTCGCTCTGTCACCCAGGCTGGAGTGCAGTGGCACGATCTTGGCTCACTGAAAGCTCCGCCTCCCGGGTTCACGCCATTCTCCTGCCTCAGCCTCCCGAATAGCTGGGCCTACAGGCACCCGCCACCATGCCCAGCTAATTTTTTTTCGTATTTTTAGTAGAGACGGGGTTTCACCATGTTAGCCAGGATGGTCTCGATCTCCTGACCTCGTGATCTGCCTGCCTCGGCCTCCCAAAGTGCTGGGATTACAAGCGTGAGCCACTGCACTCAGGTATTTTCAGCTATTTTAACTATCAAAATTAGTTTTTAACACTGTTGTTCTGAACTAATGAGAAGTGTATGATTTTTTTGAGGAGTATCATTTCCTTACCAAAATCCATTAGGACTGATAAAGTCAAAGTCACCAGGAGACCAGGAGGATGGAAAACATTATTATAGAGTACAGAAATAAATGAATATTTAATGTTTGATAGAGAATGAATTACAGGGACATAAAAAATGGAAAAATTTTGCCAAAACCCTGTTCAAAGGGAAAACGTATGGCTCACTGAAAGATGAGGCACTAAATGGAAATGAGATGAATAATGGAAAACTGTAAATAATTAATGTCTTGGCATGTGTGTGTACTCTGATAAAGACAAAACTTTCTTTTGTCACTTAGTTAACTGGTTTCATGAGGTGAAACAAGTTCAGCACTGAGGGGAAATAGTTTTTTAATATTCTCCAATTTAAAACTTTTAATTAAAAAGTAAACTTTAATGTTGAAAATGCAAACTTGGGGAGGGCAGAAATATCACACACAAGGCTGTCACTTCACACTTGGAGGGTTGCACAGCGGCCGGGCAGAGGTGCTTCTCACTTCCCAGATGGTGGGCAGCCGGGCAGAGGAAATAGTTTTATGAGCAATCAATTTAGGTGTTTCCTGGAGGTAGAGTTTTCAGATCCCACAGATGATCACTGTTTACTCCCCGCTTGGTGTTTCCTTGTGTCATTTTGTGAACAGTAGTTCTGACTATGTACAAATCTCTGTTGGCTGTTTAGTGGTCCCCTTTCTCTTTGAGATAGAGTCCTCAGTAGATAGCACACACACACACACGTATATATTTTGAGACAAGTTCTTGCTCTGTCGCTCAGGCCGGAGTGCGGTGGCGTGATCTTGGCTCACTGCAGCCTCGACCTCCTGGGCTTGGTCGGGTGATCCTCCCACCTCAGCCTCCTGAGTAGGTGGGACTACAGGCACATAGCACAATGCCCGGGTAATTTTTGTGTTTTTTTAGAGATGGGTTTTGCCATGTTGGCCAGGCTGGTCTCGAACTCCTGGGCTCAAGTGATCCACCTACCTCAGCCACCTAAAGTGCTGGGATTACAGGCGTAAGCCACTGTGCACGGCCAGATAGCAAAATATTTGAACTCTTGTGGATGTGGATAGAATGCATACAGAACATCCCTGGTGTGATTCCGTCCTGCGTGGCTGTTCTCTGGAGCAGCGTTCGTTTATCTCCGTCCTCCTTCTCTCCCACCTAAGTGCGTGCCACCATCTGATGGAAGATTCAATGGACATGGACATGAGCCCCCTGAGGCCCCAGAACTATCTTTTCGGTTGTGAACTAAAGGCCGACAAAGATGATCACTTTAAGGTGGATAATGATGAAGATGAGACCAGTTATCTTTAAGAACGGTCAGTTTAGGGGCTGGTGCAAGGGATGAACTGCACATTGTTGAAGCAGAGGCCATGAATGATGAAGGCAGTCCAATTAAAGTAACACTGGCAACTTTGAAAATGTCTGTGGTGGCTCACGCCTGTAATCCCAGCACTCTGGGAGGCCGAGCCGAGGCAGGCAGATCACAAGGTCAGGAGATCGAGACCATCCTGGCTAACATGGTGAAACCCTGTCTCTACTAAAAATACAAAAAAAATTAGCCAGGCATGGTGGCGGGCGCCTGTAGTCCCAGCTACTCGGGAGGCTGAGGCGGGAGAATGGCGTGAACCCGGGAGATGGAGCTTGCAGTGAGCCGAGATTGCGCCACTGCACTCCAGACTGCGCAACAGAGCGAGACTCCATCTCAAAAAAAAAAAAAAAAAAAAGAAAAGAAAAAAAAGAAAATGTCTGTACAGCCAACGGTTTCCCTTGGGGGCTTTGAAATAACATCACCAGTGGTGTTAAGGTTCAAGTGTGATTCAGGGCCAGTGCATATTAGTGGACAGCACTTAGTAGCTGTGGAGGAAGATGCAAAGTCAGAAGATGAGAGGAGGAGGATGTGAAACTCTTACGTATATCAGGAAAGTGGTCTGAGGTGGTAGCAAGATTCCACAGAAAAAAGTAAAACTTGCTGCTGATGAAGAAGATGATGACGAAGATCACGATGATGAAGATGATGATGATGACTTTGATGATGAGGAAGCTGAAGAAAAAGCGCCAGTGAAGAAATCTATTCAAGATACTCGAGCCAAAAATGCACAAAAGTCAAATCAGAATGGAAAAGACTCAAAACCATCATCAACACCAAGATCAAAAGGACAAGAATCCTTCAAAAAACAGGAAAAAACTCCTAAAACACCTAAAAGGACCTAGTTCTGTAGAAGACATTAAAGCAAAAATGCAAGCAAGTATAGAAAAATGTGGTTCTCTTCCCAAAGTGGAAGCCAAGTTCATCAGTTATGTGAAGAATTGCTTCTGGATGACTGAGCAGGAGGCTATTCAAGATTTCTGGCAGTGGAGGAAGTCTCTTTAAGAAAACAGTTTAAACAATTTGTTAAAAAATTTCCATCTTATTTCATTTCTGTAACAGTTGATATCTGGCTGTCCTTTTTATAATGCAGAGTGAGAACTTTCCCTACCATGTTTGATAAATGTTGTCCAGGTTCCATTGCCAAGAATGTGTTGTCCAAAATGCCTGCTTAGTTTTTAAAGATGGAACTCCACCCTTTGCTTGGTTTTAAGTATGTATGGAATGTTATGATAGGACATAGTAGTAGCGGTGGTCAGACGTGGAAATGGTGGGGAGACAAAAATATACATGTGAAATAAAACTCAGTATTTTAATAAAGCAAAAAAAAAAAAAAAAAGAATGCATGCAGAACACAAGGCAACCGCCAGCACTTTAGTGTGCCTTGGATACCCCTCCAGGGCCCTTTTGCTTGCCTTTGTCTTGGCCTCTGACCTGGCCATACACTGAGGCAATGGGAGATGAAGTGGCCCGGGGACCAGCAGTTGCCAGGCAGCGGAGTAGCAGCTGGGGTGCTCAGAGTATAATTCAGTCCCCTCTTGCTATTGCCAGAACTTACCACCCTCTTCCAGGGGCCTCTGCCTTGGCACATGCAGTTGCTACTATCCAGAAAAGCCCTTTGCTTCCCCTTCAGCTGGCTGGTCCCCGCTAGTTCTTTGAGAATGGACTCCTTCGACTTCATTAGGACCCCCCTGGCGAAAGTGCTGCATTGACGTGCTCCCCCAGCACCTGGGGTGCACACACTTCTCCCTTGCTCTACGACGTGGAAGTCATCTGTTCAGTCGTCTTCCCCGATGGTCTGTGAATGGATACACAACTCACGCCCCCAGCACCCATCTGCCGCTCCCTGTACATGTGCAGACGGACTCAGTGAATGACAGCCGCCGCCTGAATTATTTCAGACAGGTTATTACTGCTGGGAGTTGTGCAAGAACTTCTAGGCAGCCAAGCAAGTAGGCATATTTTTAAGCAAATAATTCAATGGTCTTCATTCACAAGGTGGGAGAGTATTCTATTTCATCACCTGACAGAGCGTAAAACTGCTGTTCTGTGAAAACCTTTGTTCAAAATATTCTATTTCCTGTAACATTCTTAGCTTCTGACAGGGGGCAGCAGAGCCTAGGAAAACAAAGGCTGGCCCCGGTTAACTGGTGGCTTGCACACCTTTGGAGCCAGACCTTTAATGATTTTTGGGAGAAACCAGCCCTTGGTATCTGACAAACCTTACTGTTGAATAAAGATTGTAAGGTAAAGGCTGGCTTTTATTAACTTAACATTCTTTGAAGGCACCGCAAACAACTAACTGTTTTTATAAAAGGAAAAAAAAAAGACAAAAAATAAGGCAAATAACCATCTTTCTCATTTTATTACAGTCTTTAAATAAGATGGATGCTTATTTTTTGCCAGCAACTTGTAAAACGATGCTAGAGCATGAAATATTTCCAGCTGGTGTTAGGGAGAATGTCGAGATTTACAAATTATGACCAGATGCTGGGGCTATTGTCTCCTCATCCCCATCATCCTGGAAAAAAAAAGACTTAGTAAATAATAATAATTTTTAATAAACCTAGGCCAGGCATGGTGGCTCACTCCTGTAATCCCAGCACTTTGGGAGGCTGAGGCAGGCAGATCATTTGAGGTCAGGAGTTCAAGAGCAGTCTGCCCAACATGATGAAACCCCGTCTGTACTAAAAATACAAAAATTAGCCGGGCGTGGTAGCACGGGCCTGTAATCCCAGCTACAGGAGGCTGAGGCACAAGAATCACATCAACCCAGGAGGCAGAGGTTGCAGTGAGCCGTGAGCGAGACTCCATCTCAAACCAAACCAAAACAAAAAAACCAAAAAGCAATGAAAGCAGTTGAGATAATAATGAAAGCAAATAGCCAGAACCGAAATCCTCCTTGCCCCACCCATTATGGCATGAACCCTTGGGGGCCCAGGCTCATGCTTTCTGTCCCTACGTCCAGTGCCCAGCAGGCCTGGTGTGTGGCAGCAGGTGCTTGGCACACGCACATGGAATTGAAGGAACATCTCTGGCCTGTTCACATCTTAGTTCTCTAGGGGAGTTTCTAAGTCATATATGACACCCAATTGTCCCATAAATACACTCCATGGGGAATTTGCATTCAGAAACATGATCACCTTAGGCACGTACTATATCCCACAACTAACTTCAGGGAATCTGCTACTTTTCCATTCTTTAAAACTATGCAAAGGAGAGCAGGGGAAAGAAAAGAGGGAGGAGTCCATATGCTTGCCCATGGGTTTGCACAGGTAAGAGACACACAGGTGGGCTAGATCTGATTGGCAGTAATTTGGCCCTCAGTCCACATGGTCACCTTGAAACCAGGAATACAGAAGAGGTCTGCAGGGTATCCTAAGGTTCTCTGATGTCTGTCTCTGCCTTAGTCTAGGAGTCCTAGTATAGTTCAGCAGGAATTCCCTCATGTTCTCCTTTCTAGCATTGCATAGCACATTACATGAAGCTTCCTATTTTCTTACTATGTTTGTGTTTAGATTTCTGCCTCCAATACTGTCAGGTTCTGTTTGTACTTCTCAGAGGAAGATTTTTTTTTTTTTTTTTTGAGTCAGAGTTATGCTTTTGTCGCCCAGGTTGGAGTGAAATGGTGCCATCTCGGATCACTGCAACCTCCACTTCCCAGGTTCAAGTGATTCTCCTGCCTCAGCCTCCCAAGTAGCTGGGATTACAGGCCTGTGCCACCATGCCCGGCTAATTTTTGTATTTTTAGTAGAGACAGGGTTTCACCATGTTGGTCAGCCCATGTCAAACTCCTGACCTCCAGTGATCCGCCTGCCTCAGCCTCCCAAAGTGCTGGGATTACAGGCGTGAGCCACCACACCCGGCCCTCAGAGGTAGATTTTTATCTTTATTTTTTGAGACAGTGTCTTGCTCTGTCGCCCAGGCTGGAGTATACAGGCACAACGTGATCATGGCTCACTACAGACTTGACCTCTTGGGCTTAAGTGATCCTTCCGTCTCAGCCTCCTGAGTAGCTGGGACTACAGGCACACACCACCATGCCCAGCTAATTTTTAATTTTTTTTTATAGAGACAAGGTTTCACTATGTTGCCCAGGCTGGTCTTGAACTTCTGAGCTCAACTGATCCTCCCTCCTCAGGCTCCCAAAGTACTGGGATTATAGGCACGAACCACAACGCTTGACCCAGAGGTAGATTTTAAAATGGGGTTCTTGGCAGTTAGTAAGAGCCTGGCCATTTCTTTCAACAATAACTCAGAGCCTCTTACATTCAATTCACCTTCCTCCCTACTCTCATTTATGGCTTCACATGATTCATCCTGCTTATACAGACAGGAATCTCTTAAGGGACAGGACAGGTATTAAGACACCTTTCCTGGTAGATGAATTAGTTGAGACTCAGAGCAGGGACATCCCGGGCCTGCGGGTCACCTAGAGTGTTAATGGCAGTACTGAGAAGAGAATCCCCTTATCCAGGTGCTGCTGGAGCACCTTGGGGTGCTCATTCTTCAGTGAGGGTCTGGATTAGTGAAAGGTACGGGAGATCCTGAAACATGGGGATCGAGGAAGAGCACGCATGCTTTGGCTTAGTGCAGTGCCTGACACAGTGTGGATTATGGGATGTCCCAGCTGTGGGAGGAGCCGAGGGCATGGAGGGGAAGCCGTTCACTAGCGGCAAGCATTTCCACAGCAAGGGATAATACCCAGCAGGGTGGGGATGTGGGAAATAGTCCTCAAAGGAGACAGGGCATCTGGGGCATCTGTGATTGGGCCAGGCTTTATCTGCTCTTTGTAGGCTTTGTTTTATTCAGTTGCCATGACAGCCTTGGAAATAGTTATCATTATGCCCCTTTCTCCGATGGAACTACTGAGTCACAGGGAAGTCATGTAATTCCCAAGACACCTACACCGAAAACCTTAGGTGTCATTCACATGGGGGAGCAACTCACATGAAGCTTCGCATGAATGAAGTCTCCCGAAATTACCAGCATCATACAGTTATTAGCAGGTAGAGTTCAGATCTACACCTTGGTTCTCTGGCTCCACAGCCTGAGTTCTTAGCACTACTTCATTCTGCATCTTCTGAGACTTTCTTTTTTTTTTCTCTTGAGACAGGGTCTCACTCTGTCACTTAGGCTGAAGTACAGTGGCACGATCTCAGCTCAGCGCAGCCTCAATTGCCTGGGCTCAGGTGATGCTCTCACCTCAGCCTCCTGAGTGGCTGGGACTACAGAGGTGTGCCATCACGCTCAGCTCATTTTTTGTGTGTTTTTTTTTTTTTTGCAAAGACAGGGTTTTGCCATATTGCCGGGGCAGGTCTCGAACTCCTGGACTCAAGCTATCCACCCACCTCAGCCTCACAAAGTGATGGGATTACAGGTATAAGCCACCGTGACTGGCTTCTGAGACTATTTTTTCTGGAACCCAACATTGCCCAGTAAGGCTCTGATTTATGTATGTCTCGACTCAAGGGAGAACCTTGTACAGGTTATAGAAAAATAAACTCTGGACTGGGGGTTAGAGTTCTGGGTCTGCCACTGACCTGTGTGACCTTGGCCAGTTACCTCCCCTCTGCTCAGCCATTTTCTGTTCTGTAACACAAAGAGAAGGATACTCTTCTCTCAGGTTTAGGGAGAGGACTCTGAGTTTAATGAACATGAAAGCGCTTCATAAAGCTGAGACGGTTTGGAGCCACACAAGGGTCAGTACAAATCAAGGGAATGGATGGGGCCAGCAGGCAGCCATTTATTTTTTGGGGCTGATATGTATGCAGAGTATTGACTTTTTATGCCTCATTTACTTCTGAAAAAAAATGTAGAAGTGGTGGTGCCCGAGTCTGCAAGCAGAAGATGGAGCCTTTGTGTGTGCAGCGGGTGCTGTGGAGGCCCAGGGAGGAGGCCAGGAAGTGAAAAGCATGTGGCTCAGATTTGGGCCTTAAAGCTTCCAGCTTCCTCACAAGGAAGAAGAAAAAGGCGTGCTAGATGTTCTTGGGTGATAACGATGAGAAATAATAACCAGGTCTATGTTCCTTGGCTTCTTGTATTTCTCTTCAGCAAATGTTTCTGTTCTTTAGGCAGCTGAACAGCAAAATCCCATTTCATTTGTTGAAATATGACAAAATTGGGCAGAATAACAGGCTCACGATGCTGTAGTAAAAATGAGCTATAAAATGTAAATAAGTCTTAAGTGAATTGGCCTCAGGCGTTTTATGGAGTTAAATCAGAGGTGGAATTGTGTGAGCTTGGATTTTGCTTTTTCTTTCTCTACTTGAGTAAGAGCTTGTATTTCTGTTACGGTGGCAAGGAAAGTTCCTTTTTCACCCTTCATTTTCTCTTTAACCCATTGCTTTACAAAGAATCCGGCCTGGGTATCTAGAAAGGCACCCTGGAGAAGTTGACACCCATAAGATCTATAGTCAGAGGGCTGTGAGGTGACTGTGAGTATCAGAGTGTGAATGAGAAAACAAGGCTGGACACTTGTGAATCAGGTGCAGCTGCTATTCCGGACAAAAGTCAAAAGATGCGGAAAACTGATTTAGCCGGAAGGATGAGAGAGAGAGAGAGAGAGAGAGAGAGGAGAGAGAGAGAGAGAGAGAGAGAGAGAGAGAGAGAGAGAGAGAGAGAGAGAGAAAGAGAAAGAGAGAGAGAGAGAGAGAGAGAGAGAGAGAGATAATTTAATAACATACAGGTGTTATGGTCAGGCATGAACAATAAATACCTCTCACATCAAAAGTACTGAAGCACAGGCCAGGTGCAGTGGCTCACCCTTGTAATCCCAGCACTTTGGGAGGCTGAGGTGGGCGGATCACCTGAGGTCAGGAGTTTATAAACAACCTGGCCAACTTGGTGAAACCCCGTCTCTACTAAAATTACAAAAATTAGCCAGGCATAGTGGCGCGTGCCTGTAATCCCAGCTACTGGGGAGGCCGAGGCAGGAGAATCGCTTGAACCCGGGAGGCAGAGGGTGCACTGAGCCGAGATTGCACCACTGCACTTCAGCCTGCGAGACAGAGTGAGAACTCTGTCTCGGGGGGCGGGGGGAAAGTACTAAAGCAGTTGGGCGTGGTGGCTCATGCCTGTAATCCCAGCACTTTGGGAGGCCAAGGCGGGTGGATCACTTGAGGTCAGGAGTTCGAGACCAGCCCGACCAACATGGTGAAACCCCATCTCTAATAAAAATACAAAATTGGCCAGGCATGGTAGCCCGTGCCTGTAATCTCAGTTAATCAGGAGGCTGAGGTAGGAGAATTGCTTCAACCTGGGAGGCAGAGGTTGCAGTGAGCCAAGATGATGCCATTGCACTCTAGCCTGGGTGGCAGAGTGAGACTCTGTCTCAAAAAAAAAAAAAAAAAAAAATACTGAAGCAGAGCAGAGAAGTACTATTATTTGTCCTGTGAAACTCTAAACAGATTAAAAATATGGATCTGAATTAAAGGGGCAGCTTCTCAAACATTTACCTTAACTGAGAATCTTCACCCCAAATGACTAAGATTAGCAATAAACTCTCATAAAACCAAATTAATGAGATGATCTCTGGTTATTGAGAAAAGTAGAATAAAGAGGGAAAGTGGCCGGGCGCAGAGACCCCCGTCGCTACAAAAAAAATACAAAACTGAGCCAGGTGCAGTGGTGTGCACCTGTAGTCTCAGCTACTCTGGAGGGTGAGGCGGGAGGCTTGCCTGAACCTGGCTCGCAGTTATGAGCTATGATGGTGCCACAACACTCTAGCCTGGGTGACAATGCAAGACCCTGTCTCTCAAAAAAAAAAAAAAAAAAAATTGGGAAAGTAACTTTTTTCTAAAAGTGGCCAGTGGTTTTACATTCAATTTTTTGAGGCAACTTATTGACTCAGGAACTAGAAAAACTTCCAAGATTCTTTAATCCAACCCCCCTCGGATGAGTAAACTGTGACCCAGAGTGATTCAAAATCTTGCCCAAGTCCCACGGTGGGGAAGTGGTGGAGGGAGAGGCAGCACCCAGCTTCAGAGCCCTCCCTCCACACCCTGGATGAAAAGATCCCTGAGGTTTCCTCCTGAGGGCTGGGGCTTCAAATGCGGGGGGCAGTGGCTCTGGGATAAAAAGATGCTGCTTTTAATATGCTCTCATTAAAAAAGTTTGAATTTAACATCTGCTACACAGGGAGGAAAATAAATTCCAATGGCCTCCTTTTTTATCTCATTTAGAGTTGGGGTAGAAAGAGGGGCTGGAAGTTATAAGACAGTATCATGAGCCATGAGAATACTTTGTGACCCGCAATTAGAAAGTGAATGGTTCACAGATGCCATTAAAAGGAAAGAAAAGAAATGGGGAAAAAGTCTTGAATCAAGAGTGTAGCTCCTGGCCGGGTGCAGTGTTTCACATCTGTAATCCCAGCACTTTGGGAGGCTGAGGCAGGTGGATCACTAGAGGTCAGGAGTTTGATACCAGCCTGACCAACATGGTGAAACCCAGTCTTTACTAAAAATACAAAACTAGCCGGGCTTGGTGGCACATGCCTGTAATCCCAGCTACTTGGGAGGCTGAAGCAGGAGAATCGCCTGAATCTGGGAGGCACAGGTGCAGTGAGCCCAGGCATTGCCCTGCAGCCTGGGCGACAGAGCAAGACTGTCGCTCCAAAAAAAAAAAAAAAAGGGTTTGGCTATAAGTAACAGAAAACCCAATTTACAGAGACTTAAATATACAAAAGTTTCTAGTTCTTAACAAGAAGTCTGGAAGTAAGTGCTGATGATGTTGTTACAGTACTAGTCAGAAAAGAACAGGGCAGGAGAGGGTTCCCCCACCACCAACCAGGAATTTCAGGCGACCATTGGATGATGGATGGTCAGGTGGTTGTTAACTGTCTCTCTAAAATAATAATTGGTCGCAGCAAGTACCAGGAAAGGGCAGTCTACCTATAGATAGGAAAAACCTGAAACTGGTGATCAGAGGTTTCCTGATAATGTGTCCGGAATTGGTGGGTTCTTGGTCTCACTGACTTCAAGAATGAAGCCACGGACCCTCGTGGTGAGTGTTACAATTCTTAAAGGCGGCATGTCGGGAGTTTGTTCCTTCTGATGTTCGGATGTGTTCGGAGTTTCTTCCTTCTGGTGAGTTCCCGGTCTCGCTGGCTCAGGAGTGAAGTTGCGGACCTTCGCGGTGAGTGTTACAGCTCTCGAGGCGGCGCGTCTGGAGTTGTTCGTTCCTCCTGGTGGGTTCGTGGTCTCCCTGGCTTCAGGAGTAAAGATGCAGACCTTCGCGGTGAGTGTTACAGCTCATAAGGGCAGTGTGAACCCAAAGAGCGAGCAGCAGCAAGATTTATTGCAATGAGGGAAAGAACAAAACTTCCAAAGCGTGGAAAGGGACCCGAGCGGGTTGCCACTGCTGGCTCAGGCATCCTCCTTTTATTCTCTTATCTGGCCCCACCCACATCCTGCTGATTGGTGCATTTTACAGAGAGCCGAGTGGTCTGTTTTGACAGGGCGCTGATTACAATCCCTGAGCTAGACACAAAGGTTCTCCAAGTCCCCACCAGAGTAGCTAGATACAGAGTGTGGATTGGTGCATTCACAAACCCTGAGCTAGACACAGGGTGCTGATTGGTGTGTTTACAAACCTTGAGCTAGATACAGAGTGCCGATTGGTGTATTTAGAATCCCTTAGCTAGACATAAAGGTTCTCCAAGTCCCCACGAGACTCAGGAGCCCAGCTGGCTTCACCCAGTGGATACGGCACCGGGCCGCAGGTGGAGCTGCCTGTCAGTCCCGCGCCCTGTGCCTGCACTCCTCAGCCCTTGGGTGGTAGATGGGACTGGGCGCCGTGGAGCGGGGGCGGTGCTCGTCGGGGAGGCTCGGGCCGCACAGGAGTCCACGGAGTCGGGGAGGCTCAGGCATGGCGGGCTGCAGGTCCCGAGCCCTGCCCCCCGGGAAGGTGGCTAAGGCCCGGCGAGAAATCGAGTGCAGCGCCGGTGGGCCGGCACTGCTGGGGGACCCAGTACACCCTCCGCAGCCGCTGGCCGGGGTGCTTAGCCCCTCATTGCCCAGGCCGGCAGGGCCGGCTGGCCGCTCCGAGTGCGGGGCCGCCAAGCCCACGCCCACCCGGAACTCCAGCTGGCCCGCAAGCGTCGTGTGCAGCCCTGGTTCCCGCTCGCGCCTCTCCCTCCACACCTCCCTGCAAGCTGAGGGAGCCAGCTCCGGCCTTGGCCAGCCCAGAAAGGGGCTCCCACAGTGCAGCGATGGGCTGAAGGACTTCTCAAGTGCCGCCAAAGTGGGAGCCCAGGCAGAGGAGGCGCCGAGAGTGAGCGAGGGCTGCCAGCATGCTGTCACCTCTCAATAAGATCTCAGGAGTTGGGCAAGTGAGCTCACACATGCACATTAAGGCAAAATGGTGGAGTTTAATGGTATACGACCTCCTGGGGACATTGGTCTGGTAAGGGAGAATGCCTCCAGTGAGCATGCATACAATTCCAGTAAACACACTGGGCATGCTCACCTCCCAAGTGCTGGCAGGCCACTGTGCATGCGGAAACCCACCCTGAGGAAGAATCTGGGGAAGAGATACAGACCCCAGAAGTATGCCAACATATAAAACCCCAAGTCAAAAGGTCAAACCACACACTTGGCTCTCTCGTCTCCCGCTTGGCCTACTTCCAAGTGTACTTTACTTCCTTTTGCTCCTGCTCTAAAGCTTTTTAATAAACTTTCACTCCTGCTCTAAAACTTGCCTCAGTGTCTTCTGCCTTATGCCCCTTGGTCGAATTCTTTCTTCTGAGGAGGCAAGAACTGAGGTTGCTGCAGACCTATGCAGATTCGTGAACAGTAACATATTTTGGTGCCTTATGACCCGGATAACTTCCACCGCTAACAGTGTTGGTTTGGTGGCTAATGACATTAGGACCAGCATCCTGGTAAATCTCTTGGCTTTTTCCCCATTGTTGCAGCATGCCTGAGTAGTAGCCCACACGCCCACAAACAAGGCAGGAAGAGAGGAGGAAGGGGAAGCCAGCTGTGTCAAGACAATTTTTGTCAGTAAAGTTAAAGCTTTAACATCTGCTACAGAGGGAGGAAAATAAATTCCAACTGGCCTCCTTTTTTGTTTTATCTTTCATTTAAGAGTGGGGGTGGAAAGAGGGGCTGGAAGTTGTAAGACAGTAACATGAGCCATGAAAAGACTGTGTGATCCACAATTAGAAAGTGAATTGTTCACAGATGCCACCAAAAAAAGAAAAGAAGGTTCTACTATCATATTCACACCCCCAGACCACACCCCCAAGCAGATTTCTGCTTGTGTCTCATTGGCTGGAACTGGGTCATTTGGCCACCTCCACTTTCAAAGGAAGGTGGAAAGGCACGGAAGGGTTATCATTGAACAGTTTAGACCAATTTTGATTCACCCAAGACCAGGCACACCACTGTTCTGAATCAAATTGGGGTTTAGTTCACAAGGTAAAAGTTAGAGGATGGTGGTGGATTTTGAGTAATCACTAGCAGTGCATATCATATAATGGAGCTTCGATTGAATACATTTATACGTGCAGTTTTTACGGTTAATAGCACACACAGCATATTGAAAACGCAGAGCTTTTTACTTCAGTATTTCCTCTTGCTTCTTTACCTCTGCTTTGATAGCCTTACAGTTTCTGTACAATTTTCTTTGAAAGGGCATTGGCATCTACTTTCTTAAAAGAAGCATTGTTGAGACTAACCTTAGCTATTTGCCTCTAGGGTTCTGATACGTGCAGAGCTACGTTAGTTACTTGGTACACATATCTTCAAGAAAAGTTGGAAGTAATTTTCAACCTAAGCATTTCACATTTCATGGATAGGTGAACTTTACAATAACTTTTAAAGCAACTATTCTAAAGCTTATACATCTTTGAATGGGCACTACACTAATCCCGTCCATTTCATTGGTGCTGAAATATGTAAAAACTCTAAATAGGTCCTTACCAGAGTTGTAAAAAAGATGTAAGAAAGACACAGAGAAAAAAAAGATCAAGTTCCTCTTGTCCCTTCTAAGTTCAGTGTATTTCTTACCCAACAGCCAAAGCGATCTCTCAAAATAAAAAGTAGACCACGTCACGCTCCTGTTCTGTCCTCCAATGGCTTCCAGCCACATTGGACGAAATCTAAGGTCCTTACATGGCTTTCCAGGCTGTACATGACCTGGTTCCTGCCCAGCTCACATTACATTTTCTACCTCCTTCTTATTCTGCTGTGGCCACGCTGGCTTTCCTTTTTGTCCCTCAAAGAAACTAGCCGTGTTTCCATGAGAGACCTTTGCCCTTGCCTTTCTCTTGGCCTGGGATGTTCTACTGTCAGGTGTTTGCCTGGCTTCTCCACCTTTATTCACTTTCCAAGGGCCTTTTCCTGACAACTCTGTCTGAAGTGTCACTCTGCCCCATCCTTCTCTATCCCCAACCCTGCTCTATTTTAAAGTTTAACTTTTATTATTATTATTATTATTTATTTATTTAATGTATTTTTTTGAGACAGGTCTCACTCTGTCTCATTGCACCCAGGCTGGAGTGCAGTGGCGCGATCTCGGCTCACCACAACCTCCGCCTCCCAGGTTCAAGCGATTCTCCTGCCTCAGCCTCCCAAGTAGCTGGGACCACAGGCATGCACCACCACGCCCGGCTAATTCTTGTATTTTTAGCAGAGACGGGGGTCTCGCCATGTTGGCCAGGCTGGTCTCAAACTCCTGACCTCAGGTGATCCACCCACCTCGGCCTCCCAAAGTACTGGGATTAGGTGTGAGCCACTGTGCCTGGCCCCTGCTCTATTTTTCTACATGGCCCTTATTATAAGCTGACGTTATATTATCCATGGATTGGCTTACTTGCTTACTGTATGTTCGCTACTAGAATGTGAGCTCAACAAGGGTAGGAACTCTGTTTTGTTTACTTCTTTATCTTTGGTGCCTAGAATAGTGTTCTGGTACCAGTAGGTATACAATAAATATTAATAAATATTTGTTGAATAAATGAATGAAAATTGTAAAAATTGGTTTCTACTATGATATTCACATATTCAGAAGATGAATACATGATTCAGAGCCAGTTAATTTCCTTCTCTCTCTTTTTCTTCTTCTCTTTCTTTCTTTCTTCTTTCTGTCTGTCTGTCTTTTTCTTTCTTTTTATAGGGTCTTGCTCTGTTGCCCAGGCTGGAATGTAGTGGTGCAATCATAGCACACTGCGGCCTAGAACTCCTGGGCTCGAGTGATTCCCCCACTTCAGCCTCCCAAGTAGCTGGGGCTACAGGTGCATGCTACCACATCTGGCTAATTTTTGTATTTTTTTGTAGACGAGGTTTTGCCATGTTGTGGAGGCTGGTCTCAAACTTCTGGGCTGAAGCAATCCTTTCCATCTTGGCTTCCCAAAGTGCTGGGATTACAGGCATGAGCCATTGCGCCCGGCCTTTCTTTCTTTTTCTTTTCTTTTCTTTTTTTTTTTGAGACAGAGTCTTGCTCTGTCACCCAGGCTGGAGTGCAGTGGTGTCATCTCAGCTCACTGCAACCTCTGCCTCCTGAGTTCAAGCAATTCTCCTGCTTCAACCTCCTGAGTAACTGAGATTACAGGCATGCACCACCACGCCTGGCTAATTTTTGTATTTTTATTAGAGACAGCGTTTCACCATGTTGGTGAGGCTGATCTCGAACTCCTGACCTCAAGTGACCCACCCGCCTCGGCCTCCGAAAGTGCTGGGATTACAGGCTTGAGCCACCATGCCTGGCCCTTTTCTTTCTTTTTCTTCCCTGGAGTATACTGGTATTTTTTTTTTAATTTGTAAGAATAGAACTTAATATAAATGCTCAATTAAATCAAACAATATTAAATTGAAATGTAGTTGTGGCTCTTTCTTGAACCATTCATTTAACAAATATTTATGAAGTGTCTCTGCCTTAAGGAAATGCCAATGATTTTTCATATTTAATGTGTTACCTCTACATTATAGAGTTGACTACTCTACATTAACTATTAATAAAAGGGATTGGGAGAAAGGTTTCTAAACATTCCTGAAGACTCAACTTTTGGTCCTGTATTGTAAACATGTTTTATTGATGACATAAATGAAGCTATAAGAGCCTATTTGACCAATTCAGTAAATGATAGAGAACCACTTTGCCTCAGTAATATTATAGGAATCAGAATCCTAAAATGCCTTGACCAGGCTGAAGTAATGAGATGCTCCATCAAAGGAAAAAAAATCAATTGATAAGAGGACATGCTTGAAGAGGGGAGCTGAGGTTTAACAGCAGCATATGGGAAAAAGATTTAGGATGACAATCACTGTGATTCAATAGTGCTAAAATAAATTCAAACTAGCTAGGTGTGGTGGCTCACGCTTGTATTCCCAACACTTTGGGAAACTGAGGTGGGAGGATCACTTGAGCTCAGGTATTTGAGACCAGCCTGGGCAACATAGCAAGACCTTGTCTCTACAGAAAAGTTCAAAAATTAGCTGGGTATGGTGGTGCACAGCTGTCGTCCTAGTTATTTGGGAAGCTGTGGTGGGAGAATCACTAGTACCCAGGAATTCAGGGCTGCAGTGAGCTATGACTGCCTCATTGCACTCCAGCAGTGTCTCTGGATGACAGTGAGCCCGTCTCCTTTTTTTTTCTTAAAAAAGCAAACTTAGGTGAGCTAATATAATAATATTAACAGATTATTATAATGTATATTGTCAAGTAAATCTGGACCAGTAAGAAGAGATTTTATTCAAAAGGATTATTGCAAGGAGGAGAAATAGACTCTTGCAGTAAGAGAGAGGGACTGTTGCAATAGGGAGAATGCATTGACCATAAGATCTGCAAGCTTCCTACGGTTCGGCAAAAAGAGGTTTTCTTTTTTTTTTTTTTTTTAAGATGAAGTCTCGCTCTGTTGCCAGGCTGGAGTACAGTGGCTCGATCTCGGCTCACTGCAACCTCCACCTCCCGGGTTCAAGCGATTCTCCTGCCTCAGCCTCCCCAGTAGCTGAGACTACAGGCATGCACCACCATGCCCAGCTAATTTTTGTATTTTGGGTAGAAACGGGGTTTCACCATGTTGGCCACGATGGTCTCGATCTCTTGACTTCGTGATCCGCCCGCCTCGGCCTCCCAAAGTGCTGGGATTACAGGTATAAGCCACCTCACCCGGCCGAGGTTTTCTTGTATAGAGAGGAGTAAACGCGAAGAGAACCAGGTATGGAGAAGTGGGATGAAAGGCGATGTGATGGGACAGTAGATGAGAGAATGTTTGACCTTGAGGCCAGTCTGTTCTCGGGAGGGGCTGTGTGCTGGCGTAGGCTGAGGCAGGACAGCATTTAGGAGCTTGGGGGAAGGAGGGCAGCTGAACCAAGGTGTGCTGAACAAGCATTTTGTTCTGATCGATCAGTGTAGAGAAGCAGTAGGGTCTGGCCTTGTTAACAAGTTGGGGGGGCATGTATAGGTCTTACGTATGTCATATGGGAAAGGTGGTTCTTTTCAGGAAGCCATTCTCTACAACCAAAGGGTGGGGGGATTTCTCAGTCTTTACTCTTTTCCAGGATGACAGGGCTTAAGTAAAATTCAACATTTATATAACGTATAAATTATATAATGCATAATATACAAATTTTGTGTATATATATACACATGTATACATACACATGCATATACACACACACACACACACACACACACACACACGATAGGGAACCATTTGTCTCAGTAATACTATAGAATCAGAATCCTAAAATGTCTTGACCAGACTAAAGTAATGAGCTACCCCACCAAAGGCAAAACTGAGTTGATAAGAGGACATATTCAAAGAGGGGAGCTGATTGTACACATCATAGCTAATATAGTGACAACTGCCTTTTAGTATCAGGGAGGGGACAGCTTTACCTTGAACAGATAACCAGTGGCCCAGAAGGGCAAATATGACTCCATGCCCCAATACTCTTTGACCAGCACCTGAGTTTAAAGTTTTGAATATGAAAGCCTTAAATCAGGGCTAAGTCCAGCTCCCACCATTCCTCATGTCTCTATACTGGGCCACAATTGCATGTTTATCTTTTTTTTTGAGACAGAGTCTTGCTCTGTCACCCAGGCTGGAGTGCAATGGCACGATCTCGGCTCACTGCAACCTCTGCCTCCTGGGTTCAAGCAATTCTCCTGCCTCAGTCTCCTGAGTAGCTGGGACTACAGGTGTGCACCACCATGCCTGGCTAATTTTTGTATTTTTATTTTTAGTAGAGACAGGCTTTCGCTGAGTTGGCTAGGATAGTCTCAAACTCCTAACCTCGTGATCCACCCGTCTCTACCTCCCAAAGTGCTGGGATTACAGGTGTGAGCTACCCCAGGGACCTCATGTTTATCTCTAGTTAGGGTCTAATCTCTGGAGGTATCTGAATTTGCAACCCCTTATCAAGACTACTGTAGGCCCACCCTTTGAGGAATGTGGACAAACTGGATCATATTCAGGAAAAAACAACGCAGATGTCAAGGGACAAGAACAATGGCCACCATATGAGGAGCTGGAGATGTTAGTCTAGAGAAGGTGGGACAGGAAGAGGGTGGGGATGGCGTATGTTGGGAGAGGCCATCAGAACTGTCTCCAAACACTACAAGTGCTGCCATGTGGCAGGGGAATTCAATTCGTTCTGTTTGGTCCCAAAAGTATTGTTTGGTAAACAAGTGGGAGGAAGTTACGAGGAAATAGATCCTGTATCAGCATATCGAAGCACTTTCTAACTGCCTTCAGAAAGTGAGGCTGTCTCTGTTACGTCGGTCTTGCTGCAGAACTTCATGGAGAGGCTGATGGACGGGATCTAGCTATTGAATGGGTGTTTTGGATTAAGTAGCTTTGAAATTTCCTTCCTACTGTAAGACCCTCTGATTCTGTGAAATAAAGTAAAACCCCATTATTCTGGCTTATTGATTTAGAATGAGTATAAATTCTATTAATGGGGGAGGATGAATTTTTCTCACAGAATATTTTTTAAAATTCATTTTTATTTTATTTTATTTTATTTTTTTATTAGAGATGGGGGAAGGGTCCCACTATGTTGCCCAGGCTGGTCTTGAACTCCTGGCCTCAAGAGATTCTCCTGCTTTGGCCTCTCAAAGCACTGGAATTATAGGTGGTTTCCTTTTATATTCACATAATCATCTCCTAAGATGCTGATCATCTGCTGCCAAAGTCTCTGCCAGGTAACACTAGGGGACGGAGATTTTTTTTTTTTTTTTTTTTGAGATGGAGTCTCGCTTTGTCGCCCAGGCTGGCTGGAGTGCAGTGGCGTGATCTTGGCTCACTGCAACCTCCGCCTCCCAGGTTCAAGAGATTCTCCTGCAGCCTCCCGAGTAGCTGGGATTATAGGTGTGCACCACCATGCCTGGATAATTTTTGTATTTTTAGTAGAGATGGGGTTTCACCATATTGGTCAGGCTGGTCTTGAACTCCTGACCTCAGGTGATCCACGCACCTTGGCCTCCCAAAGTGCTGGGATTATAGGTGTGAGCCACCGCACCTGGCCTAGAGTTTTAAGTTTTTATACCAAAGTAACAAAATATGCACTTCTTGAAAACCAGGCCCCATGCTTTATAGTTTTTTAGTTTTTCTTTTTACTACTTAGAATCAGTAATATTTATATTCTAGGTTAAAATGCTTCTTCAGGATTGGTTAAATAAATTGACACATATTCTTATACTAAAATATCACACAGTCATTAAAAATGATGCTATCGAAGACAATCTAAAGATGTGAGGAGTTGCTCATGTTTTATAAATGAAACATAAACATGCTAAAAAACAATATTCATGGTCTTATTTTTTAAAAAAGAAAGAAAACAGATTAATCACTCCTTTCTGAGTCTCATTTTCTTCTGTAAAATAAAGGTATTAGATTAATAATGTTTAAGACTTCTTTTAATTGAAAAATTCTATGACCTAAAAAGAATACCTTACTTTTCCATTTGCCTTCCTATCTTTCCTCCTTTCTACCTTCCCATTTTACAAATCTAGAAACTAAATAACAGTTCATTAATAATATACTTAATATTAAGTTTTAAATATTGTTTAATATTATTAAGTAATTAAAATATTAAATATCAAGTATATTAAATACATAAATATTAAATATATTAAATAATACTTAATATTATATTAAATATTAAGTAATATTAAGTAATATTAATAAGTAGTAAGTACTAAGTACTTAATATTAAGTAATATTAATATTACTTAATATACTTAATATTACTTAATCTTAAAAATTCTGTTACATTATTAGCAGGTTGTATGATACATAGATATGATAGGTTTTTGAGTATTTATTATGTAGTTAAAACTTTGCTAAATATTAAGAATCCTAAAGGCTGTGTGCAGTGGCTTATGCCTGTAATCCCAGCCCTTTGGGAGGCTGAGTCTGGCAGATATCTTGAACCCAGGAGTTCGAGACCAACCTGGGCAACATGGTCAAACCCCATCTTTACAAAAAATACAAAAAATTGGCTGGGAATGGTGGTGCAAGCCTGTAGTCTCAGCTACTTGGGAGGCTGAGGTGGGAGAATCACTTGAGCCTGGGAGGTTGAGGCTGCAGTGAGCCATGAAGGCACCACTGCACTCCAGCCTGGGTGACAGAGCAAGATCTGCACCTCTTTGATAAGGTCATTATTCTCACTTATGAGGCCTCTACCTTCATGATGTAATCACCTCCACCTCTTAACACTATCACATTGCAATTAAATTTCAACATTTGAATTTTGGCGGGACACAATCAGACCATAGCAGGGCCTTTGGGAAGTAATTAGATTTTGACAAAGTCATGATTCTATGAGTTCTTCATTTGTGTTTATATTTATATTATTTTATTTTATTTTTAGAGACAGTTCTGTTGCCCAGGATGGAGTGCAGTGGCAGGAGCATAGCTCATTGCAGCCTTGAACTCCTGGGCTCAAGTGATCCTCCTGAGTTGGCCTCCCAAGGCACTGGGATTATAGGTATGAGCCACTATGCCTGGCCTGTATTTAAATTTATTATGTACATTTTAAAGAATGCTTATAACTGAGTAAAAATATCAGCAGTCTGGAAAAATCAGCAAAAGTTTCAAAGAGAAATTTCAGAGTAAGAAATCCATTTTATAAGCAAACATGAAGATGCTTAATAAGTAACTGAAGAAATGCAAATTGAAGCAATAAGCAGTAAGTTCACATTTTTGCCTACCAGATTAGTAAAGATTTAAATGTTGAGGGTATGGGGAAATATACCTTCATACACTATTGCTAAAATTATAAATTGGTAAAAACTTTCTGGAGGGCAATATATGTTCATTAAAAATATCTGTATGCCACTTTTTCTAGGCACTCTGTTTCTAAGAATTTCTAAGAAAATAATTAGACAAAGGCACAAAGATGTAACTACAAGCGTATTAACTGTAATAGTATGTATAATGTGAAAAAAGTACAAAATAAGCATTAATTAGGATGAGAAAGCATATTTTAAAGGCACAGACAGTGCTAAATTCACCCATTAACTGCAAATTTTGATGATATTATCCATACAGGATTTGCTAAGCATTAAATAATTGGGGCTAGAAAGGTCAGTGAGAAATGTCTCAACTGCTTTACCATGGTGAGTTGACTGTGTAATAGGTACTTAATGGAGAGACAACTTGCCAAAATAGATAGCTGTCTCTCATACTGCCCTGGGGCCTGTTTTTTAATAAAGAACAATTTCAACCCACTTAGCAATGGTAAATGTAGTACAAAGCTTTCAGTTGTTTTGGAGGTAGGGGGAAGAAATCCTAAGCTGACTCAAATAACACAGAGACAGACTAGAATTTCAATGGAAACCAGATGTTCTCATTGTGGTTGTCTTTTAATGGCTATCAACAGTCAAACCCTAACCCCACATCTTCAACATAGACAGTCCAAAGTGAGTCATCCACTAATGACTGGACAAATTACCTGGCTCCTTGTGCATGAGAAGTGCTAGCAGCTTTGGTTTGTGGAGTACTTTCTATGTGCTGGGCCCCATGCTGAAGTATTATACCTATCTTACCTCATTTAATTCTAAGAAACCTGTAGAATCAAATATTTTCCCCATTACAAAAATGAAAAAAACAAATGAGACTATAAGAAGTTAAATGACTGAGTTAAGGTCATCCGGTAGGGATTCAGGCCTGTGTCTGACTCCACAGCCTGGCTTTTTTTTTTTGGAGGCAGGGTCTCACTCTGTCACCCAGGCTGGGGTGCAGTGATGCAATCTCAGCTCACTGCAACCTCTGCCTCCTGGGCTCAAGGGATTTTCTTGCTTTATCCTCCCGAGTAGCTGGGATAGCTGGTGCCTGCCACCACACCTGGCCAATTTTTGTATTTTTTTTGTAGAGACAGGGTTTCACTATGTTGTCCAGGCTGGTCTCGAACTCCTGACCTGAAGTGATCCACCTGCCTCCGCCTCCCAAAGTGCCGGGATTACAGATGTGAGCCACTGTGCCCAGACTTCCACAATTTGGCTTTTCACTTTCACAGTATACAGGACAGCAGGGCTGATATTTGACCAGTAAACACCAATGTGACCACAGTGATTTTCTAAATATTAGAATATTTCCACACTAACTGGTGCCTGGCTGCTGCCCTTAGCCTCTCTTCTGCTGCCCTCCTCTGGGATCCCTGGACAGCCTCTCACAGCCACTAGAGGGCCACACCTGGCCCAGCAGGGGCCCCTAGGGGCCCTTCTGGGGCCTGCTGTTTCCCTAATGTGAGGGTCATTAAGTTTCTGCATATCCCCCATGGTATGGTTTAGATGTTCCTCCCCTCCAATTATGTTGAAACGTGATCCCCAATATTGGAAGTGGGGCCTGCTGGGAGGTGTTTGGGTCATGGGTACTGATCTCTCATGAATGGCTTAGTGCCCTGTAATGAGTTCATGCAGGATCTGATTATTAAAAAGAGTCTGGGACCTCCCTCCTCCCTCTCTTGTTCCCTCTCTTGACATGGGACTCACTCTCCCTTTGCCTTCCACCATGAGTAGAAGCTTCCTGAGGCCTCACAAGAAGCTGAGCAGATGTTGGTGCCATGCTTGTACAGCCTGCAGAAACATGAGCCAAATAAACATCTTTTCTTTATGAATTACTCTGCCTCAGGTATTTCTTCATAGCAATGCAAAATGGACTAGCACACCCCCCGAGTAGAGAAGGTCTCTAGTGAGCCTAGGGCAGAGGAGAGATCACTTCTCCAAGTGACAGCTTTGTTATTTTTCATCTCTAGCTACTGTATTTCATATGTTAAAGGTTTCCTGCCATACCAGTTATAAGTTGATCCCATGTTCACTTTTTGGTGCCACCCAGAATCCCACAAGAGAAGCCTGGCCTTTCTATGTTGCCTCATCATTCCTGGGGGGCCTCACTTTCTCACATCCAGCTCAGTACTGTCAGCTCCAGGGTATAGCTAAATCTTGGGGCATTTGCAATTTGGGGGAATTTCATTTGATCTAAGACATAATTGACTGCCAGATGCACCATTATTTTATGGACCAGGAATGAAAATACTACTACTGAAACCACGACACAATGATAGTGATGTGTCTTATATGAATCACTCACACCAGCATCTTGTTGCTTTGAAATTCCTTTCATCTATTCTGAAGGGCTCAGCAATTTCCTCTGCCTTCAGTTGCCAGGATGGGCAATCCTTGTGCACACTTCTCAGTAGCAAAATGCAACACAGATTCATCTTCTTGTGGGTATCTTCCTTTCTTAGGTTCTAGAAAGGCTGTGTTTGATTTTATTGCTTTGCTAAACGTAGGTAAATGTGGTCATTCCTTCTAAGAATTTTTATGTCTCTCACACCAAATCCACATTCGACTGTTGTTTTCATTCTCTGCTGTGCTATCTCTATGGAAACTTTTCCTATTGACATTGAATGCTAGTGTAATCATTTTGAAGACATTTAAAACAGGGATTGAAACACCTATATTATCAACAGTGCATATAACTCAATTGTGACAATATTGTCAGCAGCTGCAACCAAGTTCTTTTGAGCACAGGCAGAGACAAGCTTGTGATTACTGCCTGGCCAACAATGATTACGAGATGTATCCTGATTTGGAAGATTTTTAAATTTGAAAAGAGTGTGTTTTAGAATGGAGTTAAATGCACTTTGTTTATTTGAGGTGAATCAACTGAATTTTGCAGATGCAAAAACTGAGACTCAGTGTAGTTAATCATTTTGTTTAAAGTCGCAGGCCTTGTAATCGGTGGAGCTGGAACCCAATTCCAGGTCTGTCTGAATCTGAAACCCATGCTTCGTCCCATAACAAGTTGATAATTCATGTAGGGAGAAAAGTCAAATATTTATGGACACTGTTGGTATTGGTGTCTCACCTTGTCCCTGTGGAAATACTGAGCAGTTCTGTGTTCTCATCTGCAGCTTCCATGGGCTTACCTCCTATCCTAATAGCTGAAACCTATAACCTTCTTCAGAGAACTGCCCTTGGGCTACAGAAGCAGCTTACCCTGGATGTTCTCAAGAGTGAAAACTACTCAGGAGTTTTCATGCCTTCAGGGCAGCCCAAGGTGATAGCTGAGGAGTGAAGGAGCAGGAAAGCCGAGCTCTTCTGCCTTGAGGCAGGACAAATTGTGTGGTGTAACTGACCCTCCTGGATCAGGCTGAGGCTAGGACTTCAGCCTGCCTTCTGGCTTCCTCCCTTTCCCTATTCTGCTTCCCCAACTCTCTTACTGCTTTCTCCTGGGAGCCCTTTCTTAACAAATCACTTGCACACATGTTCTCATCTATCAGCTTCTGAGAAACCTGACCCAAGACAATGAAGAAACTGGTGAATAAGGCAGCGTTATGAATAGCACAGTAATGCCCATTGATGATGTTTGTTTGTTTGTTTTTGAGACAGAGTCTTGCTCTGTTTCCCAGGTTGGAGGGCGGTAGCTTGATCACAGCTCACGGCAGCCTCGACATCCTAGGCGAAAGCGATCCTCCCACCTCAGCCTTTCAAGTAGCTGGGACTACAGGCATGTGCCACCATGGCTGGCTAATTAAAAAATATATATTTTGTAGAGATGGAGTCTCACTATATTACCCAGGCTGGTCTTGAACTCCTGAGCTCAAGTGATCCTCCTGTCTCGGCCTCCCAAAGTGTTGGGATTACAGGCGTGAGCCACCATGCTCAGTCCCACTAACTATGTTGATTGAAGCACTTACCTTCATCACTTCCAGTCCTTGGGGAAGTCTTCTAATTCTGAGTCTCTGTTACAGTTTGACTGAGTAATTCGACTTTCACCTTCAAGTTCTAGGACCGGCTGGGTGCAGGGGCTCACTCCTGTAATCCCAGCATTTTGGGAGGCTGAGGCAGGTAGATCGCCTGAGGTCAGGGGTTCGAGACCAGCCTGGCCAACATGGTGAAACCCTGTCTCTACTAAAAATACAAAATTAGCTGGGTGTGGTGGCGTGCACCTGTAATCCCAGCTACTTGGGATGCTGAGGCAGGAGAATCGCTTGAACCCAGGAGGCAGAGATTGCAGTGAGCCGAGATCACTCCATTGCACTCCAGCCTGGGCAACAGAGTGAGACTCTGTGTCAAAAAAAAAAAAAAAAAAAAAAAAAAAAAAAAAAAAAGTAAAAAAGTTCTAGGACCTTTAGCTCTTATTAAATCCTATCCCCTCTGGACCCCAAGTGAGACCCCTGTGGACTCCTGGTCCTAGTGATAATCTCTGCCATATTCAACATCAGTTGCTGGGCTGGAGGCTCTCTGAAACTGCCACTAGGAATCCTGTTTTCATTCTTGTCACTCTTCAGACTCAAATCTAGATTATTCTAGAGGTGGTGTCCCTCAGCTCTGCATTTGGGATTAGTAAAGTCTGGATTTTCCTTCTGTTTTCTTTTTATAAAAATTTTGATTGGAATCATACAGTGTTGAAATGGGAAGAGTGCTGAAAGGTCATCTGGCCATCCAGAGAAAGGAAGAGACTTACTCAAGGTCAAAGAGTCGGCTGGGGAAATGTGCCTCGAAACCCAGTTCTGTTTCTTGTGCTGCCATGCCCTTTGCTCTGGGGCTGATATATTTCTGAGTTAAGATACAGAACAAATCTGGTTTCAAGGAGGAAAATTCCCTCCATTTTGTGTGATAAATTCAAATCTCATTTATATTTAAATTATTCTTCCTTACAATACTCAGAATCCTCAAGACCCTCACACTTTTCTTTCCGCACAGAAACCAAATCCCTTCATCTCTTATCTGGGGTTCCCTAGAAACTTTCATTTATTTCTTGGGGAGGGGGCAATGAACATCTCTGACTCAGGCAAGGCATTGTAGAAGAGCCGCATCAGAATTCTGTCTTCATCTTAGAATTTGATCCTTACTTGCTTGTACCACTAGAGGGAAAAAAGGAAATGGCTAGTCTTTGTGCCCTCCCTGCTCAAATCTCAACTTGAATTTAATCCCCAGGTACTGAGGGAGAGACCTAGTGGTGGGTGATTGGATCTTGGGGGTGGTTTCCTCCATGCTGTTCTTGTGATAGTGAGATCTGTTCTCGTGAGATCTGATGGTTTTAAAAGGGAGCTTTCTCTGCTCTCGCTCTCTCTCGCCTGCTGCCATGCAAGATGTGCCGGCTTCCCCTTCACTTTCTGCCATGATTGTAAGTTTCCTGAGCCACGTGGAACTGTGAGTCAATTAAACCTCTTTCCTTCATAAATTACCCAGTCTTGGGTATTTCTTTATAGCAGTGTGAAAACAAACTAATGTATCCAGAAAGAATATTCACTGAAAAAAAAACACTCCAGGTTTGTACTGCTGTGGTGTTGCCCACAGAAACTTTTTCTGGGGAAATAGGCTAAATTTAAGAGACAGCTGATTTTAGACTTTTTTTCGTTTTGTTTTGAGATGGAGTCTCGCTCCATCACCCAGACTGGAGTGCTGTGGTATGATCTCATCTCAATGAAACCTCCGCCTCTCGGATTCAAGTGATTCTCCTGTCTCAGCCTCCCGAGTAGCTGGGACAACAGGTGCCCGGCACCCACCACCACGTCCAGCTAACTTTTTTGTATTTTTAGGAGAGACGGGGTTTCACCATGTTGGTCAGGCTGGTCTCCAACTCCTGACCTCAGGTGATCCACCTGCCTTGGCCTCCCAAAGTGCTGGGATTACAGGCATGAGCCACCGTGCCCGGCCTTTTTTTTTTTTTTTTTTTTTTGAGACAGTGTCTCACTGTGCTCACCAGGCAGAGGTGAGATCATAGCTCACTGTAGCCTCAAACTCCTGGGCTCAAGTGAACCTCCCACCTCAGCCCCAAGTTGTTGGGATTACAGGCACTTGCCACTAATGCCTGTTTTTTTTGTTTTGTTTTGTTTTTGTTTCTGTTTTTGTTTTTGTTTTTCTTTTGAGACGGAGTCTCACTCTGTCACCCAGACTGGAGTGCAGTGGTGTGATCTCGGCTCTCTGCAATCTCTGCCTCCTGGGTTCAAGCAATTCTCCTGCCTCAGCCTCCCCAGTAGCTGGGATTACAGGCACCCACCACCACACCTGGCTAATTTTTTTGTATTTTTAGTAGAGATGGGGTTTTGCCATGTTGGCCAGGTGGTCTCAAACTCCTGACCTCATGATCCGTCTGCCTCGGCCTCCCAAAGTGTTGGGATTACAGGCGTGAGCCACCGCGCCCGGCCCCGGTTTGTTTTTTAATGCATCATAATCCTGTATAGGAAGGGCATTTTTTCCAAACTTTACCAGCCTGAAGCAGTATTATGAGGGTTTTCTTTTCTTTCTAAAAAAGAAATAACCTTTTCTAGGGTTATTTCTGGGGATCTTCTTGTAGCCCCTCTACCCTCTGATCATGCTTTTGTGTTCTCAAGGCCCCCTGTTGCCTCCTTGTCTTCCTTGGGGGAAAATGTGGCATGGTGGAAAGAGCTGGACCAAGTGGAAGATGGACTGGGTATGCTCACCATTAAGGTCTTCAGGCAGCCTTGATCTTCGTGCCATGTTGGGAACTGGGAAATCATGTCATGGCCTAAGTGACATTGCACATGTTATTTAGCCTTCCTAAGTCTCAGTTGGCATAACCACATTTCCTTTTCCCATCTCACTATTGTCTTGCTGGACCCCTGTTGATTCCAATAGGGATGGCACTGTGTCCAAGAGGCCAAAGAAGAGACTTGGAGACAGTGAATGATATATAGGGTTTATTGGGGGAATGTACCTACAGGGACTGTCCAGTGTTGGTGAGCTGGACGGAACACCTACTGTTTGTAAAAAGCATGCAGTTTACCTAGCATTTTTACTTTGCACCCTCCATCTAGCCCATAACAAAGGGCCTCAATCCCCTATACAACCTGCATTCCAAGGGATGGGTCAGAGGTTCAGACATCCTTCATAGATAAGGAAAGAAACTCTGGACTGGCCACTC
Source organism: Homo sapiens (assembly GCF_000001405.40). Lineage (NCBI taxonomy): Eukaryota > Metazoa > Chordata > Mammalia > Primates > Hominidae > Homo > Homo sapiens. The sequence continues at coordinate 197,354,358 of NC_000002.12, read as the reverse complement.
CCCGGTTCCTTACTGCAGGACTCTGAACACACACTCTTCTGAGGCCACAGGTCATTCTCAGGGTGTGCTTAAGTTACTGCTTTTGGGTGCATCCACCATACAACTGTATAGGGAAGATCACATGAGACCATTTATAATAACGCGCATTCTTATAAAGTGCCACCTTCACTTTGATCCTTGCCTTCTGCTGAGTGATATTGGTCTTAAGGAGTGAATTAGATAAACCAGTACCCTAAACTTCAATCGCTCATATGCTACCTTCATGATTTTTACCATATCCTCATACTACATATATTATTATCAATTTAACATTCATATTTCAATGATATGACAAGGTAAATATATTTATTATTTAATATTAATTTTATATTTTTATATTATATTGAATTATTTTTATTTAATATTATTACTTAAATTTATTATTTAAATGTAGAAATCACTAGCTAAATCCATTTAAATTATTTAAGCCATAATATCTGTGAAAACCCATGTTTGAGATGCTGGTTGCGTTTCCTCCTAATACATATCACAAATACCTGCATAACTTGGAAATAAAAAATCATCTGTCTACAATCATCTCAGTGAAACTCAATAAGATGTACACAATGCTTTGGGAAATCTTTGTTGCCTGTTGGCTTGCTAATGGTGCCTGGCAGTTCTCAGCTATGTACAAAGTGTAAGGTAAGCTCTTCACAGGAGGGTGGGAGGGTGTTGTCAATTTTTGACTCATGTGTAACAGTAATTCGTTCTGGGATTCAGTATACAGGTATTTACATGATGTCTATCAACTGGAATAGGCAGAGGGGATTATATGACACAATAGCATAGTACAGTAGCATAGAACTTGCTGTGGGTAACACATAAAAGGTATAAGGAAAAGTTTAAGCTGGTACCTAGAAAGGTCTTCTGTTGGTTGGATGTGAGATGTAAGGTTATGACCTTAAAAGTGTATACTAGGGTACAGTTAGGCAGTAATAGGATCTGCCTAAATAGTAACATGCTGCTAGAGAGTGACAATCGCAAGTGTGGCTGCTTTTACAGTCAGAGCTATGTTGTTATATTATAGTAGGATTGTATCGTAATTATTGCTGATTTGTTTAGTATTGTCTGAAGACTTTCTTTCAAGTGTACCACTAGTATTCAAAGGTATCCTGCAGACCCAAATGTTCAGAACTGCTGGCCTAATGCTTTAGGCCAGTTACAGTGCACAGAATGCTTAAAGTAGAGGCCCATAAAGGTAATATTATTGGCAGAAGTTTCAGGAAAACTTGCAGGTCAACAAGACATCAATGTGAGAAAAAAATCTGGCTCAGTCATTGATAATGACAGTTAAGTCTTCACTTTGAACATTATGGGTAGGCAATTGGTACAACCACTGGGGAAAAGGCCCATTTTTACTGCACTTGGCTTGCTGCAAAAGGAATTCCAGAATGCCTTTTCTGTCACTTGCCTTGAACTGGCACTTAATTATTTGAGGTTAAGTCTATTTTCTCTGCCTAAATCCATTATGTATACTCTAACCTACTTACTTTCTTATTGAATTGCTTTGATGAGTTATATTTTTTTCTAGTCAATTATCCACTTAATCTGTGTCTTAGTCCTTTTGTGCTGCTACAACAGAATACCATAGACTGGGTGACTTACAAACAACAGAAATTTATTTCTCACAGTTCTGAAAGCTGGGAAGTCCAAGACTGAGGTGCTGGCAGATTCTGTGTGTGGCGAGAGCTTGCTTCTTGGTTCACAGATGACCATCTTTCTACTGTGTCCTCACATGATGAATGGGTGAGGGAACTCTCTGAGGTCTCTTTTATAAACCCACTAATCGCATTTGTGAGTGTTCTACCCTCATGACCTAAACACCTCCCAAATGCCCCACTTCCAAATACCATTGCATTGGGGATTAGGTTTTTTTTTTTTGGAAACGGAGTTTCGCTCTTGTTGTTCAGGCTGGAGTGCAATGGCGCGATCTCGGCTCACTGCAACCTCCGCCTCCCCGGTTCAAGCGATTCTCCTGCTTCAGCCTCCCAAGTAGCAGGGATTACAGGCGCCTGCCAACTGTGCCTGGCGTAATTTTTCGTATTTTTAGTAGAGACAGGGTTTCATCATGTTGGCCAGGCTGGTCTCTAACTCCTGACCTCAGGTGATCTGCCCGTCTCGGCCTCCCAAAGTGCTGGGATTATAGGCATGAGCCAAGGCGCCCGGCTGGGGATTAGGTTTTAAACTATAAATTTGTGTGTGTATTGGGGGGAACACAAACATTTAGTCTATTGGAATTTGTTTTCAGATTTGTTGCCAAAAAGTTGTTCTTAGTTTTCTTTCTTTAAGAAAGTCTTCATTGTATCTATAATGTTCACTTTTTACTGCTAATATTGTTTATTTGTGCTTTCTTTTTTTATTTCTTTATGAATTTGCCGGTTTTGGCTCTTTTATTTTAGTCTTTGAAAAGAGCCAAAGTTTGGCTCTGCTGATTCCCTCTAACTTAGCTTCTTTGTAACCCATCTTTACACCATATCCCTTCACATACATTGCAATATTTGCATGTGAAAAAAAAATCTCCTAATAACTCAAAGCTGTTGCTGTGAATGAATGAAAGTCCCTCTATCTGGAAAAACTTTAAAAGTTTTGCTGTGTGGGTGTATTTCCTTATTTTCCATCCACTTTTCTAAAGTAATTTAATATTATTGCTTGAATTGTCTTCCTTAAGGCAACACTTCACCCCATTCTGGATTTGTTCTCTCTCTGTTTCATTGCTGTTCAAAATCTGAAGCACAAAGTCCTGCATCAAGGGCAGTAAGTGATTAATAGAGTTATTTCTGGCAAGCCCAGGCTCAAGTTAGGCTCTGAAAGATGATTTCAGATGTGGATATTGGGGGCAGTGGTACTCTGGGTAGGATTTGAAGGTGGTGTGTGTGGGCAACAGCAAGGTGATTCCCCATTCCCTCAACCACCAGCACTCAAAACCTGGAGACTCAAAGTCATATTTCCCAACTGGACTCATCTCGATCCTGTTCTCTCTGGCTTTCTGTGCTCCAGAGGCTCAGACATCTTTCAATGTCTCAAATCTGTGCAGCTCCCTCACACTACAGGGATTTTGGACATGCTCTTCCCTCTGCCTGTGACCCCCTTTGTGTCTCTGCCACTTTCTTTTCCTTTCTTTTTTTTTTTCTTGAGATGGAGTCTCGGTGTCTCACTCTCTTGCCCAGGCTGCAGTGCAGTGGCACAATCTCGGCTCACTGCAACCTCAGCCTCCAGGGTTCAAGTGATTCTCCTGCCTCAGACTCTCAAGTAGCTAGGATTACAGGCATGAGTCAACATGCTCGGCTAAATTTTGTATTTTTTTAGTAGAGGTGGGGTTTCACCATGTTGGCTGGTCTTGACCTCCTGATCTCAAGTGATCCACCTGCCTTGGCCTCCCAAAGTGCTGGGATTACAGGCATGAGCCACTGCTCCCGGCCTCTGCCACTCCCTTCTATTCTACTTGTTTTCCTCTCAGATATCTGTTTAACTTCATGAATACCCTTCCTGATTCCCAGTAAGAAAGGTCAAATTCCCCTATTATGACTCATAATGATTGTAGTTTTATTTTATTTTTTTGTCTTGGCACCTCTATGATTGTAATTTTAGATTAGTTATGTGATTCAATGATTAGTTTCCATCTCCTACTCTGGAATGTAAACTCGTTGAGGGCAGGAACTATGTCCATTATTTTTTCACCTTTGCCGAGTGCCTTACAAAGAGTAGGCACTCAGCTAACAGTTGTTTAATTTTCTCTCACTTGCTAATTAGCTAACACATAACTGAACAGGGTAAAGACCTGCAAATTCCCATTTTTAGAGAGATAATGTTCAAACAAGAGCTACTTGATCCAGGACTGCTCAGAATTTGAGAGGCCTCAGTTATTCCTACTTATTGAAGGAAAAGAAGACATGCAAAACAGACTTTTTTTTTTTTTTTTTTTGAGATGGAATCTTACTCTGTCGCCCAGTGGCACAATCTCAGCTCACTGCAAGCTCCGCCTCCCGGTTTCACGCCATTCTCCTCCCTCAGCCTCCCGAGTAGCTGGGACTACAGGTGCCCGCCACCATGCCCAGATAACTTTCTGTGTTTTTTGTACAGATGGGGTTTCACTGTGTTAACCAGGATGGTCTTGATCTCCTGACCTTGTGATCTGCCCACCTCGGCCTTCCAAAGTGCTGGGATTACAGGCGTGAGCCACTGCGCCTGGCCCACAAAACAGACTTTTAAAATTGTGCTATTCTAAATGTTTACATTGAGGTAATTAACACTAATATATAACACATACTACAATATAATTGTGTTACAAGATAATTATGGGATTTGTGAAATTAGTCTTTCATAGTGCACCCAGGCAATGTGGACTGTTATTGGAGTTCAAGCATAAATGTGTACGATGCATGTCATTCTTCAATTGCATTATTGTATCTCTTGGCTCTCTGGGTAGCCTGCTATAACAGAGGCCCTTTGTGAAAGAGATGTTGTCTTAGTCAGTTTGGACTTTGGTAACAAAGTACCCTAAACTGGGTGGCTATAAACAATATAAATTTATTTCTCACAGTTTTGGATGCTGGAAGTCTAAGATCAGATTGCCAGTATGGTTGGGTTCGGATGAAGGTCTTCTCTTCTGGGTTGCAGACTGCAGACTTCTGGTTGTCTCCTCACCTGGTAGAAAGAGGGTGAGAGAGTTGTCTAGGGTATCTTTTACAAGGGCACTAATCTCATTCACCAGGGCTCTATCCTCATGGCTTATTCTCCTACCAGAGGCCACACCTCCTAATACACTCAAATTGGTTGTTAGGATTTCAACAGGTGAATTTTGGGGAACCACAAACACCCAGTCCATTTCAGATGCCCAAGCCATTTCTCTACTGTCTACTTCCATCCCATGATAGGGCCTACCTTGACCAACGATATTAATCTAGCCAAAAAAAGAGCCAGGTAGAAGGAGATTTGCTCAGTCTTGGAAAAGGGAGAGAAAGACTGTCTTAGTCCATTTTGTGTTGCCATAAAAGAATACCTGAGACTGGGTAATTTTTTTTTTAAGAGTTTTATTTAGCACATAGTTAGGTAGGCTGGGAAGCTCAAGAGCATGGCCCTGGCTTCTGGCAAAGGCTTTTGTGCTGCACAACGTGGCAGAGAAGGTCAAAGGGGAAGTGGACATGTGCAGAGAGCCAAACAGAAGGAGGAAACTTGCATTGTAACCCTTGCTCTCAAGGGAACTAATTCATTACTGCAATAACTAATCTACTCTCCAGAGAGTGAGAACTTACTACCATGAGAACAGCACCAAGCTGTCTATGAAGGATCCATCCCCATGACCCAAACACTTCCACCAGGCCTCGCCTGCCAACACTGCCACAGTAGGGGTCCAATTTCAGCATCAGCTTTGGTGAGGACAACAAACCACATTCAAACCGTAGGAGAAACAGACCCTGGAAGCTCTCTCCTGCACAGCATGCACCCTGGCCTGGCAACACCCCCACCCAACTCAAGTGGCAGGTGAAGCCTGCTGAGGAGTTGGAAGTGTCAGGTGGTCACAGCTCCATTATGCCTTCAGCTCCCGTGGCCCTGAATTCAGTCTCACCAAATAACGTGATTATGATTTTTTTTTTAAAGATGGTGTCTCGCTCTGTCATCTAGGCCACTGCACAATCTTGGCTCACTGCAACCTCTGCCTCCCAGGTTCAAGCAATTCTCCTGCCTCAGCCTCCTGAGTAGCTGTGACTACAGGTATGTGTCACCATGCCCGGCTAATTTTTGTATTTTTAGTAGAGACGGGGTTTCACTATGTTGGGCAGGCTGGTCTCGAACTCCTGACCTCAAGTGATATGCCCACCTCAACCTCCCAAACTGTTGGGATTATAGGCATGAGCCATTGTGCCCGGCCACATGTGATAATAATTTGATTTCCAGTGCTGGCAGCACTGTGATCCAGGTAAACCTCTAATAATTTCCCCCCACCCACCATTTAGTGTCATGGAATATTGCTCCATAACATAATGCCACTCCCAGCATTCTTGGGAATATCTGAACCACCAGTCAGTTCTTCAGGCACAAAGTTATGTTAAAAGATTTAACAAATATAAAAAATATTGTATAACACATACTCCAAAAGTATAGGTAGTTATATTGCACATGGACTATGGGAATTGCTGGGTTAACTTCAGTCTTTAAAGTCAGTTCACATCACTCATCTTTTATCCTTTTCCTTGTAGAGAAATGAGGAAACCTTAGATACACTTGCCTCTGTGCTTGACTGACCCAGTGCTTCCTAGGGTGCTACTGAGTGTATTGGGTGACTGAGAACAAAAGGATTAAAGTTGAATGTTCATAGCTCTCTTTTACCCTCTAAAGAGAATTTTCTCTCTCTCTCTCTCTCTCTCTCTCTCTCTCTTTTGAGACAGAGTCTCGCTCTGTCGCCTAGGCTGGAGTGTGCAGTGGTGCAATCATGGCTTACTGCAGCCTCAACTGGACTCAGGCAGTCCTCCTCCACTTCAGCCTCCCGAGTAGCTGGGACCACAGGTGTGTGCCACCATGCCTGGTTAATTTTTAATTTTTTTAAATAGAGATGGGAGTCTCACTATGTTGCCTAGTCTCGAACTCCTGGGCTCAAGTGATCCTCCTGTTTCAGCCTCCCAAAATGCTGGGATTACAGGCGTGAGCCACTGCACTTCCCCTCCGCCCCTAAGAGAATTCTGAGTCTAGCAACTCCCACTTTTCCTTTTCTCCTAAGAGCTGAGGTGGATTCTGCCTTTGCTAGGTTGCTTTCTGGGCTTTCCTGATACAGATTTGGAACAATGGTAGACAATAGATAGAACATAGAAGAAGAGATGAGTTGGAGTATTTTCATGAAAAAAGGCCAAGATTTACTCACAAGAGAGAAGAAAGGGGGAAATGAAAGGAGAGGAAAGTCTAGAGCTATGAGGGGTTTGTTTCTTTCTAAAGAATTTTATATTTGAGAGCTGAAGGTCAAGGAGAGAAAATGTGGATTTGGGAGCAAGTTCTTTTCCATATGGAGGATATTTGAAGTGGTGGAGGTTAAAGAGGGTATTTTTATAATATTGTTTTGTTTTGAGTTAAAAATACACTTTCCTGGCCTTGATGCTTTTCAAGAAAGATGATAGCAATGATTTTAATAGGTTTGAGTTGGGTTGCTGGCCTGTTTCTTTGACTGCAAACCTGCTCTGAGATTTGGCTACTTGGGTCTCCAGTTATATCTGAGCGAGAGATAAATATTGGAGTAAGGCAGTTGCTTCCTCACTGAATGGTCTTTCTTCTTTCTTCAGCCTTAGGATCTTCTTTAACGATGTGGTTAGTTTATGACCTTTGGGGGAGCCTTTGGCTTGAATATATCTCAGTTTCTTAGCCTGGGTTCTCCCCAGACCAGATCCTGAGGCAAAGATTTGAGAACAGGTAGATGATTTGGGAATGCAATCCCAGGGGAAGTCAGGCAGAGAAGGAAAGAAGCTGCTAATACATGGACTTCGCCACTGAGACCAGCACTGGTATGGGTGACTGGTGTTCAGTCCTGGGGGACTTCTGAGGAGCTTTATGAAATACGTCTCAAAACTATCCTCTCAGGGGACAAAAGGGGAATGCATTTATCCATCAGCTCTAATCTTCTATCGGTCAAGGGTGGTCTAGTAGGCTTTAATAGTCCTGGGCTTTTGACTTGTGCCTGCCTAAGAGTGGAGCAGGTTCTCACGGACATCCCACCCTCTGGGTGTCAGAGAAGCCACAGAGCACGAGGCTGGAGGCCCCTGGTGTGGAACAGGGACAAGGTGGCCTCGGGTTGTATTTGCTCAGAGCCGGTTGCAGGCTGCCCAGAACTGGCTGCCCCAGCAGTGGCATGTAAAACATGATGTGTGCAAAAACGCAGACGGCTTGGGAGATGGCAGCGTGTCTGCTGGGACTGTAGATGTGAAGGAGAGCATAGTGGGAGGAGAATCTGAATGAGACTGTGCTGCTATGTAGGCTGAGACAAAGAATACTGGCCTCATCCTGAAAGCAATGGGGAGTCGGCAAAAACTTGATGCAAAAGAATGTCCCTGGTCTCAGTGTGCAGGATGGATGAATGGGGCTATGTATAGCATGTGGGGCTGGGGGTGGGGGTTGTTCTGGAAATTGTGAGACCTGTTAGGAGCCAGTATAGACAGTCCAGGTGAGAGTACACAGTGTGAGGATCTGAAATCAGACTGGGAGGCAGCGGTTACTGAAAGGAGGGGACAGATTTAACCCAGACCAAACAAGGAAAAGCTGGCCATGATGACAAGCCAGTGAGGTGCGTGTGACTCAGGCTGAGTAGAGCAGTCTCATTCCCTTTGGATCACAAGCTATAAGCGCACGGCCTCACAGTTAATGGCTGCCTTCTTTGCCTTATTCTCCACCATATGAGAGACTATATGCAAGCTCTTTTTTTTTTTTGAGACAGGATCTCACTCTGTCACCCAGGCTGATGTGCAGTGGTGTGATGATGGCTCACTGAACCCTCAACCCCTGGGCTCAGGTGATCCTCCCACCTCAGCCTCCCAAGTAGTTGGGACTACAGGCATGCACCACCATGCCTGGCTAATTTTTTGAATTTTTTGTAGAGATGGGATTTCACCATGTTGCCCAGGCTGGTCTCAAACTCCTGAGCTCAAGTGATCCTTCCACCTCAGCCTCCCAAAGTGCTGGGATTACAGACATGAGCCATTGTGCCCGGCCATGAGCTCCTTTTAAACACTTGGATTATTGTCTGGAATGACAATCTTTCAGTACCTAATAGTTAAGGTGCCATTGCTTTTGTTTTTGTTTTCTTCTGGTCCTGAGAGAACAAGGTCAATACACCTCAGAGAGTGAGGAAATTAATGTGTGTGTGAGCGTGTGTGCATTTGTGTGTGTGAGAGAGAGAGAGAGGAAATGAGTTAATTCTGTGGAGTTTCTGCATCCAGTCTAACCCAAGGCCTGTTCTAAACCCGACTTTCCATGGTTTGCTTATGTGACATGTAATTTACCCTTTTTAGCTTAAGCCACTTGAGTTGGGTTTCTCATAATCAAGAATCCTGACTAAAATAACATCTTTGTGTCCCAAGCTTTTTTCTACTTTTTGTTACCCAGGCTGGAGTACAGTGGTGTGATGATGGCTCGCTGAAGCCTCAACCTCCTGGGCTCAAGCGATCCTCTGACCTCAGCCTCCTGAGTAGTTGGGACTACAGGTATGCACCACCGCGCCTGGCTAATTTTTTAAATTTATTTTTTGTAGAGATGGAGTCTCACCATGTTGCCCAAGCTGATCGGGAACCCCTGGGCTCAAGTGACCCTCCTTTGGCCTCCCAAAGTGCTGGGATTTACAGACTGGAGCCACCGTGCCTAGAATATATTCTTCTACGGAAAAATAATAGGTCCAAAATTATCGCCAATTTACACCAACTCCAGAAATGTATAAGAATAACTTATTTCATCATACCCTTACAAGTACTAAGTATCAAACATTTTTTAAACCTTTATTAATTTCTTCAGAAAAAAATTATTTAACATTACTTATTTTTAATTACTGATGAGGTTGAGGCTGTTCCAATTCTACTTGTTTTGTATTTTCTTTTTGGAGAATTTTCTAATAATATCTTTTACCTATATTGGGCCTTCCATTTTTTTTTTAACAAAACCAATATATATAAAATCCTCCCTAGCTAAAAACTTGTTAATTTGCCTATCATGTTTATTTCAAATGTTTTCCTCAGTGTGGATGCTTGCCTTTAATTTAGCAGAAAATAACACAGACCTAATTTCCACTCTTTTGCCTCTATATGTTGATTACAAGCAACATTTTTTTAAAGAAACTGGCTTTTTTTTTTTTTTGAGGCAGGGTTTCACTCCCTTCACCCAGGCTGGAGTGCAGTGGTATGCTTTTGGCTCACTGCAACCTCCACCTCCTGGGCTCAAGTGATTCTCCTGCCTCAGCCTCCTGAGTAACTGGAACGCCAGGCATGTGGCATCACACCTAGCTAATTTTTGTATTTTTAGTACAGACGGGGTTTTACCATGTTGGCCAGGCTGGTCTCAAACTCCTGACCTCAAGTGATCCACCCACCTTGGCCTCCCAAAGTGCTAGGATTACCGGCGTGAGCCACTGTGCTCTGCCAGGAACTGGCTTTTAAAAATGGAAATCTCACGTGGCTGCTGTGGCAGACATGCAGGCCCTGCTCAGATCTCACTTTGAGAAGGAGCTCACATTTCAGCTGTGAGGAGTGCAATGCACTGACTGCCTGTAGATGCAAAACCTTCAGGGTCTGCCATGGCATATGGGAATGGAGACCACTCTCTTCCCAGGCAACTCCTGCTCAACAACTGAGCGTGGCAAGGGTACTAGGTCCTGGCCATCTTTGCCTAACACAGGACTCCTCTGTGAGAAATCTGTGTGTGGAGCCCCTGTTTGATGAAGTGAAATGTCCTCAGAGCTGCACTGCAGTCTGGAACTCTTCCTACCCAAGCCTCCTTCCCTCCCACTCTTCTTTCACAGTTGTCAGACAGATATTACAATCTGAAGGCTTTTTCCTGCCTCATCCTGCTCTCTCTCCTCTTCACTTTTCACAGGAACTACCCTCAGCCAACCTCCGACACCTTTATCTTCATCTTAAAAATTTTGTAAATTTACTTATTAAAAAAATTCACAATTGTGTGTGTGTGTGTGTGTGTGTACAAAATAGTACAACCTGACTGGGTGTGGTGGCTCACGCCTGTAATCCCAGCACTTTGGGAGGCCAAGGTGGGAGGATCACTTGAGTCCAGGAGTTCAAGACTAGCCTGGGCAACATGGAGAAACAGGAAAAAAAAATTTAGGCAGGGATGGTGGCACACGTCTGTGGTCCTAACTACTCAGGAGACTGAGGTGGGAGGATGGCTTGAGCCTGAGAGGCACAGGTTACGGTGAGCCGAGATTGTGTCATTGCACACTGAGTGACAGAGTGAGATTCTGTCTCAAAAGAAAAAAAAAAATAGGAGGCTAAATCAAGCTAATTAACATAGACATTATCTCACGTACTTATTTTGTTGTGGTTAGAACACTTAAAATCTGCTGTCTTAACAATTTTCAAGTAGACAGTATATTGTTATTAACTAGAATGAATAGATCTCTTTTTTTTTTTTTTTTTTTTTTTGAGACGGAATCTTGCTCTGTCACCCAGGCTAGAGTGCAGTGACACGATCTTGGCTCACTGCAAGCTCCTCCTCCCGGGTTCACACCATTCTCCTGCCTCAGCCTCCCAAGTAGCTGGGACTACAGGTGCCTGCCACTCTGCCCGGGTGGTCGAGCCAGGATGGTCTCAATCTCCTGATTTCGTAATCCGCCCACCTCGGCCCCGCAAAGTGCTGGGATTACAGGCGTGAGCCACCGCGCCCGGCCATGAATAGATCTCTTGAACTTATTCCTCCTAACTGAAATTTCATACCCTTTGACCACACCTCCCCAGTTTCGCCACCCTCATCTTCATCTTGGCATCTGCTTCTGGAGGACATACCTGACAGTTATTGTTACTGTGAAGTAGTTCAGGGAAATATAACAGAGAAAAGAAGAATCAAACTCAATCCTACCATTCGAACACATCTATTAGTACACAGAAGCAGACGGAAGATAGTTGGGTAGATGGCTGGAGGGACAGGGCAGAGATTTACTTTTGTCCAGTTGCCTGCTTATCCTCACATCTGGAACACAGTGGCACACAGCACGATCCACAGGCTTGCTCAATAAATTGAGAGATCAAGCTGTTTTCTACGAATGAGATGATACTGTATCTTTTTCCACTAAAAATACTGAGTTTAATTTTACTTGAATTTATCAGAAGAAAAAGTTTTAGTAAAACTTAAGGAATTGCTGAACTTCAGAAAAGACTAATCACCACAAAAGGAAACAATTTCCAGTAGGAACACCCTCAAATTTAAAAAATTTTATTTTTAAAACTTTTTTTTTTTGGAGATGGGGGGTCTCTCTATGTTCCCTGGCTGGCCTCAAACTACTGGGCTCAAGAGAGCCTCCTGCCTCAGCGTCTTAAGTGGCCAGTACTATGGGCACCTACCATGGCCAAATTATTTAATGAATTATCTTTGGCATTTTCTTTCTTTTTTCTTTCTTTCTTTCTTTCTTTCTTTCTTTCTTTCTTTCTTTCTTTCTTTCTTTCTTTCTTTCTTTCTCTCTCTCTCTCTTTCTTTCTTTCCTTTCTTTCTCTCTCTCTCTTTTCCTTCCTTCCTTCCTTCTCTCTCTCTTTCTTTCTTTTTTTGAGATGGAGTATCGCTCTGTCACCCAGGCTGGAGTTCAATGGCACGGTCTCGGCTCACTGCAACCTCCACCACGCAGGTTCAAGCAATTCTCTTGCCTCAGCCTCCTGAGTAGCTGGTACTACAGGCAAGTGCCACCACACCCAACTAATTTTTCTATTTTTAGTAGAGATGGGGTTTTACTATGTTGGCCAGGCTGGTCTCGAACTCCAGACCTCAGGTGATCCGCCTGCCTTAGCCTCCCAAAGTGTTGGGATTATAGGCGTGAGCCACCGCACCTGGCCCACATTTTCAATAATTTTTCTAGATACATTTTTGAATCCTGTCGTTATCCCTCAAAAAATTCCATAAGATTAATAAAACAGTAGTATGTTAAACTTATAAATTTATTTCTGATTGTCTTTGTTTGTGCTGCTATAACAAAATACCACAGACTGGGTAATTTATAAACATTAGAAACTTATTTCTCAGTCGGGTATGGTGGCTCACGCCTGTAATCCCAGCACTTTGGGAGGCCGAGGCAGGTGGATTACCTGAGGTTGAGAGTTCGAGACCAGCCTTGCCAACATGGTGAAACCCCGTCTCTACTAAAAATACAAAAATTAGCCAGGCGTGGTGGCAGGCACCCATAATCTTAGCTACTCGGGAGGCTGAGGCAGGATAATTGCTTGAATCTGGGAGGTGGAGGTTGCAGTGAGACGAGATCACGCCATTGCACTCCAGCTTGGGCGACAAGAGCGAGACTCTGTCTCAAAAAAAAAAAAAAAAAAGAAATTTATTTCTCACAATTCTGGAGGTTGGGAAGTCCCAGATGAAGGCATTGGCAAGTTCTGTGTTTAATGAGGCCTGCTTTCTCCTTCCAAGACTGTGCCTTGTTGCCCCAACCTTGGGAGGATGAACACTGTGTTCTCACATGACAAAATACAGAAGGACAAAGGGACAAACTCTTCCTCAGGCTCTTTTATAAGGGTGATAGTCCCGCCTATGGGGCAGAGCCCTCATGGTCTAGTCACCTTCCAAAGGCACCACCTTTTAGTACTATTGCACTAGGGATTATGTTTCAACATGGATTTTGGAGGGCTCACAAACATCGAAACCATAGCAGTGATAAATTGACATCCTCACTATACTCATTTTTAAATCTAAAAATATAATGTTTCTGCATTTATGTAAATCTCTGCATCCTTTCAACTTGGATTTGCATTTAAAAATTATGCAATGCAAATTTTTCATAAATATATTCCTATGCCTAGATATTTTATAGTTTGTGAAAGTGTAAATATCATTTAAAAGCAAATGCAGCCGTGTGCTGCATAATGACATTTCAGTCAACAATGGAGTGCATAGATGATGGTGGTCTCAGAAGATTATAATGCCAGCCGGGTGTGGTGGCTCATGCCTGTAATTCCAGCACTTAGGGAGGCCAAGGTGGGCGGATCACGAGGTCAAGAGATCGAGACCATCCTGGCCAACATGGTGAAAACCTGTCTCTAGTAAAAATACAAAAATTAGCCGGGCGTGGTGGCGCATGCCTGTAGTCCCAGGTACTTGGGAGGCTGAGGCAGGAGAATCACTTGAACCCTGGAGGTGGAGGTTGCAGTGAGCAGAGATCGCTCCATTGCACTCCAGCCTGGTGACAGAGCAAGATTCCATCTCAAGAAAAAAAAAAAAAGATTATAATGCCATATTTTTACTACACCTTTTCTATGTTTAGATATATTTAGATACACAAATACCATTGTGTTACAATTGCCTACTGTGTTACAATTGCCTACAGTAACATGCTGTACAGGTTTGTAGTCTAGGAGCAATAGGCTACACCATATAGCCTAGGTGTGCAGTAGGCTGTACCATCTAGGTTTGTGCAAGTATCCTCTGTGATGTTGGCACAATGACAGAATCACCTAACAACATGTTTCTAAGAATGTATCCCAGTCATTAAGCGACGTGTGACTGTAAATGATAATTTAGGACAACAAAGCCTATTGCTCTCATGAACAATTCAGAGTGTGAGGACCATGGAAGACAGAGGAAGGTAGAGAGCCACTGTCAGCACCTCTTCTCAGATGGAATCCTGCCACTTGTCCTCAGCAGCTTGTCCCCAGTTGATCCCTGGACGCTGACTCCCATTTTGGTATAGCTGGTCTCCTTGTTGGCAGAGCCTTCTTTCCACCAAAGGGGCTGAATGCTGGATTTTATGTTTTAGCCTCTCTTGCAATGAGAACCTGGACATGTGACTCAAACAGGTCAGTGAGATATAAAAGGAAACCTGTTGAGTATCTGGAAATGATTTTTTTCCCTGATAAGAGAGAAAAAAGCAGGAAGAAAGGCCACCCCCTCACTTTCTTCCTGCCTTTGAACATTGATGTGTGAGAATGTATTGCCCAGAGCTGTGGCAACCATCTCGAAACTATGGGGTGAAAGCCGGGCGTCTCTTCCATCCCAGAGACCCCATGTCACATGGCACTGCATCAACCAACCCTAGAACTGCCAAATGGAATAATGAAATGTTATCATTTGTGTGTCCTGTCACGTGCAACCAAAAGCACACTGTCTTATATGCTCTCCAAATCTGCCTTTGTCCCTCTCTGCTCTCTGTCCTGCAACTCATTTCTAGTTGATAGGCTGTCAGAGTGGCCTTGTTAATACCTCCAGATCTCACCATTTCTGCTCTCTGCTCTCCCACACATTCCTTCTCCTTCTTACTCTAGAAATCAGCCCCATCTGCTTCTGGCTAGAGCTCGAGTCTTCCACTCTTGTCTATATTCTGCTTGACCATTTGTCAGGAGTTTAAAAAACATGCGATTTTGCACACCGCTGTTCACGCACATATGTTTCTTTTTCTGCTCATCACTGATTCGCTCTTTGTGTGGTAACAGTGTTTTGATCTCCGAGGAGGAATGCTCTGCTTTCCTCTCAGTTCATGTTGTGTGAACAGAGGGATCCCATCCTTCGTGTTCCAGGCCCGGCTGCTCTTCCATTCTCACTGGCTCATGCACTAGCAAGTGGCACAACTGCAGCCAATGAGTTTCCACCCTGGGACCTTTATTTAATTAAACTAAGTAGAAATAAAGGTATCCCTTTTAGCAGGGATTGACAGAATCAGGCTGATGCAAGGCTGGAGTTCTGGGACCTGTAGGAAGTTGGGCTAAAAATAAGTAAAAACCAGAAAATACCAGGCAGAAAACAGAGGGAGAAAAACAAGACCTGGTGACATTGTTTGAACCCCTTGACTTTTTAAATGAAGTGACTCAATAATTTGCCTTTTTTTGCTTAGGCCAGTTTGAGTTTGATGCTTGTCACTTGGACTTGCACCCAAGGAAGTCTTGATCCATAGAGCACTTGGCAGGGCATGGTGGCTCACGCCTGTAATCCCAGCACTTTGGGAGGTTGAGGCGGGTGGATCACTTGAGGTCGGGAGTTCGAGACCAGTCTGGCCAACATGGTGAAACCCTGTCTCTACTAAAAATACATAAAAATTAGCTGGGCATGGTGGCACACACCTGTAGTCCCAGCTACTTGGGAGGCTGAGGCAGGAGAGTCACTTCAACCCAGGAGGCAGAGGTTGCAGTGAGCCGAGATAGTGCTACTGCACTCCAGCCTGGGCAACAAAGCGAGACACTGTCTCAAAAAAAAAAAAAAAAATAGATATAGGCCTTGGCTGGACACGGTGGCTCATGCCTGTAATCCCAGTACTTTGGGAGGCTAAGGTGGGCAGATCACCTGAGGTCAGGAGTTCGAGACCAGCCTGGGCAACATGGTGAAGCCCCGTCTCTACTAAAAATACAACAACAACAACAACAACAAACAAACAAACAAACAAAAAATTAGCCAGGCATGGTGGCCTGTGTTTGTAATCTCAGCTACTCCAGAGGCTGAGGCAGGAGAATCGCTTGCACCTGGAAGGCGGAGGTTGCAGTAAGCCGAGATTGCACCACTGCACTCCAGCCTGGGCGACAGAGTGAGACCCTGTCAAAAAAAAAAAAAAAAAAAAAAAGAGAGAGAGAGAGATAAAGCCCTCAAAAATCTTTGGGTATTGATAGCATATTACCCCCATCTCATCATCATAGTACCCTGGCACTATCCTCTTCCCCACCTCAGGTATTTCTCCAGGTGTCTCACACATATATGCTGCTGACAAGGCCTCTCATACCCTTCAGCTCCAGTCTCTGGTTGGTGTCTCCTACCCATTAGTCACTTGAGGGAGGGACTCATCACTGTCCAAGCTGCCTGGGTGCTCCATGAGGACTGATCAGCTGTCTTAGTCTGTTTGTGCTGCTATAACAGAATACCAGAGACTGGGCCATTTATGAAGAACAGGAATGTATTTCTCACAGTTCTGGAGGCTGGGAAATTTAAGATCAAGGTGTTGGCAGGTTCAGTTATCTGGTGAGGGATGCTCTCTGCTTCCAAGATGGCATCTTGTTGCTGCATCCCCTGTAGGGGAGGAACACTGTGTCCTCACATGGCGGAAGGGAGGGGCAGGCCAGCAAGCAAACCAAAGGCTGAATGAAGCCTCTTTTATGAGGGCCTTCATTCCATTCACAAGGGGAGGAGCCCTCATGACCAATCACCTCTTAAAACCATTACATTAGCCATTAAGTTTCAACACTTGCATTTTATTTATTTATCTCTCTTTTTTTTTTTTTTTTTTTTTGAGGTGGAGTCCTGCTCTGTCGCCCAGGCTGGAGTGTAGTGGCGTGATCTTGGCTCACTGTACTCTCCGCCTCCTGGGTTCAAGCAATTCTCCTGCCTCAGCCTCCCTAGAAGCTGGGATTACAGGCGTGCACCACCACGCCCAACTAACGTTTGTATTTTTTAGTACAGACAGGGTTTCACCATGTTGGCCAGGCTGGTCTTGAACGCCTGACCTCAGTTGATCCACCCGTTTTGGCCTCCCAAAGTGCTGGGATTACAGGTGTGAGCCACTGTGCTCGCCCCTAACACCTGCATTTTAGAAAGGACACATTCAAATCATAGCACGCTACTCTATCATCTCAGTTTAGATTCTATTATAAACCCAAAGCAGCTGCCAAAGATGAGAAGGTAAGGTGGGTTCATTGTGCAGCAACATGGAAATCCCTCATAGCCACAAGAAGAAAAAGCTCATAGTTTAATACGAAAATGGTGCCTGAGATAGAAATCCAATTTTAAACAACAAGAAGTTTAAAGACATTGACTCCATGAGCAAAAAACTGGAATTCAGAACCTGTGAGGAAACCCATGGTAGTTGTGTGGTAACATTTGCAAGGTTTCGTGGAAACTTGCTAACATGAACATATGTTTAACATCTTAAAAAAAAATGTACAAAATGGGTAAAGTAAAATTTAATTATTGCCTTAAAAAGCCAAGAATATTAAACGTGTGTTAAGAACTACTACATGGGGCTAGACTTCTGTCCATAGTTTTAGCAAGTAATTTGAAATGTCTCTAAGTTTATTGTTAGGTTAATTGTTTTTACTGAGGGCAACTGCCTACATTACAGTTAAATCAATTTATTATTGCTTCATTTAGAAACATAAGTCCTCAGGAAATATGTCAGTATAAAAGGGGCAGCTCAAAAGCCAATCCCTTTCGTTCTTTAAAGATGAGCTTTATGTTGGTCCTTATTTCAACTTTACTTACAGTGACAGAAGTTATCACAGAGCATTTTCATGATAGTCTAATGCAATTAAAACTATGATTTAATGCAAGATGGTGTTCTGTGCAACCACAGTCTGAACAAACCTGAGTTCCAATTACAGTTCAAAAATGAGCTTATCCCAAGCAAAGCCTGCAGTCGTAGCTACTTGGGAGGCTGAGGCTTTCATCCTTTTATCGTTTGAGCTCAGTTAGATCCATACTGCAGTGAGCTATGATTGTGCCACTGCATTCCACTTTCCAGCCTGGGCGACAGGGTGACTCTGTCTCTTAAAAAATAAAAATAAAAAGAGCCGGCTGGGTGAGGTTGGGATTTCGAGACCAGCCTGACCAACATGGAGAAACCCTGTCTCTACTAAATATACAAGATTAGCTGGTGTGGTGGCGCACGCCTGTAATCTCAGCTACTCAGGAGGCTGAGACAGGAGAAACGCTTGAATATGGGAGGCGGAGGTTGCAGTGAGCCGAGATGGCGCCATTGCGCTCCATCCGCAACAAGAGCAAAACTCCATCTTAAAAAAAAAAAAAAAAAAAAAAAAAAGAGCTTAGCTACCTTTCCTCAGCGTCTTCCACCAAAATGGCTCTCCAGGAAATACTTGGGTGACCTCTTTATTGTCCTTATCTATTTCCTTTAAACTTTAAAATTATAGTTTAAAATTGCAAGGAAGGCCGGGTGCAGTGGCTCCTACCTGTAATCCCAGCACTTTGGGAGGCTGAGGTGGGTGGATCAGCTGAGGTCAAGAGTTTGAGACCAGCCTGGCCAACGTGGTGAAACTCTGTCTCTACTAAAAATACAAAGATTAGCCAGGTGTGGTGGCACGCGCCTATAGTCCTAGCTGCTCAGGAGGCTGAAGCACGAGAATCGCTTCAACCCAGGAGGCGGAGGTTGCAGTGAGCTGAGATCGTGGCACTGCAGTCCAGTCTGGGAGGCAAAACGAGACTCTATCTCAAAAAAAAAATAATAATAATAATAATTGCAAGGCAAAAAAAAAAAAAAAGATGCAGTAGGGGAAACTTGTAGTTTTCTTTTCTTTCTTTCTTTCTTTCTTTTTTTTTTTTCTTCAGGGTTTTTCTCTGTAGCCCAGGCTGGAGTGCAGTGGCAAAATTATGGTTCCCTGCACCCTTGACCTCCCGTCCCAGGCTCAAGCGATTAACTGGGACTACAGGCACACACCACCACACCTGGCTAATTTCTGTATTTTTTGTAGAGAGGGACTTTCATCATGCTGTCCAAGCTGGTATTAAACTCCTGGGCTCAAGCGAACCTCCCACCTGGGCCTCCCAAACTGCTGGGATTATAGGTTTGAGCCATCACCCCTGACCCAGTTTTGAAAGACATAGCACTCAATCACAATATGTGGACTTTGATCAAATAAACACATTGTAAAATAAACTTATGGCCTTTATGAAATGACTGGATATTTTAACAGCTACTGAATATTTGGTAATACTAAAGAATTACTGTTGATTTTTTTCAAGTGTGATGATGGTATTGTGGTTATTTTTTTATTTTTATTTTTTTGAGATGGAGTCTCGCCCTGTCGCCCAGGCTGGAGTGTAGTGGCACGATCTCAGCTCACTGCAACCTGCCCCTCCCGGGTTCAAGCGATTCTCCTGCCTCAGCCTACCAAGTGGCTGGGATTACAGGCATTCGCCACCATGCCCAGTTAATTTTTGTATTTTTAGTAAAGACAGGGTTTCTCCATGTTAGCCAGGCTGGTCTTGAACTCCTGTCCTCAAGTGATCCACCGACCTTGGCCTCCCAAAGTGCTGGATTTACAAGTGTGAGCCACTGCACCTGGACTGGTATTGTGGTTATGGTTAAAAAAGAGAGTCATTGCCTTTTAGGGAACAATATATGAAATGTGTGGACGAAATGATAGGATGTCCAGGATTGCTTCAGAATATAAGGGGTAATGAAATGGATGGTGGTATGGAAGAAATAAAATTAGCCATGGGTTGATAATCATTGAAGCCAGGTAATGGGTAAGTGGGGAGTTCATTTTACTGTTCTATTTTAGTATTTGAAATTCACTACAATAAAACATTAAAAACTTTTGTTCTTTGGTAGCATTTAAGGTAAGATTCACTTTAGTGTTGTCCTTCAAGGAGCTGGAATTTGGGGCTGAGTTTCTTTCTGCCAGCTTGTTCTACACTCTTTAACTGTGAACTTTCCTCAGGGTCTCCTCTCTTTCAAATCTCTTCCTGTTCCTTTCATGATCTCTTTTACTCCCCTGGCTTTCATTAGCAACCATATGCTGACACATCTCAAATCTGAATCTTCTCTCATGTTCAAATCCATGTACATATTTTCAGATTTGGCGGTCCCAAATGCACTCCATACTCAGCTGAGCTCAGCATCTCCATCCCCCAAACCTGCTCCTTTTTCTGCATCGCTGTCTCAGTGGCCACAGAGAATCCTGTGCATTTCTTTATCTGGCTCATGCCTATAATTCTAATTTCTACAATGAGGAATTGACTGTGTCTGATCTTATAGTTATGAATTTCATGAGTGAACTGAGTATATATTGAGTGCCCATTGTTGGGCATTCTATTTTCCTGGAATTTTGTGTCTGCCTAGCATAGTGCTTCACATAGAATTGGCTGTTAGAGATCTCTTGTTGACTGATTTTCTTTTTTTTCTTAATGAAACATTACAACAATGCAAGGAGAAAAAGATTGAAGAATAACAAATCATGATCTGTGTACCTGTCACCCAGCTTAAGAATAAAATTTGCCTGGGCACGGTGGCTCATGAATGTAATCCCAGCACTTTGGGAGGCCAAGGTGGGTGGATCATCTGAGGTTGGGAGTTCGAGAACAGCCTGACCAACGTGGAGAAACCCTGTCTCTACTAAAAATACAAAATTAGCTGGGTGTGGTGGCACATGCCTCTAATCCCAGCTACTCAGGAGGCTGAGACAGGAGAATCGCTTGAACTTGGGAGGTGGAGGTTGCTGTGAGTCGAGACTGCGCCCTTGCACTCCAGTCTGGGCAACAAGAGTGAAACTCCATCTCAAAAAAAAAAAAAGAAAAAAGAAGTAAAATTTTAGAAGATAAAATTCAAGACTGTGTGTATTCTCCACGATGCCATCTCCCTCCTTTCCCAAAGGCAATTGTGCTTGATTTGATATTTATCATTTCAATGAAAGTATTTATATTTTTAATACTATGGGGTACTCTTTTGAACATTTCAAACTTCATATAAAAGATACCACACCGTATTCTTTTACAGCTTTGTTGGCATAATGTTGTTTTGGAGATTTATTCATGTTAGTACATGACACTCATTCATTCATTTTCACTGTTGTACAGTAGTTGTTTATATTTATCCATTCTCTTGTGGATGAACATTGAGATTGTCCATTCTTTCTTTATTATAAACAGTGCTGCAATGAATATTTCTCCTTATTCATCTGTGGGAGTGGAATTGTTGGGTAACTTTAGTAGGTGTTACCTAATTATAGTTGTTTATAATCCCAAATGCAAGCAAGGCAGTTTCTGTTCACAACCAGCATTTGGCATGTCAGACTTTTAAATTATTGCTCATCTAATTGGCATGAAGAGGAACTCATGGGATATTATTCTTATTTTTATTTATTTATTTTTGAGATAGGGTCTTGATCTATCACCAGACTGGAATGCAGTGGCATGATCGTGGTTCACTGAAGCCTCAACCTCCTGGGCTCAAGTGATTTTCCCACTGCAGCCTCCTGAGTAGCTGGGTCTACAGGTGCGCATCACCACACCTGGCTAATTTTTTGATTTTTTTTGTAGAGATGGGGTTTCACCATTTTGCCCAGGCTGGTCTTGAACTCCTGTTCTCAAGAGATCCTCCTGCCTTGGTCTCCCAAAGTGCGTGCTGGATTGCAAGCATAAGCCACTGCGCCTGGCCTTCATGGGATTTTAAATTGCATTTCTCTGATGATTGCTGAGATCAAGTGTCTTTTTTGTGAGTTTATTGGCCAAACTTTTCTCTTTCATTAATCACCTGTTTATATGATTTTTAAATTGTGGTAAAATATTTTTTTAAATTTTGATAAAATATACATAAAATTTACAATTTAAGCTATTCTTAAGTGTACAATTCAGTGCCATTAAGCACATCCATACTGTTGCACAACCTATATATCTTATTAATTTTCTATTTCAATGTGTTTAAAATTGTTACCCACCGTAAGAACTTTATTTCATACTGTGATCCAGCATGTACACAGGCATGCAAACATATAGATACATACCTAAAATAAAAATTCCACAAAGTAACATTTATCTTTAATATGTGGAATGCATTCAGATATTTTCTATTCTATTCTGTTTTATCTTATTAAATGCTAGTCCACAATCCATGAAATTGATTTCAGGATCTCCTAATGGGTCAACTACACTTTTAGAAAAACTGTTTTATTGGATTATATTTCTTTTCTTATTTTTGTATTTTATTTTAGATACTAAGGCTTTGTTGGTGATATGCTTTGCAAATATTTTTACTAACATAGCTTATCTTTTGACATTATTCATGATATTTTGATGGATTGAAATTTTCAGTTTTAATGTAGTTAAATATTTTAATTTTTTCCCTTTGTGTTTTGGGCTTCTTGTGTCTTGTTTTAGAAATCCTTCCTTTTCTCACAGTCTTAAAGATATTTTCCTATATTGTCCACTGATTTGTTTTAAAGTTTTTTTTTTTTTTTGAGATGGAGTCTCACTCTTCTCACCCAGGCTGGAGTGCAGTGGCGCAATCTTGGCTCACTGCAACCTCTGCCTCCCAGGTTCAAGCAATTCTCCTGCCTCAGCCTCCTGAGTAGCTGGGATTACAGGTGTGCACCACCATGCCCAGCTGATTTTTGCATTTCTGGTAGAGACAGGGTTTCACCATGTTGGCCAGACTTGTCTCAATCTCTTGACCTCAGGTGATCCACCGTCTTGGCCTCCCAAAGTGCTGGGATTACAGGCGTGAGTCACTGTGCCTGGCCTGTTTTAAAGTTTTGATTTTCTACTTAGATATTTAATCAAGCTGACATGAATTTTTGTGTGTGTTTTGAGGTAGGGATATAACTTCATTTAATACCATATGATGTGATATGGAACCATATGATATGACAATATATGAAACCAACTATTCCAGCATCATTTATTGAATAGTCAGTCTTTACTCCCACTGATCTGCAATGCTACCTTTGTCAAATATCATGTTCCCATATATGAGTAGGTGATATGGTTTGGCTGTGTCCCCACCCAAATCTCATCTTGAATTGTAATCCCCATAATGCCTACGTGTCGAGGGAGGGAGCTATGGGAGGTGATTGGATCATGGGGACAGTTTCCCCCATGCTGTTCCTGTGATAGTGAGTGAGTTATCACGAGATCCAATGGTTTTATAAACATCTGGCATTTCCTCTGCTTCCACTTCTCTCTCCTGCCGCCATGTGAAGAAGGTCCTTGCTTTCTCTTTGCCTTCTGCCATGATTGTAAGTTTCCTGAGGTCTCCCCAGCCATGTGGAACTGTGAGTCAACTAAACCTCTTTCCTTTATAAATTACCAAGTCTTGTGTATTTCTTTATAGCAATGTGAAAACGGACTAATACAATAGGTCTGTTCCTGAGGCCTCTATTCTATTCTGCTAATTGCTGTATCGCCTTAGTTGCTAATCTTTTATAATAAATCTTGGCACCTGGTATGGTATGTCTCTCTGCCTTGTTCTTCTTCATAATTGTCTTGGTTATTCTTAGCGTCCATAAATTTTGAAATCAGTCTATCAAGTTTCATGAAAAACTCCATTGGTATTTTTATTAGAATTACATTGATTAACAGATTGATTTGGGAATACTGAAATGTTTAAAACTTTGACTTTTCTCATCCACTAAGATGGTATACCTCTCTACTTGTTTTTTGTTTTTTTGTTTTGTTTTTGTTTTTGAGACAGAGTCTTGCTCTGATGCCCAGCTCAAGTGCAGTGGCATGATCTCGCCTTACTGAGGCCTCTGCCTCCCAGGTTCAAGCGATTCTCCTGCATCAGCATCCCGAGTAGCTGAAATTAGAGGTGTGTGCCACCATGCCTGGCTAATTTTTGTATTTTTAGTAGAGATGGGGTTTTTCATGTTGGTCAGGCTGGTCTTGAACTCCTGACCTCAGATGATGCACCCACCTCAGCTTCCCAAAGTGCTGGGATTATGGGCATGAGCCACCATGCTCAGCCATCTCTACTTATTGAGATCTCTTTAAATGTCTTGCAGTAAAGTTTTATAATTTCCTCCAGATAGGTTTTGTATAAATTTTGTTAGATTTATTCATAGGTACCTTCTAGTTTGGGTTGCTATAGTAAATGGTATCTTTTCTTTTTCAAGTATGTTTCCTATCCCCTAACCTTAGTGGTTAGCATAAGTCAATAAAAAATTATAAAAAGCAAAAAAATTATGTTATCTAGTTTTTCATCAATGACGTATAACAGGAGTTGCAAACTATGGCAAACTATGGGCAAAATCTAGCCTGCTCCCGATGTTATTGAAACACAGCCATGCCCATTTGTTTACATATTGTCAGTGGCTGCTTTTGCACTACAATGGCAGAGTTGAATAGTTAAGATAGAGATCATGTGGCCTGCAAAATCTAAAATATTTGCTCTTTGGCTCTTTATAGTTAAAAAAAAAAAAGGCTGCCACCTGGTGTATGGGAGCACTACTAATTTTTGTATATGTGTTTTATATTGAGCAACCTGGCTGAACTGTCTTACTAGTGCTAATGACTTATATGTTAATTCTCTTAGATTGTTTTGTAAACTATTATATTGTCTATGATTAATGACACTTTTGTTTTTTCCTTTCCAGACCTTATGCTAGCTTACTTCTTTTGAGGAATGTTGAGTAGAAGTAGTGATAGCAGACCAGACATGGTGGCTCACACCTGTAATCCCAGCACTTTGGGAGGCCGAGGAGGGCACATCACCTAAGCTCAAGAGTTTGAGACCAGCCTGGCTAACATGGTGAAACCCTGTTTCTACTAAAAATTCAAAAAAAAAAAAAAATTAGGTGGGTGTGGTGGCATGCGCCTGTAATCCCAGCTACTTGGGAGGCTGAGGCAGGAGAATTGCTTGAACCCAGGAGGCAGAGGTTGCAGTGAGCCAAGATGGCGCCATTACACTCCAGCTTAGGCAACAAGAGTGAAACTCTGCTTCAAAAAAAAAAAAAAAAAAAATGTAGTGAAAGCTGGCCTCCTAGCTTTGTTCCTGACTTTAAAGAAAATGCTTCTAACTTTTCACCATGAAGTAACAGGTTTGCTTTCAATTTTTGGTAAATACCAAATATCAAATTAAGGAAGTTGTTCTCTATTTTTCTACATTTACCTTTAAAAGTTGTTTCTTAATTATCAATGAATGCTGAGTTTATCAAATGCTTTTTTGATACCTATCGAACACCTATTGGATCGCATGTTTTTCTTTTGATTCTTTGACCATTGTGTATTATAGTATGAAAAATCATTAGAACGAATAATATCTATTTGTATTTTTCTTCTGGTTTTCTAATTTCCTTTCTCTTCCATGCTTTGGCAATTTGACATCTATTTAACCACATAAAGTTATCAAATTAAAATGAACTTCTTGACAATAACTATAGAGGATGTTTCTGACTGTGTCTGAGCTGAAACTGGTTAAGTGGTGTCAATTCACAGTACACCACAGGAAAGTCTGCAAGATCGTTCCTACATTCAGAGATGAGAGAGAGGGAAGTGCGAGGACAGTATACTGCTTGGTCTCCATCGCTTCAGACCCATGCAGTAGGTATGAATTCTCTAGAGAGACTATGGTATCCACATTTCTGCATGGACCAGCGCATAGCATTGGCCCTATGTGGCCTGAAGGGTTAGCAATGTCACTCAGCATATCAAAGATTTTTACAGGTTTGGCAGCACTGATGACTATTATGAAGAGAATATCTTTTCTCTGAGCTTCAGCAGAACAGTGGCAAGACAACGGGATGGCAAGGGGTTGCAGGGGCTCAGCAGACTCAGTAGGTTCCCAGCAAATCCCTGAGGGAGAGTAGCAGTTCCTAGTGTTGATTTATTCCTCAACACTTGTGAGACACCCTTATGACTTTCTAGCATCACTTAGGGTCTGGAGTGGAGGTAGGGAGCTCATAGCCAGGAACATATTTGGGTTTAATTGTTAATGTAACCTTAGGCTCTTGGGGCTTGAGGAATTAGGGCTCCATATCCCTACCTGCAGCATTCTAAGAGTTTTTTCACTTAAAGTTTTTGCATGTCAGTAAGATCTATTGTAGACCTTGCAGTACTCCTAAAGACTTACCAGAGACTATTTGGTGGATTTTATATTTGCCAGCTTATTTTTCACCATGGGCCATGCACTGGCAGTTACACAGCAGAGAAAGAGTAAATGTGAAACATGCAAGCACATTTCGGGACTCTTTTGCTTTGTTCTTAATTTCCTTGCAAATGCTACATCCAACCACCAAAGTGCCAGACAGTAAATCTTAATTCTTTCCTGTTTCTACAGAAATTGAGGGTGCTTTCCTATGGGTTCTATCATTGCTGGTTGACAGCTACATGTTCCACAGACTGGATGGAAAAACCCAGCTGTATCTTTGTGTCTCTGAATGTCATTAACTAATTTTCAAGTATTCAATGAAACCACAGATAGACTTGGCCAAGTATTTTTCCCCCTGAGTTTTGGAAAATATGCACATCTTAAAAAATATATTGCATATGTTCCTTATTTACTTACCACCAAATGTTCCAAATCTTGCATTATAGGAGTTAGAGACTGTCCAAAGAGCTCATTGAACCATTTTTGAAAATGTTCTTTTACAAAAACAGGAAGTCACAATATACCAAATGTCAAGTAACTTTGAATTTCAGAGGAGTTGGATTAGGTTCAAAACTTTTGAAATCATAAAGTTGAGCTGGTTCTAAATCAGAGTGTTGACTAGTCCCCTACTTTCTAATTATTTTTCCTCTTCTATGCTCATGTGTGTGTATGTGTATGTATATGGTACACACTTCTCATACACTCTAAAGTGCAATGATGAGAGGAAGAAATTTCCATGTTTTGATTACTTTAAATTTGGGGAGGAAGAAAAATCATCTTGTGGTTACAGACTCAGAAGTTCAGACTTGGTATTTCAGAATCAGAGGATATTTAATCCTCTATAAGCAGTGTGATTTCAGTCTTGTTGTCTGTCATTGGTTAAAGCCACTGAAACTGGGGACATTTACACTTAATAATTTACTTTAGAGACTTATTTTGGCTGAGCACAGTGGCTCACGTCTGTAATCCCAACACTTTGGGAGGCTGAAGCAGGTGGATCACCTAACGTCAGGAGTTCGAGACCAGCCTGATCAATATGGTGAAACCCTGTCTCTACTAAAAATACAAAAATTAGCCGGGCGTGGTGACGTGCACCTGTAGTCTCAGCTGCTTGGGAGGCTGAGACAAGAGAATTGCTTGAACCCAGGAGGCAGAGGTTGCAGTGAGCTGAGATCGCACCATTGCACTCCAGCCTGGGCAACAGAGAGAGATTCGGTCTCAAAAAAAAAAATGTATTTCACAGAGTACCTATTATGTTATTGAAAAAGGTGCTTTGTAAAGAAAACAAAAAGTGTGTATGGTACACATTTTAGCTGTTTGCATGGGGTAATGTGTAAACAATAGAAATTGATTTCTTACAGTTCTGGAAGTTGGGGAGTCCAAGGGCAAGATGCAGCCATTTGTTGTTTGGTAAGGGCCTTCTTGCTGCATTCTCCCATGGCAGATGGGGCGATACCATGTCCTCACATGGCAGAAGGCTGAAGGGCAAGAAAAGACCTAAACTAGCTCCTTCCAGCTCTTTTACAAGGCACCAATCCATTCATGAGGGTACAGCCCACACAACTTAATCACTTCCTAAAATGCCCCACCTCTTAATACCACTACAATGGGAATTAAGTTTCAACATGAAGTTTGAAGGAGACACATTCAAACAATGGCAGTGTATGTTATAGATTGAGTCTATGATTTTTTTTTTTTTTTTTTTGGCTGGGGGTCAGGAGAGAGACTTGGAAATATTCCAAGACCTGAAAACAGCAAAAAACTGACATAATGCTATGTTCTACATTTCCTTAATGGACAGAACTGTATAAGATGATTTAGAATGAGCAGCTGACTTTTGGAGAATGAAGAATGCACTAGCTTCTTCACAATGTCCTAAACATTGGAAGAGGTAACTTTTGTTTAGCTAATAAAAATTTTAACTGAAGATGTATTATGTGATCAGGTATGGTGTATGTTTGGGATAAAAAGGTGAATTTAAAATGAGCCTGGCCCTCGAAGAGTCTACACTAGAGTGGGAAACAGACAACTCATTGTTGTTTAAAGTGGAAAGTCCAATAGAAGTGCTTATATCAGGTATAGACATTGTACAAAGGATTAACTGTGTCTGGGGTGGTGAGGGAGAGATGGTGAGGAATTTACAGCACCTAGCACTGTGGATGGCACATAGTAGAGACTCAATAAATGTTAGTTCCCTTCTCTCCTTCCTTTATTTATTTATTTATTTTTTTGAGACGGAGTCTCGCTCTGTCGCCCAGGCTGGAGTGCAGTGGCATGATCTCGGCTCACTGCAAACTCCATCTCCCGGGTTCACGCCATTCTCCTGCCTCAGCCTCCTGAGTAGCTGGGACTACAGGCAGCTGCCACCACGCCCGGCTATTTTTTTGTATTTTTAGTAGAGACGGGGTTTCACCGTGTTATCCAGGATGGTCTCGATCTCCTGACCTCGTGATCCGCCCAACTCAGCTTCCCAAAGTGCTGGGATTACAGGCGTGAGCCACTGCGCCCGGCCCCTCTCCTTCCTTTAGATATAATGTGTTGACCGTTATATACAAAGATTATGATGCCACTGTGTCCTAACAGCAAGGAATTATGAATTTAGCATTCCTTTCTGGCCAGGTGGGGTGGCTCATGCCTGTAATCCCAGCACTTTGGGATGCCAAGGCAGGTGGATCACTTGAGGTCAAGAGTTCAAGACCAGCCTGGCCAACATGGTGAAACCCCATCTCTACAAAAAACTACAAAAATTAGTCTTGATGGCCAGGCTTGATGCGGGCTCCTGTAGTGTAGTCTCAGCTACTTGGGAGGCTGAGTCAGGAGAATTGCTTGAATATGGGAGGTGGAGGTTGCAGTGAGCTGAGATTGCACCACTGCACTCCAGCCTGGGTGACAGAGTGAGACCCTGTCTCAACAAAACAAAACAAAACAAAAGGAATTATTTTCTTGTGGACAGTTAGCACTAATTCCTCTATATTTAGAAATTTTTGATTCTTCTGGGGACCAGTGACCAATATTTACAAAATTGTTCAACAGTTTAATGGGTAAGCTAGGAACAGAAAGCAGACCCACAAATTAATAATCAACTATAAACTTGACCCTGGATATAAGTGTACCAGCCACATTTGTGAGAGTTCCTGAGCCAGGTTTCTGTTTTTGTTTCATTTCAGCAGCATAGAAGGTCACCAAACTTCTAAAAGCAACACTTATTAAACTTTTCCTAGGCCCTCAAAGAGCATAAGTGAATAAAGACTTATTCCTAGAGCTTGGGAGTGTGAAGGTTTGGTGAGGGGTGGATTGGAGGGAGATAGTGTGGAGAGGTCCATTGCAAACACAAAATGCGTGGGGTCTCAGGTTGATTTAAAAGATGTATGCAAATGTTACACTCCATGCCATACTATATCTGTTTGCTTATGTAAATATGAAAATACTGCTTCAAGTTACCTACCAAGTTAAGTGACTTAATTCCCCGAATCATTAAATCCAACTGATGCCCAAGGAAGAAGGGCTGTGTTTATTCTTTGACTATCTGAGCCCCTCGTTCACCATTTTCAGCAACTTGGTCTTTTTTACAAAAATTAATTAATTAAATAAATGAACAAATATCAGAAACTTGATCTTAATAACATATATATCTTAATATGTGTGACAAAATTGATATATATTATGTATATGACATATAAATCAATATACAGCACTGGTTGTGTGACCAATTAATAAGCGGAAGTTGTAGCTTGATTACTACATTCCTCATTTCCCACCTTTTGAAACATTCTGGCTTCTCATCCTAGTTCAGAAATAAGATGCAGAATTTGCACTCACTTCAGCAGCACAGGCATTAGTTCTTATACATGATAGGGTGGAAATGTGTCTCTCTTGCTTCTCTCTGCAGAAAATCATCTCATTCCTTGTCACTTTCTCATTATCATAATGCCATACCAATTGTTCAGTCTCCTTCTCTCTCATTTACGTATTTCTTTCCATTTTTCAAAGCATTTTCATATACATTTTATTATATGATTCTCCACGGTATTGAGGACAGGCATCCTTAGCCTCATTTGACTAGTAGTAAACTAAGGTTTGATGAGATTAAATTATTTACTCAAAGTTACATTCATTCAAAAGTATTTGCTCTGTATCTACTATGTGCCAGATACTATACAATGAACTAGAAACATCAAGGTGGATTAAACACAGTCCATGCCCTAAAAGAGGGAGACAGAAAAGTAATCCGGCAATTATAGGATGAAGGGATAAATACAATAATAGGGGTTAAGCAGAGGGCACTAAACATAAACCTTAGGGATACTCCTAATCCAAACTTGGGAGGTGAAGTGAGTAAGGGAAAATTCATGGGGTTAGTGATATCTAAACTGAGATCTGAAGTACAAGATTAACCAGAAGAAAATGATATCGAGGTGGGTAAAAGTATAAACAGGAAACAGCAATATGCAAAGGCTCAGAGAGAGAAGAAATATGCATCGGGGAGCTGCTTTCAGCACAGTGTATAAAGTGTGACACGGAGGCAAGGTTGCCCTGTTTAGGCACACAGATTGTGCACTGCACTACTCCAGCAGTTATCATTCACAGACTAGGCTGGGAATGGCATCCCCCAGAGTTGAGCAATGTGGCTTCTCTGCAAGAAGAATGATGGGTGGGGAATGTGAGGACTCTGAACATCATGCATGCTGAGGTGTTTGTAAACAGGCTGAAGGCAATGGAAAGCCATTGGAGGGGTTGTGGCTTGATTAGGCTTGTCTTTCAGAAGATTGTTCTGCCTGTGGGGTGGAGAATAGATCAGAAGAAACCAATGCTTATCAGCCTTCCAATCAGTAGATAAACATGAGACTGGCCTGGAGTGAGGTCCAGGAAGATCAGAGTTAGGGACAGATTCAAGAGATTTAAAGAACGTGGATTGACAAGACTCGGTAACTGGCAGGATGTGAGAGATGAGAGGGAAACGGAGATACCAAGTGTGAGCCCCAGCATTTGTTCTTAGATCAACACTGGGTCCAGGGTGGTGTCATTTACCGAGGAGGGGGGAACACTGGAGGAGGAAGATTATTAATTTTTGTTTTGGACATGCTGAGTATGAGGTGATTTTGAGACATCCGAGAGAGAAGCAGGCAGCTTGGTGGGACTGGAGGTCGGGAGAAACAATGAGGGTCTAAGACAGAGTGTTGTCAGCATGGACCTGTGTGGAACTGATCAGAGTCATTGTGGTTTCAGGACAGTGGGCTCAGGGGCACCCTGTGGAGTGGCGGAGGAGGTGAGGAAGTGGAGATCAGAAAAAAAGAGACATTTATTTTGAGAAGTTTGGCTGTGAAGGAGAAGAAAGAGGGGCATTTAAATTTTGTGAATTTGGGCCTGGTGCGGTGGGTCATGCCTATAATCCAAGCACTTTGGGAGGCCGAGGTGGGCAGATCACTTGAGGACAGAAATTTGAGACCAGCCTGGCCAACATGGTGAAACCCTGTCTCTACCAAAAATACAAAAATTAGCTGGGCATGGTGGTGCACACCTATAAACCCAGCTACTTGGGAAGCTGAGGCAGGAGAATCACTTGAACCCAGAAGGCGGAGGTTGCAGTGAGCCAAGATTGTACCACTGCACTCCAGCCTGGGCGACAAGAGTGAGACTTCGTCTCAAAAATAAAATAAAATAAAAAAATGTGAATTTGGGCTATCAATTTTCTGCAGGAAGGTTGAGAATGGTTGCTGAGACTCTACAGTGTCCTGGTGAAGTTTAAGGACCATAATTGCATGCTAAAATGCCCAGTCAGGGTTTTTCTCTCTTTTAAAGGAGCTTGGTGCTTCCATCTACATTTCTTTGCAGCTTCTCTTCTTTCCTCCCTCCTTTATCCCTTTGTATTCTATGGTGAATCTTACTTTCTCACCTTCCACTGTTTTATTTTTTCCAGGACAGCTGTCTGAAGAAGTTAAAAATAAATGGAATAACATTTTTAAAACCACAGTAAAATGCAGAAGTTTTAATACAGAACAAACACAATATTCATTTCAGCAATGCCTCAGAGGAGGCACTGTAATAACTTACTTCTTTTTTTTTTTTTTTCTTTTTTGAGGCAGGGTCTGGTTCTGTTGCCCAGGCTGGAGTGCAATGGCATGATCATAGTTCACTGCAGCCTCCACCTATTGGGCTCAAACCATCCTCCCACCTCAGCCTCCCAAGTAGCTGGGACTGCACCAAGCCCTGCTAAGTTTTGTATTTTTGGTAAAGATGGAGTCTCACCATGTTGCCCAGGCTGGTCTCAAGTTCCTGAGCTCAAGTGATCCTCCCACCTTAGCCTCCCAAAGTGCTGGGATTACAAATGTGAGCCACTGTGCCTGGCTAACTTACTCCTTCTACTTGTTCTATTTCTCAATTGTTTTTTCTGTTGTTGGTTTTTATACTTTCTGTAGGAGGTGAGATTACAAGTAGGCATTCACAGAAAAACTTAGTATATATTGAATAGAATTGCCAGCTAATATTGCCTCCAATTGCATGCTTTTAAAATCAAGCAGTTTGTCATTATTTATCGAATTCATGCAAAGAAGTGTAAGGCATGTCTAGTACCCATTAGAAGTTTATAATGAGAAAAACAACACATATAAAAAACAAAGCATGTGAAATTATGGAAGGCTAACACCCATAAAACAAAGAGAATAGATGATCAATAGCAAATAAAACAATGAAATATTTAATCGAATGATACTGTTTATAAGTTTGTTAGCAGGTCAAGGAAAATAAGGATCAAGAGCCAAGGAAGGCATTCCCTGGGATAAAGATAATAAATTTCAACAAATCAACACTAAAAGTAACTTTATAATATTGATTTAAAAAACCGTATTTCTTCAATTCTAAGGTGTCATCTTTTCACATTTTAATATCATAGATATAATAGCTAACATTCATCTTGCACTTACTTTGTACCAGGTTCTGTTACATGCGCTTTACATGTGCTGACTCACAGAGTATGGTGTATTTCATCTTGCATTTACTTTGTACCAGGTTCCGTTATGTGTGCTTTACATGTGCTGGCTCATAGAATATGGGATATTTCATGGAGTGAAAAATTTCATCTTCTGCTCTCTGAAAAGTTGTTTTTAAACCAATTTTACAAACTTAAACTCCATGACTGTTTAGAATCCAGGAACCATTGTAGGTGCAGAAATAAACAGTGCTTACAGATATACGTTAATAAAAATTACATTGAGGAAATGTTCTAATTTCCTTAGCCTAGATTGATAGGCCCTTGGTTTTGTTTTGTGAAGGTCATTTGATACCCCTAAGACATCTGTGGATCTTCTGTAACTTAGCCATTCAGTCAAGGGGCACAATATTTCAAAATAGAAAAGTCTCCGTGTGAAGAGAGTGCAGAGCCTCATCAGGATTTAACCTCATGCAGCAATCATCATTATCTGCCTCTACTTGTGGTTTGCACCCAGGTCAGGGAGATGGCTCTGATTTATTTACAAACAGGATGAACTATCTAAGCCACTAGTGTGAAGCCAAAATATATAATTATATTGGGTTGGGTTCTCCAGGCAACAGTCTCTGAGATGGAGAATTGTATGCAGGTTATTTACTGGGGAATGTTTTCAGGCACAACCCTGGTGGGGATGAGGAGAGCAGGACTGGGTAGAAGGAGAAGTTGATCTGTGATGCATTTGCAGCACAGGCCCCAGCAGATCCCAGAGGGAGTGTTGGAGCTAAGATGTGCTTTCGGAGATGTCCTTAGTTGAGGCAAAAGGGGCTGGGCCTTTGTACTCTCAAATTCACTGGATATGAATAGTTTCAAGGGAGGGACTGTAATGAGGTGAGGTGGTTGCTTCTGACTGAGGGTAATTCCTGAAGGAAGAATCAGCTTCAAGCTATCAGCAGGCAACACTCTCTGCAGTTGGGGGCATAAAGCCTTTGGTCCTGAATGTGGGAACTGGGTGGCACACTACAGCATCCACGACAGTGAAATACTGTGTATTCATAAGTTTATATGTTGATATGGTTTGGGTGTGTCCCCACCAAAATCTCATCTTAAATTGTAGCTCTTATAATTTCCTCTTATCGTGGGAGGGACCTGGTGGGAGGTAATTCAATCATGGGGGTGGGTCTTTCCCATGCTGTTCTCATGATAGTGGATAATATGTCTCATGAGAGCTGATGGTTTTATAAAGGGGAGTTGCCCTACACAAGCTCTCTTCCCTGCCACCATGTAAAACATGACTTTGCTCCTCTTTTGTCTTCTGCCATGATTGTGAGGACTCCCCAGCCATGTGGAACTGTGAGTCAATTAAATCTCTTTTCTTTATAAACTACCCAGTCACGGGCAGTCCTTTATAGCAGCATGAGAATGGACTAATACATATGTTTTATATAAACATATAAAATACAAACACAGATATACAGATATACACACACATTTACGTGCACATTTATATTTATAAAATTTAAAAAAGCATACATCAAGTAAATAAAACAACCATAGCGAAATGTGATATGGTATATTGGGTAGATTTAGTAAAGTCATAGGCTATGGTCACTACAGTACACAGTTCTCGGCCTTGCTCTTTAGGGAATGTTTTTGAAATTTGAGAGAACATATTTGGTTGTCACAAAGAATGGAATGCCCAAGCATCTATTGATTGGAAATTAAAGATGCTAGCTGTCCTGGAAAGTGGTCTTTCAAATGTCCCACTGGATATTCATGTAGGTAAAAATCTGTCTGCAATTATCTTAGCCTGGAACTTAACCCGTTTTACATATAAACACAATGTTTTAGTTTAGTTTAGATTTTTTTCATTCTAGGAATGTAACTGTGTTGTGGTATCAGTCAGGATCTAGTCAGGAAAACAATCTACATTATTATTATTTTTTGAGATGGAGTCTTGCTCTGTTACCCAGGCTGGAGTGCAATGTCATGATCTCTGCTCACCGCAACCTCCACCTCCCAGGTTCAAACGATTCTCCTGCCTCAGCCTCCCAAGTAGCTGGGATTACAGGTGCCCACCACCACACGGAGCTAATTTTTGTATTTTTAGTAGAGATGGGGTTTCACCATGTTGACCAGGCTGGTCTTGAACTCTTGACCTCAAGTGATCCGCCAGCCTCAGCCTCCCAAAGTGCTGGGATTACAAGTGTGAGCACTGCACCTGGCTCAACCTACATTATTTTAACAGAAATAACCCTTTCCCGTTTGCCCCGAGAATATGCGCCAGCAGCGCTTGTGGATGCAATGTTTACCCTGAGATAACTTTGCCATGAAATATCTCACTTTTATTATTTTTGCATCGCTCTGACATATTGACCTTGAAAACAAAAGACGTCATTCTATTTATAGCATTCTGTTTCTAGTAGTGGCATTTCTGTTTACAAAATATAGTAATTCTCGATTGCTGAAAATGTCAAATTCTAGAAAACGTAGCATTCCTACACGTGATGTTAACAGCGTTCTTGAACAGTTGTTGACTGAAGAGTCACTTGATGAATCTGATTTTTCTGAAATAGATGATTTTGATGTTAGTTCTGTTTAGAAATAACTCCAAGAACAGTTTTTAGATTTTATTTTCACATTGAAAATCAGATTTGCTTCAACCTCAAAGGGCGTGTTTATGTAAAATCAAATGAGTGCAGGCAGTGAGCTATACTTTTTTTTTTTTGTTTGTTTGTTTTGTTGTTGTTGTTGAGATGGAGTTTTGCCCTTGTTGCCCAGGCCAGAGTGCAATGGTGCGATCTCGGCTCACCACAACCTCTGCCTCCTGGATTCAAACGATTCTCCCGCCTCAGCTTCCCTAGTAACTGGGATTACAGGTGCATACCACCACGCCCAGCTAATTTTTTTTTTTTTTTTTTTTTTTTGTATTTTTAGTAGACATGGGGTTTCACCATGTTAGCCAGGCTGGTCTTGAACTCCTGACCCCAAGTGGTCCACCCGCCTCGGCCTCCTAAAATGCTGGGATTACAAGAATGAGCCACCATGCCCAGTCAGCTATACTTTTGTTTCTAAACAAGAAAAGGGTTAATATGAGGAATTGCTTAAATAGTCCTGTTTAATATGGGGAATTGTTTAAATAGGTGTTAGAGGACTGAAAAAACAAAAAGGGAACACAGAGATAGTAACTTTAAGAAGCAGCTACCACCAGTAGGGCTGGGAACAATGGGAAAAGGTTAGTTATTAGAACGAAAAGCTTGGAAGAGAGGCCCTTTTCTTCTCTTCATATCTTCACTCCTGAAGGGTCTGAATCCATTTTTTAATCCTTTTAAAAAATTATAGTAGCTTCCATCAACTTTTATTATAGGATATGGAAGTGCTAAGGGGTACCACAGAAAATCCAGAACATAGTCCTTCCTGTCCCAATCGTCCTCCCTGTCCCCATCGTCCTCCCTGTTCCCACTGTGTTGTAGCAAACCAATTTCCTCTTGATAATGGGAATCAGTAACCCCACCCAGAAAGGTAACCCCTGCTTTTCCTGTTGTTTCCATAGCATGTGGAACCGAAAGTGGACACATCCCAGTCTTAGCTTCTAATTCAATGAAACCATAATTGTGATCCCTGGTGGGAACCCTCCCTTGGGAAGCAACACCCCCAAACCAGCAGAGCTCAAAGCAAAACAGGCACTGGAAGCAAAAACTGTATGAGTGGATTATTGGGTGTAATGATGAAAAGAACCACTTCTACTACAACCACCACTCCCTTCTCCCTCCCAGCCCCACCCTTGATTCTTGGACCTTGTATTTTGGGGGAAGCAGTACTATGTACTGACTCCTGACTCAAAGCATTTTCTGTGTCCTCCAAGAGGTAACTTCACTATGTTAGTGTGGTGTTTCCCAGCTGGTGCTGGAACTCAGTCTTCAGTAGAACTCCATCATCCTTCCAGGTGAGCTGCTTCTGGCTGATGAGGTATTGATAAGACTGGTAAATTCCATTTACATGAGTCCTTTGCTGCATTTCTTTTGCCATGAGATGAGTTCCTCAGAAAGAAGTAATATTGTGTAGACTATATAACAGTGAGTAAGATACAACATAAGTCATGGATGGTAGTTCTGTCAGAAACACTCTCTGGGCCGGGCATGGTGGCTTATGCCTGTAATTCCCGCACTTTGGGAGGCGGAGCAGGCAGATTACCTAAGGTGAGGAGTTCTGAGACCAGCCTGGTCAACATGGTGAAACCCCATCTCTACTAAAAATGTAAAAATTAGCCAGGTGTGGTGGCGCATGCCTGTAGTTCCAGCTACTTTGGAGGCTGAGGCAGGAGAATCACTTGAACCCCGGAGGTGGAGGTTGCAATGAGCCGAGATCATGCTACTGCACTCCAGCCTGGGCAACAGAGCCAGACTCCATCTCCAAAAAGAAAAGAAACACTCGCTGGGCACAAATCCATATCAGCTGGGCATGGAGGCTTACACCTATAATCCTAGCACTTTGGGAGGCTGAGATGGGTGGATCACTTGAGGCCAGGGGTTGAGACCAGCCTAGTCAACATGATGAAACCCTGTCTCTACTAAAAGTACAAAAATTAGCTGGGCGTAGTGGCACACTCCTGTGATCCCAGCTATGCAGGATGCTGAGGTGCGAGAATCGCTTGAATCTGGGAGGCAGTGATTGCAGTGAGCTGAGATCACGCCACTGCACTCCAGCCTGGGCAACAGAGCAAGACCCTACCTGAAAAAAAAAAAAAAAACAAGAAAGGAAAAGAAAACAAATTCATATCCACAATATGTGTCTACTCTAGTGAAGACAAGTAACTGTTCCCTCCATGAAGGAAGGGTTCCAAAATAATCAATTTGCTACCACATGGCTGACTAGTCTCCCTTGGAAATGGTGCCTCTCAATGTGTGATTTCTGATGTTGTCAGATATCAGCCTTACTGCAGAGAAGCCTAAGATTTGAAGCCCAAACATAGTCTTTATTCCTGACTCCATGGCTACTTTGAGCAAGCACTGCAATAGGTGGAGAAAGAGGCCCACTCCACCGAATGTGTCATTCACCTAATTACTAAAAGCCTTCTCAGAGTAGATGCTCTGTGGTGAGCATTCACATGGCACACAAATTCCTCACACTTTGTGCCTATTCTGAAAGGTGCACCCACAAACCTCTTTCCCGGACCACCTCATCTTTCCAAGTTGCTGACCATTCAGCAAAACCATCAATAATTGCCTGTGAATGAGTGTAGATCTATACCTTTGACCGTCTCTCTCAATCCAGACAAAGTAGACCCTAGGTGCGCTGCTGGAAATTTCTTGCACTGAGAAAATTTCCCTTCAGTACTGTCATCGGGGGCATTCCTTATTGAGACTGTGATGCTGGAATAGACCACTTCCAGCTTGTGCCAGTATATTTAGGAGAACTGTCTGTAAATCAGTTAACTGGTCTTAAGAAATTCCCCATGAAGTTGAAGATAAGGAGGCACCAGGAGTAAGTATCAAAGGAATCTGAGCTACCTGCTAAGGCAACTTGTGCTTTCTGGACCTGCTTAAGCTCAGTCTCTTACATACCATTTCCATTTGATGAGGAATTCCTCTTGTGTATGTCTGGTCTTATGGATTGGTAGATTAGATTACACTCAGTTCATAATGGGCAGCTGAGCTTGCAGTCACTTGATTGTCTCATGGCCAGTCATTCAAATTCACTTAGCAAGCTAGGGACCATTCCTCAAATAGAAAATTGTTATCTGCAGAAGAGGGCATGACTTGCTCTACAACTAAGGAATTCTGCATTGTAGATCTAATCAGGGCTCACCAGAGGCTCTATATAGCATCCTTATTTGCCACAGACACTTTAAGTATCATTGGATTCCTCTGGGTCATCAAGTCCTGCTACAGATATTTCTTCTCCCCTTATTCCTAATAAAAAATTCCAGCCTTATGGGTTGCTCTATAAATGGGTCACAGCATCACACTCAGATGTGATACATATTGCCTCTAAAATCCAAGGATACCCAGAAAGTATTGTGTCTCTTTTCTTAGTGGTAGATGGTACAAGGTGAAGTAATTTGTCTTTTACGTTGGGGAGAATATCCTGGTGTTTTCTAGACCACTGGACCTCCAGAAACTTCACTAAGGTGATGAATTTTCTTGGGGTTTATACCCAATCTCTGGCTCACATGTGTGTTGTTAAGGCAGCTAAAATATTTGTTACTTCCTGTTTATCAGGGCCAGTCAGCTCGATGTCTTTAACATAGTGATCAAGACCTGTGCAGATGAGATTATGCCAGAGAGTGGGAGTGTTTACATCCCCTAGAGAAGACTGTAAAGGTGTACTGTTGATCTTGCCATATAAAAGAAAACAACTTTTGGTGAAAATTGAAATAGATAAAAAGCATTTGCCATATCAATAGTGCACACCAGGTGCCTAGGGCTGAGTTGCTTTGTTGCGGTAAAGACAGCATATATAGAATAGCAGCTGCAACTGACATTACCATTTGATTAAGTTTACAACTTAATAACAAATCATAGTTATTCTCTAAGATCTTTTGCATAGGCCCAACAGGTGAGTTAAATGGAGATGTGACAGTATTATCATTCCTGTATCTTCTACGTCTTTTCTGGTGGTACCAATTTCTACATATTTCCAGGGATTGAGCATTGTTGTTGGTTTTCTATTCTGGTATCAAGAGGAAATTCCAGAGGCTTCCATTTGGCCTGTCTTACCATAATAAACTTCACTCTGTGGGTCAGAGAAATGATGTTAGGATTCTGTTAGTTACTGAGTATGTCTATTCTAACTAACAGTTGAGGAGATAACTATAGTTTGGGTCTGCAGAGCTACTGGATCCACACTGATTTATACTTAGTTAAAAATTTCATTTATCACCTACCATAGATCCCCATTTTGATTGGTGGATCCAGTGGTGTTTGCAATCCTCAGGAATTAGCATTAATTCAGAAGCAGTGTCAGTGATCCCTCAAATGTCTGGGTATTTCCTTTTTCCCAGTACTCGCTCAGCCTAGAAAAATACATCAGGTTCCTTTGGATAAGGCTTGGATGAGGATTTGTAGTATATATTTATGACAATGCTGCAAGACCCTCCTGAAGGGGACCAGCTTCCCTTTTAATCAAGGAGCTCTGTGTCTGTGAACTCATTTAGGTACGGAAACTGAATGAAAGATAATTTCATTTTGATGGCTCAAGGGAGCTTTCAGGTGGCAGATGTAGAGTTTTGTCTGTTATAAAGATCAATGGCTATTTCCAAAGTCTGCCCGTCTATTTCATTCCTAGGACAACCTAGGGCACTGCCAGATATACCTGTAGGTTAAGACCTTTAAGTACTACTTTGTCTCTGCTGTCCATTACAGTAAATGTGTCCACCTTGTCTCTGCCAGCTAAGTGCTGCCACTTGGCCATTGCTGTCGCAGGATCCCACTAATATAAAAATCAAGGAGCCATCTCAACGAAAGCATCTCCCACCATCATATCCAGCTACTAGAGAGTTTTTCTGACGTTCTCTCTCGAATGTATTTTTCTTTCCTTTTCTTTTTTTTTCTTTTTGACAGAGTCTTGCTTTGTTGCCCAGGCTGGAGTGCAATGGCGCGTCATTGGCTCAGTGCAACCTCTGCCTCCTGGGTTCAAGCGACTCTCGTGACTCAGCCTCCCAAGTAGCTGGAACTACAGGTGCATGCCACCACGCCTGGCTAATTTTTTGTATTTTTAGTAGAGACGGGGTTTCACCATGTTAGCCAGGCTGGTCTGGAACTCCTGACCTCAGGTGATCCACCTGCTTCAGCCTCCCAAAGTGCTGGGATTATAGGCATAAGCCATGGTGCCTGGCCTGTATTTTTCAATGCTTCAGTATAAAGATCATCATCTGGCTCTCCAGGAATATGTAGGGGTTGGCTGTACAGATTATACATGATAAAATTATTCCAACATTCCCATCTCCACAAATCTTTGGATTTCTTTCTCTACATTATACCAGGGGCATTCTGGCTTCTCAAGCTCACCGAATATAGTCAACTGCTGAGTCTGAGTCTCATTTAATGAAGTAAACAAAGTGTTTGAATCACTGTCAAAGTACTGGCTAACACATTAAAAGCAGACCTTCTGATAAGTGTAGTCTTATCAATAAATTTTGCCAAATCTTCTGCTCCCTATTTTATTTGGAACTTGGCCACGAGTTGTTCAACCTTTCACAAAGTCAGGTCACCTATGACAACACCAATCTTGATATTTGAATTCCTAACACTATATGTTCACATCTGTCTGCATTTGTAATTCTCTCATTCACAAAGCCTCTCCATATAGGTGGAAGCATCTTACTGCTTTGTTTTGTCAGAAGACAAAGAGAGTTGTGTTTTACCACTTACCTACTGAAATACATATTCATTATAAATTACTCTCCTTTAATTTTTCCTTTATTGTACAATTAGGACAATATATTGTTGCTGGTTTTTTTTTTTTTGAAATTTGTATTGGTAGGTAATATTATCCACAAATTACCTTTCAGGATAGTAAGGGGAGTGTTAAAGATACTAGTTACAAAAAGAGGATGATGGTCTGATTGGGTGGAGAACTGCTGCCTCCTCACTTTGGCCCCAGGAACTTAGGTGCAGGCATGTCCGCGATGAATCAAATTGGATCTTGAGTGAATCTTCCAAATTAAGTCATTTGTTATCACTCTTCTGAAAGATGGCTCTATTTAAGTAGAGAATGCAGGGTCCTATTCAGTTTACTTACAAAGCCATGCAGGGTGTTCAGTAAATAGACATACCAATAACAGCAGTGAAGAACTGACTCATAGATGCAACATAAACAATCTGTTGTATGTCTGAGAAAGGCCTTAGAATTTTTTGTTTGTTTGTTTCCATGCAACATTGATAACAGAGGAGTGGAAGCCAGGAACAAAGTTCCTTGGTTCTTCTTGTCTGCATGATCTGAATTATAATCTATAAGACTAATAAAGGTAAATTTGAGATTTAGCTGCTTCGACAACCAGAGTGGCTGGATGGTAAATGTGAGGATATTAATGCTCCTTTCTCTCCTGTCTCATGTGGAATCTTTGGGGGAGGTTCTAAGAGTAGGGAGGAAGAATGGACATTTGGTTTGTGAATATACAGTAGAGGCAGATGTTTGGTCTTGACCAAAGAATTCTGTAGCTCTAGTTTGCTCTTCAAAGCTGTTCAATGCTGCCCTACAGGTTTGCTCTATGGCCTGCCAGGGGCACATGGGGCTGCCTGGGAGCACTTCCTCTCCACTTGCTTACTTAATTCTCCCTTCTCCAGATCTCAACTCCTGTCACTTTCTCAGGGAAGCCTGCCCTCACCCACCAGTCTGGTCTGATTCCTTTGTTGTGGGTTCACTTCAGAAGCATGTTTTCCCTTGAGATCCCTTATCTCAGTTTGTAATTACATTCATTAGCAGAGACTATGCGGTTTATGTTGGCATCTTCTGAGAGCAGGTTATCTTATTTATGCTCTCCGTTTATTCCCGTGCCTAGCCAGTGCCTGACAAGGTAGGGACTCAGTACATAGCTGTTCAATGAATAAGTGTTTGCTCCAAATTCCAGAACTATCAACAGCTACTATGCTTACGAATATGCCCGTTGTATCTGTAGCCCATGGTGTTTGACAGCTGTCTTCTATTTGTTGAAGAGCTTGGTAACTTGGGATTTTGTAGAGATCAGTAAGGACTGGTGGGAACACCCAAAAGACCCATCAACTCGGTGATTTAGGACTGCTTTGCTTCTCCAGGAACTCCACTCCACCCCCACCAGCAAAAACCAAACCCAGGGTGTTTGAATTTAACAATAGTATGTGTGTGTGCATATGTGTGTGTGTGTTTAGCTGGAAAGTGGCTGGAGAACAAGGTGGAAGGGCCAGAGCTTCTGTTCCCTCCACCCATAAATGTTTGGCAAACACCCTGTAAAGAATCACAATGTGTCCGCTGCCTCCTGGCATTAAACAAAGGGAGCATCATAATTGCGGTCCCTGGGATCTTCGGGGCGCTGCCACCACCTGATTCTGGGTTAGGGGAAGGGGGCGTAACCCCATCTCCCCGGTTAAAGTGGACGGCATGTGAGTGAGAGCCTTTCCTGCCCCCTCGGGGTGTGTCCCCGCGGGCTTCCCCACCCATATGTGTGAGACCCGTCAGGGAGGCCCGCGATCCGCCCAGGGCCCGGGGCCGGCCCGGCCGGGCGCCGCGTGCAGGTGCGGAAGGCAGGCGGCGGCCCGGTGCGGGCGCGGGGGCAGCGCCGGGGGCCGGGCTGCGCGGCTCGGCTGCGGGCGGCAGGAGGCAGCGTCGGCCCAGGCGGCGGGCGGCGAGCGAGCCAGCGCGCGGTGATGTCAGTGGCGGCCCGGCTGGCAGCAGCCGGTACTTCCTGTGGAAAGGCGGGCGGGCTCGGCTGCAAACCCCACTAGCCAGTGTCAGCCTCTCGGCGGGAGGAGGCGGCGGCGGAGGAGGAGCAGGGGGAGGGCTGTCAAATTCGGGAGCCAGATTTTTTCCCTTCTCCTGGCAATCCCTTCCGCTTCCCCGGCTCCCGGCGTGACATCTGCGGGCCGGGGACCTGCATGTGTGTGCGCGCGAAGGAGCGGAAGAATGGCAGTGCTCAAACTCACCGACCAGGTAGCGGGCGGCGGCGCCGGCGGGCGGGACGCGCGGGCGCGGGGCGGCGCGGAGCCCGGCGGGGGGATGGGGGCGCGGCTGGAGCGCGCCCGCGAGCTGTTTACTCGCGGCGAAGGGGAGGACTGTGTGCGGCCGCCGGTGCCTCCGAGAGCCCGCGGCGGCAGCTCCCCTCCGCCGCGCCGTCCCCGCCCTGGGCCGTCGGAACTGCGCGCCCGAGTCTGGGGCAGGGCCCGTGGGCGCTGGGCAGCCGGCGTGCGGGAGTGCGGCGGCCGCGGGCCCGGCGGGGCTGGGGAGGGGGCCGGGGGCTCGAGGTGCTCTCGGGACTCGCACCGCGCCGCGTTGCGTGGGCGCCGCCGGCCCGGGCCCCGGGGAGGAGGACGCTGCACGAAGAGGGAGAAAGGATCGCAGACTGGGACCCCTCCCCAAACCTAGCAGGAGTCCTGCCCAGAATGCGGCTCTTGTGTGGCCGGGCTGTCTTTATTTATCCGTTGGATGTGACATCCGACTTCCTCTTTAGTTGCGCCAGGCTGTGTGCGTGGTGCGGGATGGGGACCCCTGGAGACCGCCCTTTCGGATCGGGCCGGTCCCTCTGAGGAGGAGGTGAAGTCGGCTCGGAGCCTCCACTCACAGGCGGTGGGCTACGGTCTGCCTGTGTCTACCAGCTTTGTTGGCTTTCCTTGCTGAGACACCACACAGGGCAGCTCTGGAGTCCTGGCTTGGAGAGGTGGGGTTATTTGCTGAATCGGATTGACAGTCCTCGCCGCAGGTCTGTGGAATGGTAACAGCCACCTTCGCGGACTCTGCTGCTCTTACATTGACACTAACAGGCACCAAACCAAGTTGCATGACAAAACTCTTTGCAGCTCTTTCCACGAAAAAAGGAAACGGCTTGCTACCCCCACCCCCGTTTATTCGTGGGTAGTGAAAGGAACTTTGT
This sequence comes from Homo sapiens, assembly GCF_000001405.40. NCBI lineage: Eukaryota > Metazoa > Chordata > Mammalia > Primates > Hominidae > Homo > Homo sapiens. The sequence goes on along the minus strand of NC_000002.12, from coordinate 197,309,640 downwards.
TTTGGGGTCCTGGTAGGCAGAGAGGCAATCTTGACTTTGACTACAGGGTCAGACTTGCCAGCCCTTGGTATTAAATACCTCAAACTTGTCCATGGGTTGCATCTGCTGCCTTGCGTTCTCCAGTTAGTATCCAGCCAGAACATCTTGCAACTGAAGTGCAGTCCGTCACCACAATGATTTGCAATGATTTGTTCTCCTGCCTTTTAGATTCAATTTTTTTAGCTTGTTTTTCCTAAATATTTACAGGTGTTTGGCGGGGTTGGTGATGGGGAAATCACTGAGTTAAAATTCATGTTATTGTTAAATTTAGTAAGAAGAGCAGCTGGTACTTGTGATGAATGTATTTGTTCTCATTGGTTCCAGAGCATTTAAAAGTGTAAGTTGATATCAGGATTTCCTTCACCTTTTGGTCACATACTTTGCCAACTGTTAGACATTTGCGTATTTTAAATCCTACAGTTTTAGCGTGTCTTGGGCCTGTCATCTTTGCTAGTACACGTTGCTGTACTTGTCTGTTAATCCCTAGATCTTCAAAGTACAAAGAATGGTTCTAATAGGTATTGTTATCACATATAAGAAAGAACATCACATAGAAGTTTAGAGTTGTAAGGACTCTAAGGATGATCTAGCCCAAACCCTTCATTTTCTAAATGACAAAACAGATCTGGAGAAGTGAAGCAAGTCTTCCTCAAAGAATGCCAGCTATAGGCCTGCAGGACTGGGACTAGCTCTTGTCTTCTGCCTTCCAGGTGCTTGTACTTTCTGCTACAGTTGGTATAGGATAGCTCCATCATCTCATTGGATGTGTTGTAAGGGTTACAAGAAAACATCTCTTCCTAGATCAAGATCAACCCTAGTGAGAAGTGTATTACTTGGTCTTACAAAGAGAGGAAGTTATTCTTCAGGGCTTATCAGAGCAGGAATTTCAAAGATGTTGCCTTTTAAGATGTTTCCAAGTATATTTCCTTCCTTCCCCCAATAAACTAGTATGAGTATGGAGAGAAAGGAAGAGTCACACAACGTTTATTTGGTTCCATCTCCAGATACGTAAAAAGAACCTAAGGCGTTTTAAGATTCAAGAACTTCTGAAAATGTCCAGTCTATCTTGGGACAAAGTCAGAAGGAGATGGGGTGGGGAAGTGGCCTGGGTGGGGTGGGGTGGTGAACAACGATGGTTTCTGTGTAGCTTTAGGTCCAGGAAGTAAGTGTGTGGTCTTTCTTGCCTTATATAGTCTTACCTTTTCTGTTTGAGACTCAATTCTTAGAAGTCAGTTCTTAACCTCACAGATTAACTTTTAAAACCATTTGCTTAGACCACTACTAGAAGAGTTTTGCTCCATCATTGTGGGCAGGGAGCCGCCCGCCTGCTTGGAATCCCTGCCTTAGAGTTTGTACAGGAGTACCTTGCTCTCCATTCAGCTTCTAGTAAAACAACCACTTCTTAATTTCTCCCTCCTTTTTTTTTTTTGTGTGTGTGTGTGTGTGTGTCAGGGTCTCACTCTGACTCGATAGTATGATCATGGCTCACTACAGCCTTGGCCTGCCAGGCTCAAACATCCTCCCACTTCAGCCTCCCCAGTAGCTGGGACTATGGGCGCGTGTGCCACCACACCTGGCTAATTTTTGTATTTTTTGTAGACACAGAGTTTCGCCATGTTGCCCAGGCTGGTCTCAAACTCTTGGGCTCAAACAGTCCACCTGCCTCAGCCTCCCAAAGTGCTGGGATTACAGGCATGAGCCACTGTGCCTGGCACCTCATCTGTTGAATGCCCTATTTGTGAAGTGAATCTTGATTTTTGCTAGGCCTCTTGGATTTTTTACTGTTGATAACCTGAAACACAAATTGTCTGGATTTGTCTTTAAATGTGGCAAAAGTCAGGGGTGACAGATGATGACATTTTCTCTCCAGCTAAAGCTGGGTGCAGGAGCTTGCTAGGTGAAGCAGACACTACTTCAGCAGTCAGTCCTGTAGTGACCTCTCAATCTTGTAAGAGAAGGAAAATGTTTTTTCCTAACTCTTTTTTTTTCAGGAGAGTAAAAAGAAAAAGGGAGAGACCAGTGTAATTTTTAGTCTTTTTTTTTTTTTTTTCACTGTAAAAAAGGAACTGGGAGCTATCACTACAAACAAACAAACTTGGCATTTAGCACTTCTGCATTTGTAACTTTTGTAACAGTGTCCCTTCTGTTTTCCTCTTCACAGGGCACACATAATTTTTATTGCAGCCTTAGGGGGCACTAACCATCCTGGTTTGTGCAGATTGACTGGTGTCCCAGCATATGGGGCTAAAACCGGGAAAATTCCAGGCAAACTGGGAGGAACTGGTTACCCTGTGTAACATAGAACATCCTCAACTATGTCATTAATATAATAATGTAATTAGTTCCTTGTATGTGGACATTAGGAGTTTTATATTTTTTGGTAAAGTGAGATAATTTTAAGTTTGGGAAAGAAAATTTTGTTAAATACAGATCTAAGGCATTTGACTCAAAGATAGCCATGAAACCTTTTTGAAAATTGATTTGATATTGACTGTTTTAGGGTGTTCTTTATGTCATATAGTTAAAGGCACTGTAGTCATTTTAAGTGTGTGGTCGTATCTTCAGCCTGGATCTCTACCCGAAATTTATTTTCAGAGTTATGAAGCTAGGATGGTAAGTTCTGTTGCATGTTTAAAGTGTCCACTATTCTTACCTGCATTTGTTAATGATGGCAGAACACTACTTTCATCTCGGAGGCTGCCTGCAGACAAACTGTTTCAGCAGGTGGCCTTTTTGGAGCTTCCTGCCTGGAGGCCTTCTGGTTTGGTGTTCCCTTGCCAAGTCCTAGTTCACACTTGAGTCACCTACCTTCTTGCCAAAGGCAGTGGCTGGCAGCGGTGGCAGTGGCAAGAGACTAGAAATCCTGTGTAACTTTGGGAGCAGGATTTCTAGCCCATAGTGTGGGGCCTTGGGACGTGTTACATATTTTACTGGGCTGCCCTTGTTCTTCCATGGCTCCCTAGAGCACTGGTGTTAAAGCAAACAGTATGCTGTAGTCCTGTCTTCAGCATAGAAGAAGGGAAAAGAAAGGCTTTATTTAGAACCTTTTCTGGTTGTTTCAGGACCCAATCACATGGTTTTGAGAGTGCACTTGAGGCTGGTGTTTCATGGCAGAGACCTAATAATGTCACACATTTATTGTGCTCTTATTGTATACTGGGCCTTTGCAGTGAATCATGTCTTAATCCTCATAGCCACACTAGGAGGTAGGTGGTGGTGTGATTTCTATTTTATGGATGAGAAAACAGGAATAGAGAGGCTAATTGACCGGTTTAGGGTCATACGCCCAGTAAGTGATCTAGCACACTGTCCTACCCTGGCAGTCTGATTGCACAGGTGGGGCTCTGACCACAAGGCTATACTTTTCATAGTTGAAAGGGCAGTGCAGCCATGGGATTAATGGGTGTCTGATCTTGTTTACAGAGAAGCCATTGGATGAACAGCGTTCCCTGAACTCCTTCTGCCTCTTGGGCCAGACCCATTTCTGTACATAGTAAGGAGCTGCTCTGAGGCCTCTGCCCCTGCCTGGCTTATACCTGGCTTTTCCCATTAGCCTCTCCATTTCCTCACCCCGGTGAATGATGTGTTGGTAGTTCAGTGATTTTTTTCATATATATATATATATATATATATAAAACGAACTGCGGTCATTATAGGAAAAGCAGAAAGCTAGATGAGCAAACCAAAAAATTTTAAAACCATCTGAAGCCTGTATACTCAAGAGATAACTATTCTTGACATTTTGATATGTTTCCTTCTAGTCTTCTGTCTGGGTAGCCAGTTAAAATTTTTAAACTTTTCGTGTGATAATATCATTACCTTTCACTTGTGCACATAGCTGATATCTGTGTTCTCTACACCAATGACTTTTCCAAATAAACTTATTCTTCTCTTACATATATGATTGGCTCTTTAGCCAACGCCAGCACATAAGCTCTAGCTCTGGATTAATGGAACTAACTTTTTTCTTTTTCTTTTCTTTCTTTCTTTCTTTTTTAAGATTTCAACTTTTTACTTCCTCTTTTGCTGTAAACAGAGAGCAAATACGAACTCAAAAAGGCACAAATTGTTTGTACCAGAAACAGAAATGAAAGATTCTTTAAAAAGATTTGTATTTCTACAAGATAATGTGAATTTTTATAGGCTAAAGTATAGCACGAAATAATTTAAAAACAGGCAGAGCTACAGAGATCTGATAATTTTGTGATTTCCAAATTTGTTTAAGCTATGACACTCCTTTTTTCCCCCGAAGAAATTTCATATTGAAGCTCAATATATAAAAAAGATTGGCTTGGACAGTGGTCCCTGAGTCCCTCTTGAAAACTGGTTGGGTTTAGTATTATTTGAAAGCCCCTTTGTATGAGAAAACTCCTGGTGATTGGTTAAGTGTTTTTTGTTGTTGTTTTTGTTTTTTTTCCTGACACATCATGTATGAAACAACATTTATAAATGTTTGTGAATGATTAGGAACTACACAGAACTAGGATGACTATATCATTTTTATCCGTTTGAGAATCATAGGTGATACTACTCAATATGAAGCCACAAATAGACGTGAGCCAGGACTGTCCTGGGTAAACCTGGATATGTGGTCATCATATATTCACATAGACTCCATGTTTGCTCACCACAGGCTTGACAGTGACAGTAAACTAGTTTGACTAGCAGACTACTCTGTCTCTTTTGAGTCAGGTCTACAGTGGTGCAGGTATTACAAAGATTGTTTTATGACCTTGTGCAGAGTTGGGAAACAGCTTCCATGTCACACATGAGTTCTGATCGGTCCAGGACTTGCAGGTGTAATGTGATAGAAACATTCTGACTCTTGCAGTCAAGGATCCGAGAAAGTGTGATTGATTACCAGTGTTTGCTATGGGTACACGGGAAGGGAGAAGTGACATATGTTGTACATTAGCCAACCCTTGGCAAGACATGTTAACCTCTGTAGGCTTCAGGTTTCTCTTTGTAAAATGAAGAGGTTGGACTGGATGCCTTTATGGTGCCTCAGCTCTGCCCTCTCCCTTCTGTGACTTGGTGCCTGTAATGGAGACCGATGCTCTTCACATGGTTTGTGTTATAGCATTTCTTACAAATGTGCCTATGAAGGGTGTATTTGCAGATGAGCTCTAATAAGGCTTTCCAGGTAACAAAGTCAAACAGCTTCAAGTTCCAGAGAAGGATTTTAACCCATGTCAATGACTTAGGACTAATTCCTATTCTCCACCCTACTTCAATTCATAGATAATCTAAGATTACCCATTTTATTTATTCTGTATTTTTATTTTTTTGGGACAGAGTCTCGCTCTGTTTCCCAGGCTGGAGTATAGTGGTGCAATCTTGGCTCATTGCAACCCCCGCCGACCCCCTCCTGGGGTTCAAGTGATTCTTGAGCCTCAGACTCCCGGGTAGCTGGGATTACAGGCTTGCACCACTACGCCCAGCTAATTTTTGTATTTTTAGTAGAGATGAGGTTTCACCATGTCGGCCAGGCTGGTCTCAAACTCCTGGCCTCATGTGATCTGCCTGCCTCAGCCTCCCAAAGTGCTGGGATTACAGGGGTAAGCCACCACACCTGGCCTAAGATTGCCCTCTTTATAGATTACTCCTTTTTAACCTTTTAACCAATATATTATTTGGCTTTGGCTGCTTTCAGAGGTCGGGAATGCAGGTATTTGCCCTTATCAGTGTTTATGTTTGTAAATATGTTGGTAGCCTAAGAGGTTGAAATTAATGATTCATGAATCCAGCTTGTAATTATGATATTCATAATTTTTAAGGATCTTTTCACTTGCCTCCTCTTTTGAAAACTTAAAATTTATATTCTATAAAGTGAGCTAAGCAAATAAATATATAGTCCACTTTGGGCTGTTTCAGGGATTACTAAGTCGATAATTGTTTGCATTTCTTGGTTTTTGTTTGCTTAGAGTCCCCTTGCTCCCATCCTGGGGAGTCTTAAGCATCCAAGCATAGCTTTCTAGGATATCTTTTATACCAGAAGACCATTTTCCCCTAAGAAAGCTTTCAGAGCTTTTAGTAAAATTAGGGAGACTTGTGGAAACATCTGTTTGAGCCTAGACATGGAAATTAATTACAATTCTAACCTGTCTCTAAAAGTTTTGCTTTTTTTATTTAAAAAATTTTGTTTTGCTTTAGTTTGTTTTAAAAATAACACTAGATTGGGAATCAGAAGACGTGGATTCTACTCATGGTTCTTCTAACTGTTGTATGGTTTGGGGTAAGTCCTGGCCTTCGTTTCTTTGTCTGTCAAAATGGGAACAGGTAGAAAATTCTCTAAATTCTTCCAAGCTCTAACATTCTAAGATAGCTCCTCACATATTTCAATGTCAGTCTTTTCTCATCTTGTGGAATCTCAGTTCAAAAAGTATCTGCCTTTTATGAACTTCTGATTTTCTCCCAAGTGTGTTTGTGGCAGCTTTAAAGTTTCCCAGGTTTGGTAAACACATCCTGAGTTTTGTCTAAGGGTGAGGAGTCCTTTCTCCAAGAAGTTTGTCTTCTGGCATCTCCAGGAGCCTGGCTGTGGGGACACAGAACCCCTGGGGCTGTTCTCAGTGTGGTTCTTTGAGAATCCTCTTGAACTTCTTACAGGATAAAGGGAGCAATCCTTACAAAGGCCATGCTTGTCTCTTGTGAGCTGGGGCCCACCTTAGCCTTCTTCAGAGGTGTTGCTTTAGCAAATACCTTGGGTCCTCCCAGGCAAAATCCTATTTTATTGAACCCAAATAACATGTGCATCTAACAAGTTTATTTCTGAAGGGTTGGCCCAGAGTTGGGTGCAGTTGACATGGTGACCACAGACTTTCTCAAGAAAGGAAGAAAATTCCTACATGTAATCACCAGCCTCTGTATGGTTAGTCTCTGTGGAGGAGACTTGTTTTGGTGTCTAAGACTGGCAAGATCAGGAAAAAGGAAAGTGAGCATAAGAGAAGTCTAAAGACAGAAAGCCAGGCAGACATTCAGGTCAGCCGGGACAAATCAACCAACCAATTATTGTGAAACAATGGCCTCCAAAAGTAGGTGTGGCCTACACCCCAAGGATGAACACAATACTTTATTGAGTTGGAGTTTGGGAAAGAGAATATTGGAATTCATATTTCTTTAAATCATTCTTTTAAACTTTTAATTTTTATGTAGTTTTAGTACATCTTATTTGCTAGTACTGTGTCATCTTTTTGGCTGTATTTTTCACTGGCTGCCACCTGGCCAAATCACCACTTGGGTTATAACAGCAGCCTCTGACTGGTCTCCTTCCGTCTGACCTTGGCCCCTGCACTCTACTCTCAACGTAGCTCTCAGAGTGATGGAACTCAGAACTTGTCACTCCTGCTCAAAAACTTCCAGTTTCACCCAGGTGAAAGCTAAGGTCATTAGAGTGACCTCTGCACTCAGCTCATCCACTCAACTGTCCAGCCTTGTCTGCTGTCCACCTCTTCCTGGCTCCTTGGCTCCAGCCCCACTGGCCTCCTCCTATTTAGTGAACACACCAGCTGCGCTCCTGCCTCGGGACCCTTGCTGTTCCTGCTCCCTGTGCAGCTCCTCCCTAGATATCTGCATGGCTCACCTTTACCTCTTTCGGGTCTTTCCTCAGATGTTACCTTCTCAGTGAGTCCCTTTCTGACCACACTATTTAAAATGCCCACTCCACATTTCCTGTCTGCCTTTCTTTATTTTCCTCCACAGTGTAAATCCCTCATACCATATATTTGACTCCCCCCATTTTAAAAACCAAAACTTACATGTGGCTAAGATATAGATAACAGGACAAAGATTATTTTGTTAGTTTGGTTCATTCACTGCTGTGTCTTTAGCACTTAAAACAGGGTAAGGTGCATAGTAAATGCTCAATAAATATTTGTTAAGTGATTGAATATAAATATGTATATGTATCTGTATATGTACATGTTCAAATGTTTTTTACTCATGAAGTACTCAAACAAAGAAAAGAGAAACACTTCTATAAACAGCTTTCATTTTACACTGGGATGTCAAATTTCCATTCAAACAAAATTAAGAGAAAGTTTTCTGCCCTATGAAAAGATAAAAGATCACATATTGTCCTATTTTCTGGTTATATTTTCCCTCTTTTTAAACTGTGCTTTTGGTTGTGAGGATGGTTAGCACTGTAGGTAATTCTCAGTCGTAGGTAATTCTCAGTTCCATTTCTTTTCAGGGGAAGTATCAAGGTGACATGAGGGGACAGGAAATATTGTCCCTAAATGTTCTAAGAGTGGATCTCCCATGTATTCAAGCAATCGAGGGGTGTTTAATGAGCTCCATCTACATAGCAATGATACAGCATAGCTCTGCTGGGGCTCTCTGCTCTCCCCTTCTCCACAAAAGGGAAGGACAGGTAAGAACAGGCACAATAAAATAGAAACCAGACAGAAAGAATTGGGAACAAGGAGACAAGACAAGAATCATGCTTTACGTGATTTAATCCTAATATTTTTATGAGAGGATGGCTATCATCATTTCATTTTAAAGATGAGGAAAATGAAGCCGGGTGCGGTGGCTCATGCCTGTAATCCCAGCACTTTGGAAGGCCGAGGAAGATGGCTCACCTGAGGTCAGGAGTTCGAGACCAGCCTGGCCAGAGAGATGGCCAGAGATGGCTAGAGATGGTGAAACCCCATTTCTACTAAAAATACAAAAATTAGTCAGGTGTGGTGGCAAGCACTTGTAATCCCAGCTACTTGGGAGGCTGAGGCAGGAGAATTGCTTGAACCTGGGAGGACGAGGTTGCAGTGAGCCGAGATTGTGCCATTGCACTCCAGCCTGGGCGACAAGAGTGAAACTCTGTCTCAAAAAAAAAAAAAAAAAAAAAAGGAAAATGAAAACTGAGAGGTCGAGTAATTTTTTTCAGGGTCGCATGACTCTGGGAGTCACATCTGGGCAAGCTCAACTCCAAGGTGCACATTCTTAGCCATCACACATTAGGATTCTTGAAATAGGTGCAGTATCACAAGAGGCCTTTTTCCCCATGGAGCTCACAGTCTAGTTAGATGATACTGAATGCCTTGCACATGAAAGGCCCTCTTTAAAGTTTATTGAGTTCATGTGGCATATGAAACAGTTATCAATCCACATATAGTGCAGGTTTAGACTATGCTTAGGGGTATTGATTAGGGACTTCAGGAGTCCAGAGATGGGCAAAGTCATTAAGAAGGGAGCTGGAGGGAGTCTAAGCGGTACTTGAGGAAGGGAATGATTCAGGCAGCAGATGTGGGTAGAACCCAGGTGAGTGACGTGTTGTGTCCCTTTCAGGTAACCTGGTGACTAAATTTACTGAGTCATAGGGTTCATGTTAGGTAGGAAGAAGAGGTAAGGAAATATCCAATTTGCAAACTGGATAGGAGAGGTGTTTGCATATTAACACATTTTTCTCAGTTGAGTTCTTTGATAGGTACTACATGCCCTCTGCCTGAAAACTTGAATTGATGAATTTGTGCCTAAGCAAAACTCATTGTTTCCATTTGTTGCACATGACTTTTTACAAATTAATTTGTATTTACTTTGTTCCAAAAAGTATTGAAGCATTAAAGTAAGGTGTTGCCTTATGGGCCCTTCTGTGTCCATGATACCCCTGGCTTGGATAGAATGTTGCATGAGGTACCATGGCAACATTTTGTGAACAAACATGTATTTTGGAGTAGCAAGGACTTCATTGAAAGGATCTAGATGGTTTGGTGATGTAGGCCATTGATGGAATAATGTAGTATGTTTAAAGATGACTTTTTTTTCCTTCTTAAAAAATTATTTCCATAGGTTTTTGGGGAATGGGTGGTGTTTGATTACATGAATAAGTTCTTTAGTGGTGATTTCTGAGATTTTGGTGCACCTGTCACCACTAAAGAACTGTACCCAATGTGTAGTCTTTTATCCCTCACTCCTTTCTCACCATTTCCCTGATTCCCCAAAGCTCATTATATCATTCTTATGCCTTCGTGTCTTCATAGCTTAGCTCCTACTAATGAGTGAGAACATATGATGTTTGTTTTTCCATTTCTGAGTTATTTCAGTTAGAATAATCGTCTCCAATTCCATCCAGGTTGCTGCAAATGCCATTATTTCATTCCTTTTTATGGCTGAGTAGTATTCCATGGTATGTATCTACCACACTTTCTTTATCCACTCATTGATTGATGGGCATTTGAGCTGGTTCCATATTTTTGCAATTGTGAATTGTGCTGCTGTAAACATGCATGTGCAAGTACCTTTTTCTTATGACTTCTTTTCCTCTGGGTAGATACCCAGGAGTGGGATTGCCGGATCTAGAGATGACTTGTTTTTAATCTTATACATATTTGTTAAATAAGAAATTACAAAATCCAGACTATGGGATGCCTACAGAAAAAACAGACCTCATTTATTTAAAAAATCAATTGTAAGAGGAAAAAAAAAAGATGGAGAGGAAATATAAATCCATAAATTAAAAGAGAATTAAGATACATTCAGACTAGTTGCAGTGAATAGATTTGGATTCTGATTTAAACAAACTTAAAAAAGCACACTTCTTTGAGATAATTGGGGAAATTTGAATACTGACTGGATATTTGATGATTTAAAGTGTGAATAGGATATTGTGGTTATGTTTAAAAAGAGAGTCCTTTTACAAAACTAGAAACTATAAAACTCTAGCATTTTCTCTCTCTTTCTTTTTTTTTTTTGAAACAGGATCTCACTCTGTCACCCATGCTAGAGTGTAATGGTGCGATCACAGCTCACTGCAGCCTTGACTTCCGGGGCTCAGTTGAGTCTCCCACCTCAGCCTCCTGAGTACCTGGGACTACAGGTGCGTGCCACTACACCTGGCTAGTTTTTGTATTTTTAGTAGAGATGAGTTTCACCATGTTGCCCAGGCTGGTCTCGAACTCCTGGAATCAAGTGATCTGCTTGGCTTTCCAAAGTGCTGAGATTACAGGCATGAGCCACCATGCTTGGCCTACTTTAGCATTTTCTCAGGGCACCTATTTAAGTGATACATTCTTTTTGGAAACTATTTTTCTTTTTACTTCTTCCTGCCACCTTTGTGCCCCTCTTAAGGCCTCCACTCTCGCTTGATAGAATGCCTTCAGTAAAGTTGTTAGAATCCTTTCTGTTTGTCCATAAAAGCACATGATTTTTCTGGTTTTGCTGCCCAAGGAAATATGCTTCTGAGCTAGTTGTGTGGTCCACACATCTATTGACTTAGTTTAAGTGGCTCCATAACTTGAGTCAAATACTTGAGCATTGGTCTTAGAATCCCATCTTGTGTGCTTTTAGGAAGACCTGGATTTGGCTTGTCCAGTGTAAGATATTTGGAAGGGAATTTAGATACTAGAGTTGCCAAAAATCGCTTTCTTACATTGACTTTTAAACTATGCTTTTAATTATACCGTGTAGTTCTTAAAGGCAGCAAACAGTTACAAGGTCTCAATTCTAATGGGCCTGGCTGCCATGCCTCTCTTCTTACCTGAACAGGAAGTAGGTGTTTGTTGTTGCCTTGAGTGGTTTCACCATTGCTTCAGACATGCTGAAATATCTTCCTTTATTTCTACAAGTGTAAAAATCTTTCTATATCCTTCTTAACGGAGTCCAGATTTAAGAATAGACCATAAGCATAAGAAGTGGCCAGCTGTGACTTGAGTAAATGATACTGTCATGAGTAATTTAGAAGCCATGTGACTAAGGGTTTTGTACTTTGGAGCCTTAGTATAATTAGGTCTTGGGGCTCATGAGATGAGTGCAATGTTTAGTTGCTAATGCTCCTTTTCGTAGCAGCCAAGAAGAAACAATCTTTTTAAGTAGCTCTGCTTTGTAGCAAGGAGTCTTCTATCAAGGTTTCAGGGTACTGTATTTTATGTATAATATTTTAAAATATTGTGGCATCTAACCGAACAATTTCCAAAAATGCTCCGTGTGAGTTGTATATTTAGAATACTAAAGTTGATGTCTGGAGACCTGGGCTATGTGCACAGCGCTACTCCTAACAAGCTGTGTCCATCTTCCTGTGACACAACTTTCCTTGACTGTAAGATGGGTAAAATAATACTTGCTTTACGGGGAAGTTGTGATAATCAAGTGGGAAAAGTCTTTGTATAGCAGGTGGTCCTTGGTTGGCACTCTATAATAAATAGTCTCTGAATCTTGGGCTGGTTCCTCATTTGTCACATTAAAGAGACCAGTTTTCTCAGGTCAATTTCAGCTCTATGAAAATATGATTTGAGTTTGTTTTTGTTTTATATTTATGACCTTTTAACTAGTCTTCTTTCTCTCTCTCACTTAAACAACATTGGTAGAAAGAGTTTGTTTGTTTTATTTTTGTATGGAATTTCCATACTTCGGTATGAATTGTAGTGTTTGGTTCCTACAGCTTTAGGAATTACATTTTTCTTTCATTTTGGTTTTATCAAATCAATTGACTTAGTTTATTTGACCAAAGAATCTTATGTTTAGATAGATCTAGGAGGATCAATTTGTGTTGAAAAGATTCTCAGGAGTTTGCAGTCATTTTTTATTTAAGTTGTCAAAAAGAACTTTGAAAATTACTTATAAGAATGCCACTTCCTCTTCACAGAAATATAAAACTGTGTCTTTTTGAGGAAGTGTGTAAAAACAAAAGTTGATAGAGTAATCTTCATAAAAAATCATCACAGCAGAATGTCTAAAAAACATTGGTGTAAAATTTCAAGTCTCGAATTAATTTATAACGGTAGAAAACAAACTTCTCTGATAAAATGTGACTTAAAAAGTTAGATGAAAGATACATTGTAAAAAGTTACTTTAATTTGGGGTTTTTTCCCTTTTAAAACTATAGAATGCTACTTAAAGAGCAGATAATTTAAACATCATTGGATATGTGTATGTATCTTAATTCTAACAAAGCATTTCAATTTGAGGTGATTCTTGGTTGAGATGTAGGGCAAAGTAAAAAGGGTCACAGGAAATGAAAATGAGAATTGGTATAAGAAAAGGTGGAATAAGGAAAAATAAGAGAAAACCATTAAGAAACTTATTTATTTATTCTTTTAGAGGGAAGGAATTAGGAGCGGGAAGGAGATTGACTGTTAGTTTCTTAGGTGAGTGTTGGAGATGCTGTTGAACTTTAAGCTTAATTGGTCACCTGCTGTCCTTTGTTCTTTGAAATAATTGACATTGATCCTTGCTGTTCAGCCACATTGACACTTATATCTTGGGAGTTCTAGGATTGGACTAACAAAAGTGGAGGTTGTTACTTACACTGCAAAAGAAACAACCAGAGCTGTGTCACTCAGAAGGCTGAAAAGAATCAGGCTGACAGGTAATTTGGCCCCTCAAAAGGTCCTAGTGGCTGATATAGGACCTTCAGAATGAGTGTAGGTGACAGGCAGGTAACAAATTATTTTACACAGTGGGAAGTCAGGTATTAGGAGCTTCTATGACTAGTGACTAGGTTCCTGCAACAACTCTGGTTTTAAGCACCCCACTGCCTGTCCTGGTGAGTTGAACTCAAGCAGGACATTTCTTCATTACTGCTTTACCTTTTCTTTTTATTTCTTCTTCTTTTCTTTTTTATTTTTTTGAGACAGGGTCTCAATCTGCCACCTAGGCTGGAGTGCAGTGGTGCCATCATAGCTCGACCTCCTGGGCTCAGGTGATCCTCCCGCTTCAGCCTCCTGAGTAGCTGGGACTACAGGCATGTACCTCCATGCCACCTGGCTCACTTTTTGTAGGGACAGGGTTTCACCATGTTGCCCAGTCTGGTCTTGAACTCCTGAACTCAAGGGATCTGCCCACCTCAGCCTCCCAAAGTGCTGGGATTATAGGAAAGAGCAAACCACCGTGCCCAGCCTTGCTTTTACCTTTTCAACCAGCTCTTCCAGAGGCTGAATAGTATTTTTCTTAACTCCATTCCTGCCATGAATTGGCTGTGAGATCCTGGCCAGTCATTATACCTCCTTGGGCCTCAGTTTTCTTTAAGAAATGAGGACATTGTTTTAGAGTTTATTCTTGCAGCTGCTCCAGTCTTCTATAGTTTTAACCCAGGGGTTGCAGACTACTATCCACAGGACACATATGGCCTGCTGCCTGCTTTAAATGGCCCGTGAGCCAAGGATAGTTTTTATATTAAGTGATTGAAAAGGATCAAAAGGATAATACTTTGCAACACATAAAAATTAAACAAAATTCTAATTTCTTTGTCCATAAATAAAGTTGTATTATTTGTTTACGTCTTGTCTATGGGCGCTACAACAGCAGAGTTGAGTAGTTGTGGCAAAGACTATAGGGTCAGCAAAGCTGAAAATATTTATTATCTGGCCTTTTACAGGAAAAAATTTGCCAACCTCTTGCTCTAACTCAAGGGCAGACTTGGGGCCATCCTCTTCAGAAATCGAGTGCTACACTCTTACAGTCCTAGTGTTACCTAAGTTGCACTTTGATCTAGATTTAATTAGATTGAGGTGGGAATTCTTGCTTTTATTATTTTCTCCAGGAGAAAGTAGAAGCTTAGTTAGCTTTTTTGGTATGCTTTCAATTAGAAACAATCCTCCTTAAAACAATAGTTTTGTTTGTACTCAACTTTTTTTTCCCTCTGCCTAGGAATCACTGTAGAGAAGGAAGCCATATGTTTATATTTTAAATCACTTGCCTTTTCTATAGGATTTTTAAACTCCAGATGTGGACTCAGAAACAGTTAATATGTACTTTTGATGCACTCAAAGAGCCAAGATGGGGGAAGAGAGATCTTTACTTCTTATATATGAGAGCAAAACAGAAATCTTAATATTTTCTATTCCCCAAGTAGAGACTCTAGATTAATATGGGGATGGAAATAGCCTTAATTTTGTAGGAGGCTAATTTTAAGCAAACACAGTTTAAAGGTCAAGTATTACAAATGGAAATTATACAATTAAAAATAAATCTTAAAGCTGTCTACTAATCTAATGTTGCTCATTATTCTAGAAGGTTCTCTCTGAAGCTAAGTCTGGTAATTTCTGTGTGGGTTATAAGTTTGTGTGTGTGTTGGGGCGGAGGGGTGGTGCAGAGAGACAGAGAGAGAATGAAAATATGTGTGTGTGTGGTTTCCAGTGTTCATTTCATTAGAATTATAAAGAGCATCTGACTCTTGCTCTTGTACTTCCAGAGTCATTTGAGTTATTATGAAACTCCTCCTAGGCCTGGAGTTCTGTTTGATCTTGGATGAAGATGGGCACCTTGAACTGGTTAGCGAGGCCAGAAAGGAGGTCAGTCAACATGTCATCTTTCATATAAAGGTTCACTTTTCTCAGAAGTGAAACTAACTTCTATATGAAAGATGACACGTGTTGACTGACCTCCTTTTCTCTATCCTTCAGAGAGAATTAAGACTAAAGAAACTTGTTTAAAAGATTTGTAAAGAAATTAATGTAGTGTACAACTTTAGAAAACATGGACAGTGACCGAGTACCTAAGCTGTCTGGGACCTCCAGCATTTTCTGAACAATATTATAAATTGTCTGGTGAAGACAGGAGATGAGCATTAGAATCCCCATTTTTCATAGGGAGAAACCGAGGCCAGTGGCTGTTACTTTGCTTGTTGATTGTTAGTGGAGGTAGAGCTCTTATTTTTTCTGGCTCAGTCTGAGGTGCATTTCATTTGCCTATCCTGTTCTTAAACAGCACTTATAAAATCACGTGTCATTTCTGCAGTTATATTTAGGATACAGCCTAAAATGCTGTATAAACACCCTGTGATAGAATGCTGAAGGCTGCCGCCTGGGTAATTATCATGTGGTTCTAGTATCGTATCATCTGCATTATCCAGATTAGAATGTATCACCCACTTCTAAGCTGGTCTAGAAGAAGGAGCCCATTGTGTGCAAGGCCATAAGGATATTGCCTCATCGTTCCCCTGTGGGTAAAGATCTTTGTGATACACAGAAGACCGTGGAACTTCATTCTTATTTGAAAACACTTGTGACTGGTAATAATCCTGAAATACTAAGGCTTTCCCATGCCCTCATCCCCAAAATTCCTCTCTAATATGCTTTGTTTTCTTTTTTTAGAATTTTGTGAGATGTATTTAAGATTGGCCATCTGAAGGGAACATTTGTCACAGCACTGCCTAATCTTTAGATGTGTGTAAATGCAGATATGTTTAATGAACTCTTTCATTTTCCTGCTTACATGGAGTGGGGAAAGTTTCTTCATTGAGGCTCTCACTTCTGGTTTCAGTCCATTTTTAGCCCCTTGATTAGTGTGTGTCTTGGGAAGGTTGGAGCTAAGCCACTGAATTTCTCTTCACTTCTGGGGGAAAATGTTTGTACCCCAACTTTTTAGTATCTAAGACTCTGGTTAACTCAGTAGTAGTAGATTAGCAGTGACTATTGAATAAGTGAATGATGTAGTGCCAGTCTCTGCTGCTGTGTTTTTTCCTTCACCATCCTTCCCTTCTTTTATCTACTTTATCTACCTTCTTTTTCTCCTCTTGGGATCTTTACCATGAACAGAGGAAGGACAGGAAGTGATTAATTTTTGGTTATGTAAATAACCCTAGTAAAAAGATTGGTGATATAAAATATTGCTAATATTTGTTTGGTGGATTTTTTCTTCTTGGTGTCTTGATAAATATGTATAGTCAAGAATGTGTGGCTGATGGCTTAGTGTGTCATGACATGAACAGATCTGGGACAACTTCTCCAGTCAAGGAAACAGTATGGGAAGAAATGTTTTACTCACCATTTTTTTGTACTGTGGAGATTTTGGACAGGCTTTAACTGGGACAGCTCTTTAAAGACTTGCACAGGAAGTCACTGTTAATGTGCACTCTTGGTTTAAAGCATCTTGCTAAGTAGGGCCCAAAGGAGGCAGAGTGTGATTTCCATCACCGATCCTGGGTGGACTGAGAGGATGGCCATGCTGGGCCATCTACTGATGCTTACAAGTAGCTCATGGCAACATTTTTTATCCCCAACCCCTACCACCAAAAGATTTTTATACGCTATGTATTCCCTTGCACATTTTTTGGGGGGTTGACATCTAAAGTTTTTCATCACAAAGTTGGAAAGATACAAAGGATGTAATTCCTGGCATAATACAAATGTTGACTTTTAAAATGGAAACATTATATCACTGTTTAAAATGTGTTGAATGGAATTTAAACACTATTGTGATTTGAGTGTCCCACCTTCACTTAAAAAATACATGAGCAACATCATCACTGGTCATCAGATAAATGCAAATCAAAACCACAATGAGACACCATCTCATGCCAGTTAGAATGGCGATCATTAAAAAGTCAGGAAACCGCAGGTGCTGGAGAGGATGTGGATAAATAGGAATGCTTTTACACTGTTGGTGGGAGTGTAAGTTAGTTCAACCATTGTGGAAGACAGTGTGGCGATCTCTCAAGAATCTAGAACTAGAAATACTATTTGACCCAGCAATCCCATTACTGGGTATATATCCAAAGGATTATGAATCATTCTACTATAAAGACACATGCACACATATGTTTATTGTGGCACTATTCACAATAGCAAAGACTTGGAACCAATTCAAATGTCCATCACTGATAGACTGGATTAAGAAAATGTGGCACATATACACAGTAGAATACTATGCAGCCATAAAAAAGGGATGAGTTCATGTCCTTTGCAGGGACATGGATGGAGGTGGAAACCATCATCCTCAGCAAACTATCACAGGGACAGAAGAGCAAACACTGCATGTTCTCACTCATAGGTGGGAATTGAACAATGAGATCACTTGGACACAGAGCAGGGAACATCACACACTGGGGCCTGTCGTGGGGTGGTGGGATGGGGGAGGGATAGCATTTGGAGAAATACCTAATGTAAATGACGAGTTAATGGGTGCAGCAAGCCAACATGGCACATGTATACATATGTATCAAACCTGCACATTGTGCACATGTACCCTAGAACTTAAAGTATAATTTAAAAAAAATACATGAGCAAGCATTATTCGATAGTTGGAAATTTTACATTGTTCCTTTTTCTCCTTGAGCTTATACTTCTATTCCACTTTCTCATGCAGAATTTGGCTGGGTGTGGTGGCTCATGCCTGTAAATTACCGCACTTTTATCCAAATATTATACATTATTTATTTTTTTGAGATGGAGTCTTGCTCTGTTGCCCAGGCTGGAGTGCAATGGCATGATCCCAGCTCACTGCAGCCTCCGCCTCCTGGGTTCAAGTGATCCTCCTGCCTCAGCCTCCCAAGTAGCTGGAATTACAGGGGCCCACCACCATGCCCAGCTAATTTTTGTGTTTTTAACAGAGACGGGATTTCACCATGTTGGCCAGGCTGGTCTTGAACTGCTGACCTCAGGTGATCCACCTGCCTTGGCCTCCCAAAGTGCTCGGATTACAGGCATGAGCCACCGCGCCTGGCCACATCTTATTTATTTTTTAGGGACAGGGTCTCACTCTGTTACCCAGCCTAGAGTGCAGTGGTGTGATTATAGCTTACAGCAGCCTGGAACTCCTGGGCTCAAGTGATCCTGTCACATCAGCCTCCTAAGTAGCTAGGGTTACAGGTACACACCAGCATGCCTGGCAAATCTTTGTTTTTTTTGTACAGACAGGGTCTCCCTATGTTGCCCACGCTAGTCTGAAACTCCTGGCCTCAAGGGATCCTCCCTCCTTGGCCTCCCAAAGTGTTGGGATTACAGGTGCGAGCTGCTGTGCCTGGCACAAATGTACTACATTAAAAAAAAACTGCAGAGGTTGCAGTGAGCTGAGATCTCACCACTGCACTCCAGCCTGGGCTGGACTGAGACTCCATCTCAAAAACAAAAACAAAAACAAAAAACAAAAAACAAACAAACAAAAAAACTGATTATCTTACAATGCTTTGTAATAGAAATGTGATCCTGAGATGCTAAGAGTTAAATAAATTTCTGGATTGAGTTTCCAATGATTATTAACAATGTATCAAAACAAATATAAAATTTGATAAATTAGTAATAATACATGCAAAGTAAAGCATGCTTATTTGGAATGAATTTCTTGATCTGTTGATGAGGCTCTTTCTTTTTAAAATGAGTTTGTGTATTTGTGAAGAACATGGCTTATTGCTGGGATGATACAGAGGGAGTTAAAAGTTCTGACTTCGAATCTCCTGGTTTTCAACTGGTCTTTTCTTTGACACCAGGAAACTCAAGTGAATCAGCAATAAAAAAAAATAATCCCATCAAGAAGTGAATAGACATTTCTCAAAAGAAGATATACAAACAGCCCACAAACATATGAAAAAATGCTCAACATCACTAACCATCAGGGAAATGCAAATTAAAACCACAATGAGATACCACCTTACTCCTGCAAGAATAGCCGTAATTAAAAAGTTGCAACACAATAGATGTTGGTGTGGATGTGGTGAAAAGGAAACACTTTTACACTGTTGGTGGGAATGTAAATTAGTACAACCTGGGATTATAGGCATGAGCCACAGTGCCCCACCTATTCATTTTATTTTTTCTTTTTGAAAAATAGACTATTGGGAGGCTGAGGCGGGCAGATCACTTGAAGTCAGGAGTTCGAGACCAGCCTGGCCAACATAGTGAAACCCCGTCTCTCCTAAAATACAAATATTAGCCAGGCGTGGTGGCGGGCACCTGTAATCTCAGCTACTTGGGAGGCTGAGGTTAGGAGAATTGCTTGAACCCAGGAGGTTGCAGTGAGCCGAGATCACGCCACTGCACTCAGCCTGGGTGATAGAGACTCCGTCTCAAAAAAAAAAAAAAGAGAAAAATTGACCATATTGTGGATAGTTTACATGAAATGGCATGCATCCACTTTAATGACATGTAGATGTGTTTTGACAAAAGTTACCTGTGTAATCACCCCCATAATCAAGATATGGAATGATTCTATCACCCCCAAAGAGTTCTATTCTGCTTCTTTGTCTTCCCTACTTTACATCCTAGGCAAATACTGATCTGCTGTCTGTTACTACAGATGAATTTCACACAAATGGAATCATACAGTTTGTCCTCTTTAGTTTCTGGCTTCTTTTGCTCAGCATAAGGATTTTGAGATTCGTTCATGTTTTGTGTATAAGGAGATAAAATCTTTCTTATTGCTAAATAGTGTTCCAATGTCTGGCTATACCATAATTTTTCATCCATTCATCTGTTGATGGAAATTTGGGTTGTACCCACATTTATCTATTATGAATAATTATGTGCAAGTCTTTTCTTTAAACATAAAGAAATTTCTCTTGTATAATACCTGATAAGTGCATGTTTATAAGAAACTGACAAACTGTTTTTCAAAGTGGTCGTACCATTTCACACTCCCCCAACAATACATATGGGTTAGTTTCTCCACATCCTTGTCAACACTTGGAATTAGCAGTCTTTTAAATTTTAGCTATACTAATATTTATGTAGTAATGTTTGTGAGTTTTTTGGTATTTTTTCTTTACTGATACATAATATTTTACATATTTATGGAGTCTATATGAGTGAGACATACATAGGATGTGTAATGACCAAACCAGTGTATTTGGGGGTATTCATCACTTTGAGTATTTATCATTTCTATACGTTGGTATCACTTAGAGCCTCTCTTCTAGTTACTTTGAAATATACAAAATATTGTTGCTAGGTATAATTACCCTAGTCTGCTACCAGACTTACAATTTATTTCTTCTACCTAAACTGTATGTTAGTACCCATTAACCAACCTCTCTTCATATCCTCCTCCCACCCACTTATCCTTCTCAGCCTCTGGTATCTGTTATTCTATCCTCTGGGTCCATGATTTCAAGTTTTTTAGCTCCCATATGTGAATGAGAACATATGGTATTTGTCTTTCTGTGCCTGGCTTATTTTACTTAACATTATGACCTCCAGTTTTATCCATGTTGCTGCAAGTGACATGATTTCATTGTTTTTTACGGCTGAATAGTATTCCATGGTGTGTGTGTGTGTATGTGTATATGTGTGTGTATATGTGTATATATATATATCACGTGTGTATGTGTATATATATATATCACATTTTCTTTATCCATTCATCTGTTGATGGACACTTAGATTCCATAACTTTGCTCTTGTGAATAGTGCTGTGATAAACTTGCATGTGCAGCTATCCCTTTTACATAGTGGTTTCTTTTCCTTTGGACTGATGCCCAACAGTGGGATTGCTAGGTCATATAGAAGTTATTTATATGTGTTTTTTTCTTTGAGAGATTGCCATGCTGTTCTCCATAGTGGTTGTATGGAGGTTGTATACATTCCCAACAACAGCATATAAGAGTTTCCTTTTCTCTGCATCCTCACCAGCATCTGTGAAACTTTATATACCGCCCATGAAGTTTCCTCTCAGATGTAGTGAATGAAGTTTCTATGTGCTTTTCCTTATATTCCACTCTGTGCAACTGGTTGAATAGCTGGATGTAAGTAACAGTGTTTCTCATTGGATTTGAACATTTGCTTAGAATATCATGGTATTTGAAAGCTAATTTCTCATATCTAAAGACCCAGATCCTCCTTTTATAACTGATTTTTGGGCAAACCCTAAATTTTTGGTCTTGAGGGAGTACATCAGATATCTTTTTTTCTTTTCTTTCTTTTTCTTTTTTTTTTTTTTTTTGAGACTGAGTCTCACTCTGTCACCCAGGCTGGAGTGCAATGATGTGATCTCGGCCCACTGCAACCTCTGCCTCCCGGGTTCAAGTGGTTCTCT
Organism: Homo sapiens; assembly: GCF_000001405.40. Classification (NCBI taxonomy): domain Eukaryota; kingdom Metazoa; phylum Chordata; class Mammalia; order Primates; family Hominidae; genus Homo; species Homo sapiens. The sequence continues at coordinate 197,287,926 of NC_000002.12, read as the reverse complement.
GGCCTCAGCCTCCCAAGTGGCTGGGACTACAGGTGTGTGCCACCACACCGGGCTAATTTTTGTATTTTTAGGAGGGACAGGGTTTCACCATGTTGGCCAGGCTGGTCTTGAACTCCTGACCTCAAGTGATATGCCCGCCTCGGCCTCCCAAAGTGCTAGGATTACAGGCGTGAGCTACCGTACCCAGCGCGTGTCTACTTTGGTTTGCTAATTCCTGAATTAGCTAAGAAGTCCCCAGATCTCCTAAATAGAAAATAGGTATTATATCTCAGCAGTTACTTTACAAAAAACAGGGTAAAAGATCTAGATATAAACTTCACAATGATGTGTGGTTGTCTGTGTGTTGAATGGATTTGTTTGGCTTTTCTGTGTAGTGTTCAACAGCATTAAAAACGGTTCTTTGGAGAGAATACTAGTCTGATGACTAGTGTTGCTTGTTCCTCTCTTGCTCATCTCTAGAACAAACAGAAACACACGTCCTCTCTGCCAAGTATTCTGTGACGTCACAAGGCAGCTCCTACAGTGCAGCAGCTTTTTCTTACACTTTTCTTTTCTGGCTGCAGGAGAATTAATCTCTTCCTTCATACTTTTACCCATTTTTTTTAATCAGTTGGAGGATACATGATATTATTTAGAACATCTAGAAGGTATACTTTTTTAAAAAATAGACTTTAATTTTTAGGGCAATTTTATGTTCACAGCAAAATTGAGCAGAAAGTACAGAGAGTTCCATATACCCCTGTCCCCACAACCAGCCTCTCCCACTGTCACCATCCCCACTAGAGTGGTACATTTGTTACCATCGATGAACCTGCATTGACACATCATCACCCAAAGTCCATAGTTGACAGGGTTCACTCTTGGTGTTGTACGTTCTGTGGGTTTTGACAAATGTATAATGACATGTATCCACCATTATAGGGCCATACGGAGTAGTTTCACTGCCCTGAAAATCCTGCATGCTCTGCCTGCTCATGCCTGCTTACCCCCTAACCCCTGGCAACCACTGATCCTTTTTCTATCTCCGTAGTTTTATCTTTTCCAGAATGTTATACCGTTGGATAAATTCTTTTAAAAAGGGATCTAGCAGGATAAAGGAATTTTGAAACTGTAAGGGATCTTAGAGATTTTTCATTCTGTGGCCTTTTTTCATGCTTACCAAAGGTACATATTTTTCGACAGTTTGAATAGAAACCAATTCGTACAGTTTCATAAGCAAAAAAAAATTACATTAAAAATTAAGTTAATATTCCTGGGAGAAGTAAAGAGAAGCATTTAAAAAGGTATTTGGGAGGCCCAGGTGAGAGGATCACTTGAGGTCATGAGTTCAGGACCAGCCTGGACAACATAGCGAGACCCCCATCTCTACAAAAAATTAAAAAAAAAATTAGCCAGACATTGTGGCGTCCTTGTAGTCCTAGCTACTGGGGAGGCTGAGACAGGAGGATCAATTGGGCCCAGGAGATTGAGGCTGCAGTGAGATATGATCTTGCTACTGCACTTCAGCCTGGGTGACAGGGCAAAGCCCTGTCTCTTAAAAAAAAAAGAAAAAAAAAAGTAGAAGAAGTAGGTAAAAAATTCTTTCTGTCCTTAGATACTCTTTAAAGAATTTGAAAGCCAATTTTGGTTGCTATTTTGATAGCATTTAGGGAAATCTTTGAATTAAATAAAACCAAATTGCTTTCAAATTGAGACAGTTAATTTAAATAGAAATATGCTCAGTTTTATTGCAGAGTGGGACTGGAATCTTTTGAAGCAAAAGATGTTTGGAAAGGGTAATATGCCTTAATAGTGTCATGGGGGACCCTTATAGAGCAGCAAATGACTACACTGGCCCACCAGCTGCAATGGTCAAATGGAAAGGCTTTCTTCCTTGTGCCAAATTGGCCAGCTTGTCTCTTTACTTTATAAATTGGGTGGTACCATTGTCAGACTCACCCAGAGTTAGCTCTGGGGCTCAGGCATTTTGTGTGAGAGATGGAATGGTTGAATTACTGCCACTGGGCACTTAGCAATCAAACTGGAAGGCCTGATTCTGATTTTGTCAGAGGGTTCCCAGAGGTGACCATATAGTGAAATCTGTTCTTTTTTTTCAGAATCTGACCCTATATCATTTTATTGATCTCTTTAAGCTTTGTACAGGTTCTTTGTCAACCATAATGAGGTTTTATGTTTTCTTTCCTTTTTGTTTTTCTGCAATCTGTCCAACCAAGGTTTATTTTGCAGGAATTTGTGACTGGGGGCATGCCTGAGATGAGCAAACGGTGCAAATCTTTAAGGCTGTGACACTTGGCTGTTAATAGCTTAAGAAGCTCTTGGTTGTAGGAGTAAGTCATAAAGCCACAAAAGGATTTAGCTTCTTGAGAAAGCAGAAATCTACTTAGCATTTTTATGAGAAAATGGAGTGACTCCTCCATTAGAGTCAAGCATTAAGGCTTCAGCGTCAACTAGAATATTTCCCATAGTTTGGCAAGTTGCCTTTTAACCCATGGCTTCCCACACCTGGAACCTGTTTCCTCTAGTTGCTCCATCGCAGGCAGGCTACTGTGTTTTGATCAGAACCCAGAAGAAAAGAACCTGGGATCTGGGTATCACAGGTAGCATTTTATAGCATCAGACATGTTCCAGTGACTAACTCTTGGCTGCCCCATCCCCAGACACTTTCCTGCAGTGGGTTGGGGCTGGGGAGGTTGTGGAGCTCACTGATGCACATTTTGCAGTTTGGCTCAATGGGTCCACAGGCCTTACATAACCTAAACTCCCTGACTTTTCATCACTTCCTGCAGAATGTGATGTGGGTGGGCTGAGGGATTCAAGTAGAGACTAGTGGGTGATACTTAAACTTGCTCAAAGGGAACATCTTTTAGGGAGCCTTCTAGAGTGCCACAAAATTGGGCTATGACTGTTTCTGCCATCTGAGAGAGGGCTATCACTCTTTCTATTATCTTAACAAGCAGAAGATATATTTCTATTGTAAGTAGTGAAGCTCTTCGTATCTTAACATTGAATAATGTAAAAAAAAATTTAATTTTTTTTTTTTTGAGATGGAGTCTTGCTCTGTTGCCCAGGCTGGGGTACAGTGGTGTAATCTCGGCCCACTGTAACCTCTGCCTCCCGGGTTAAGGCAATTCTTGTGCCTCAGCCTCCCCAGTAGCTAGGATTACAGGTGCACACCACCACACCTGGCTAATTTTTGTATTTTTAGTAGAGACGGGGTTTCACCATGTTGGCCAGGCTGGTCTCGAACTCCTGGCCTCAAGTGATCCACCCACCTAGGCCTTCCAGAGTTTTGGGATTATAGGCATGAGCCACCACGCCTGGCTCTAATAATGTAAAAATTTTAATGAGTCATATTTCTAGAATTTTGTTTAAACACACAAATTATGTGTGTGTGTGTGTGTGTGTGTGTGTGTGTGTGTGTGTTTGACTCTCTGTTGCCGTGAGTTCTTGTTTGACCATGTGGTGGTATGTGCTAGGGTTTGGAGAAATTAATGGGAAAAAGAGTATATGTCACATTTAAGTAGTTTTTTTCCTTCTAAGAATTGGGAAAAGGCCTCCATTGTTTGATTTTCATGGTGAGGCAACTTGGACCTGGTCATAGAACATGAATGTCCTGAGGGATGATAGGGAATGCAGCGAATACCCAGAGAAATCCTGTTAGCCTGCCAGAGGCGGGAGTGACCCTCATTTCTTCATCTCCTTGTGCAGTTCTTCAATGTTCTTTGCAAGTGGATTTCACTAAAGTGAGTTCTGTCTATTAATGTCAATAGGTATAGATGTCTTTCCATCTTATCCATAACGTGGAGAAGATGCAATATGCCTCATAAATATTTCCAGGAACAATGTTCCTTTTATTTCAGTAAATTAGAGGTCAGCACCCTATTCATAGATAGATCCAGCAAACGGGGAGAGGAGACAGTAGTTAACAGTGTTCATTCTTCTACACAATCTCTCTGTATCTGGTACCTCGTGCCTAGTTAAGTAACTGAATACTGATATCACTGAGCTATTCTTTAAAATAATGCAGTGTTAGAAAGCCTTCCATACCAAAATTCAAACCCCTCCTTTATCAGACATTGCGCTAGACTACTCAAGCCTAACATAGAATAGTTCCCAAGCTTTACTCCCTGCCCCCATTTATTGCTTCTTTATGCTACAAACATGATTGCAAGAGGGAAAATGTAATTTTTAAAATTCACTTTGGTAAAAGGGATTCCAATGATTTCATTACCACCTTAAACTTTTGTGAAAAAAAAACAACTCATCACTTTAAATTATTGAAGTGTATATTTAACCATTATTGTCATCCAGGTACACTTTCAACAGTTTTGTTTCTATTAAGGCTGTAATTATTTTATAAGGAAACATTAAATATTTACCATAATTAAAGAGACATGCTGGCATTTGTTTCACTATTTTTTACTTGAATTGCTTTATATAGAAACTTATGGAATTGCTTTATATGGAAATTGCTTTATATGGAGATTCATACTGAGATTTCAGTAGAGCAGGTATTAAAAGATGTATCCAGGGGCTCTGCCGAGAGACTGGCATGAAGGTTAATAGAACTCAATAAATATTTATTGGTTGAAAAATGAATTACATTCCATTTTGTTTGTCCCTAGGGGATTTTATCATAATGGGCTTTAAAAAATTTAATAGGTTTTGCTATAATAAAATATAACCAGTACAGTATGGTGTCACTTGTCTTGTGCTGGACAAGGGTAACCAAACTCAGAGACATCAACTTCTCTCTCCAGCCTCCACATCCTGGTGAGAGAAACTAACCTATCCTGTGGGTCAGTGAGAATCTAAGTGAGGCTTAGAAGCTTATACAAACATACATATCTATAAAAGCATTCCTATGATGTTCTCTTCTCTTAAAAACTCTTCCAGAGACTCTTCTAAAGGAATTTAAAATACAAGTTTCTGAACAGATATAGAATACCATTAGTTCACTGGCCAAGTAATAATCCACAGGCTGGTATATTTTAAATTCATAACAGTGTACTCTGTGCCTACTAAGGTAGAGAGGACACCTCCCGGATTCAAATGATCCTCCTGCCTCAGCCTCCTGAGTACCCGGGATTACAGGCACATGTCATTATGCTGGCCAATTTTTGTATTTTTAGTAGAGATGGGGTTTCGCCATGTTGGCCAGGCTGGTCCCGAACTCCTGGCCTCAGGTGATCTGCTCGTCTTGGCCTCCCAAAGTTCTGGGATTACAAGTGTGAGCCACCACACCCGGCCTGGAGGGATTAAAGTTTTTAGTATAAAGAACACTGTAGTATGGAAAGACCCTGTCTCAAAAAAATAAAATAAAATCCCCAACTTCAAGCATCTTCTCTGTTTCACCTCTCAACATCCCAGGGTGGCCCTCAGATCTGCCATAGACTCCTAAGTCCTCATCACACCACATCAAAACCATTCCAACAGCCCCAACTGGAGCTCTCTAAAGTACCTTATATCCAAATGCCAGGCTCATCTTCAAACACTTAAACACACACCGCCTCTCAGACCAGCCTGTTACTATAAACTTCTCAGTCTGGCATTCAAGACATACATACGCCACCAAGCCTTTTAATCTTTCTCCAAAGACTCCAAGAAAAAAAAAAAGAAAACATAATGGCAAAACACAGTAGACACTGTAGTTACTATATATATATATTTTTTTGAGACAGAGTCTTGCTGTGTCACCCAGGCTGGAGTGTAGTGGCATGATCTCCGCTCACTGCAGGCTCTGCCTCCCAGGTTCACGCCATTCTCTTGCCTCAGCCTCCCGAGTAGCTGGGACTACAGGTGCCCACCACCATGCCTGGTTAATTTTCTGTATTTTTAGTAGAGACGGGGTTTCACCTTGTTAGCCAGGATGGTCTCTATCTCCTGACCTCGTGATCTGCCCGCCTCGGCCTCCCAAAGTGCTGGGATTACAGGTGTGAGCCACCACGGCTGTCCTGCAGTTACCATATTTATACCAGAATCATCTTACGTGGCTTCAGACAGAACACTAATTTTACATTAACACCTACCAACCAGCCTCACAATATAAAAAGTTCACTGTGGATTTAAACAAGATTTAAACTTCTCTTCCACTGCTGGGAAGAAAATGAGGGAAAGTTATAAGCAAGAAAGGAGCAGTTTTAAATTTCTGGGAGGATTTTAGGGTAATATATAGATTTTTAATTCCAAGGAAAAAATTTGCCTGTATTCCTTTAATAGAGGAAATGCAGTAAACGTCACCTTATTACATTATCTGCCAAAATACAGTTGGCAAGTTAGCAACATCATTTCCTCATTTTCCAAACACATCTGCTGATAGATTCATCAAAAGAGGTACTTTACTCCCTGTTGCTGATTTTGTAAATTACCAGGCCCAAAAAGGAGATATGATGTAAATTACTCAGGGACTTATGCCTTATACAAGGACTGACGATGTTTTTTCAGTTTAAGCTAAGTTACTCCCATTTTGCCAAGAAGAAAATGGACAGAGAGTTGGACAACTACCTACCAAAAAGGTCTGGGATGTTGTTTCTTTGCCAGATTGAGAGGTTAGGGAAACTAAAGCTTGTTGGTGATGGGGGGTGGGGGATGGAGGATCAGGAGGTGGGGAGCAGGATGCCTTAATGGAATTTACAATATTGAAATATCTATTTTTTCTAGAGAAAATAAAGCATCAGGCCTCCTATCAACAGGCATGTAACATGTTCATTTGGTATAAGATCATCTCCCAAAGTCCCTCCAAAGATGGACAGGCATTTATACCTACTGACATTAATAGACAGAACTCACTTTAGTGAAATCCATTTGCAAAGAACATTGAAGAACTGCACAAGGAGAATGAACAAATGAAGGTCAGTCAGGACTCTGGCAGGTTAACAGAGCAAGACATATCTCAAAAAAAAAAAGCAGAGCTTAAGATTTTAATATAAAGAACATTCTAGTGAAAGACTGTTTATTTTAAAAATTATTTTTATTTTATTTTCTTTTTTGGGCCCCACTGACCAGACTCCAGAAAGACTGTTTTTTAAGTAAAGACAAACAACATCTTAGTTGGAGAGGTTTAGCTAGACAGTAGTGAGATGGACTACTGGGAGAAAAAGACTAAATATGTTGGGAATTGAGTGGTAACATGTGACTTTAATTGGTGAAAGAGGTCTGTTCATTAGTAATTGACCACTGTGGGTAGCTGGTTTATCAAGGGGTAATAATACTCTTTGATGGGCTTTTACATTTTCAGCAATCAAGTTCAGTAGTACAATCCCTAGTCCGCCAAAATCTCATCCGCGAGGCTTATCAAGACCGTGGCTATTGTACAGCGGTTGCTCAAGCATCCCACACTTGGCTCCTCCATCTCCACATAATTTGTCCTGACAGATCTTAGACCACGGAGTCAGCTTGGGATCTCTGTGTTTCTCTGTTAAGTTTGTGGTTCAGGCACAGGTAACTGAAAACAGATGTTTTTAGAGCAAAAACTCTGCTCGTTTTCTTGTTGAGCTTTTGGTAATTTGGGAAGGGAAGGGGAGCTGCCTTTTGCAAACCCTTTGTGCTTTTGTTACGAGCAGTTTCCCGACCTCAGCAATGCTTGCCAATGCTTTATCCAGATGCTTTCTTTGTTGTTTCTGGTAGGTGTTGCTGACTTGGGTGGAGAGGAGCCATAGCCCCTTTTTTCTTTATGCTAATTTCATTCTCCTGTTGCCTATTTCCTGTCTGTAGACTGCACATGGCCCCGGGGGGCTTAAGGTGATTTTCCGACCTTGCAATCACCTCTTAGGATTTTTCTGTTAAACACTCTTAGGTGTATGTGACAGCAGTAGGGACAGAATGAACTGGCAGTCCTGTCACACGCCGAGCTCAAAGAGAGATTGGACAGAAAGAGAGAGATAAGGTGGTTTAAAGGCAGAAGTGTCTCATAAACCATTAATACTAGGGAGGACGAAATTCTTATAGTAGTGGTGGCTCAAAAATGATGACAACAAAGCTTTGCAGAGCATCTGCTGTGAGGCGAAGAGGTGAGATTCTGGGAAGCCAGGACAAGACACTGTACCCAGGAACTTTATGGTCCAACTGGGTGGGGTGGGAAGCATGGAAATAAATCAATCCCAATGCAGGGCGGTCTGTGTTTAGGGTGCCAGCTGATGGCTCTCATTGGAGTGCAGGAGAGTGAGCACATCCAGGCAGGAAGCTTTCTGAAAGGTGGCTTTATGGAGGACATGGGATTTGAGTTGGTTTTTAAATGTCTCGTAGTAGGACAAACTAGGAAGAAGGAGGAAGGGTGCATTTGGGAGCAGAGGTCAGCAAGGGAAGAGAGAAAAAGGAAGCCTTGCAAAGGGCTTCCAGGAACAGTGAAGCGAGCAGCTTGGCTGGAGCAGAGGGTGTGTATGGGCAACAGTGGGAGATTGGATGGGAGAGAATGGACAGTGCCAGTTTGTGGAGTTCCAGTTTGTGAAAACCCGCTAAGGAGTTTGGGGTTTATCTTGTGACCGTGGGGAGCCATGACGACTTTTGATCAGAGGTTGTGATGTGTGCCAAGTGGTGTTTTAGGATGAATAATCTAACCATGATGTATATAGAGACTCAATGGCTTGTTTACTGCCTGGACTGCGTGATGCTGTTTCTCAGGCCATCTTCCAAGGACAAATGACGTTTTATTGTATACAGGTAGGCTCCCTGGTATTGTATTAGGAACTGACCCTCACAGTTTTATTAGTTAGGAGAGGGAAATGTTCTATCACCAGCATCTCTTAAATCTTCAGGGGCAATATTTTATCAGTCTTTGAAATGTGGACTGAATGATGGATATGCGATCCACTCTTAAATACAGCACTGCTAAGCTTAGCCCTGCAATCATGTGGTTATGAAATATTATCCAGCCTGAAACCATAAGAAAAACCCGCTTAGTCTGACCTTCTCACAACACATGAGAGCCCAACCTTTGAAAGGATGTGGAAAAACTGGAGAACTGCTGACTGCACAAAATGCAAATGAGAATTCCACGTGGAGGGATTCTTCTCTGACTTCTTGGTATTTTCTTCTCTTGCATGTTTGCTCCAGACCACACCGCCTGTTTCTGCTCCAAATGTTTCCAAAGCGAAAAGTCTCTGCCTCAGAGATTTGAGGCACTTGCTTGCTGGCGACCTACGTGTCGCAATGAGAGAAAGGAAAGGGGTGGTGGGGAAGAGAAAGTGGGTAGGGAGGTCTTTTGGTCTTACTGTCCAATAAGACCTTGTGGCCTGTAACATGGGTGTAAAGAGCCTCCATCTTTACCTTTGTAGGGATAAAAGTGAGTTTTGTGGATGGGCGCAGTGGCCCATGCCTGAAATCCCAGAACTTTGGGAGGCTGAGGTTGAGGCCAGCAGTTTGAGACCAGCATGGTGAAACCCCGTCTCTACTAAAAATACAAAAATTAACCGGGCGTGGTGGTGCGTGCCTGTAGTCCCAGCTACTCGGGAGGCTGAGGCAGGAGAATTGCTTGAACCCGGGAGGTGGAGGTTGCAGTGAGCCGAGATCACACCACTGCACTCCAGCCTGGGCGACAGAGCAAGACTCTGTCAAAACAAAACAAACAAAAAGTAAGTTTTGTAACTACCTGGATGCACATTTAGGATGCAGAATAAAAAAAACAGAAAAAAAGATGGATTTCATCTTTATTTCTATTCATTGTTAACTCTTTCTGCATTAGAACACAGAAGCTTAGCACTTTGCAATTTAACAGCCAGTTAAACACCCCTTAACCCCTTAGCACCAGCCAATTGCCTTTCTTCCTAGCATATTTCCATCCCTCCCGTCCCCACTGATACTGTCCTGATTGCTGCAGTCACTCACTATTAGCTAATTTGCTGCCTTGGGAGATGCTGCGTTAAGATGGCTCTCTGATTAGGTGGGAATTGATTAAGCAGAAACTGCTTTACGCTGTTACTAGAACTGTCGAAGCAGTGTGAGAGCTCCTAATTCTGAGCCTCCTCTCATTTTGCTGTTGTCTCAATTAAGTTACTTTTCTATGATTTGTGGCTCATTAGCGTCAGTGACTCCTAACTGCCTATTCTCATCCTTGAGTCTTTCCAGCCATATGTGAATGATACATGCTCAGAGTCCCTTCTAATTATGATAATTTCCTCTTGTCCTCCTGAATGCTGGTGACAGCGCTAATAGCAAGATGGAAGTGAAGCTTTGGATAGAAATTCTATGTCTTGAAACTCCTTGGGACCTCTTCCATACCACCCCTACCTGTTTCCCTCTGGTCAAGGCTTGAGTATTAGCTGCGTGGTTAAGCTCTATCATCTGGGACTGCAGGGCCTAAGTTTAAAACCTTGAGTGAAATTATTCTGCTTCTTTAGGCCTCATTATTCTGAAAGACTGGATAGGAGTGGTATTTATCCCAGACAGTAGCTTTGAATTTGGATGGAGATAATGTATGTAAAGGCCTCTGCAGTCACGGTCTCCAGAGATGAGGCTCTTACTCCCTGTCTTCCAGATCCTCACTGGAATGCACCCTTTGCAAGACACCTCCTCCAGCCCAGCTGTTCCTTTCTTGAATTCCCATAGCACTTCACTGGTATTTCTTTCTAGCACTTAACAGTTATGTGCCTGACATGATGGTTAAAATTTTACCTTCCCTTTGAGACTCTGAGCACCTCTAGGCTAGGGAAGGGCTTGGTGCACTCCGTGTCCTCTATACTTGTGGGTACCAAACCGAGAAGAGGATCAATATCACTTGAGGAGCTTTGAAAAATAGATTCCTTTGGGAGGCCGAGGTGGGCCAATCACAAGGTCAGGAGATTGAGACCATCCTGGCTAATGCAGTAAAACCCCGTCTCTACTAAAAATACAAAAAATTAGCTGGCCTTGGTGGCAGGCACCTGTAGTCCCAGCTACTTGGGAGGCTGAGGCAGGAGAATGGCGTGAACGTGGGAGGCAGAGCTTGCAGTGAGCCGAGATTGCGCCGCTGTACTCCAGCCTGGGCAACAGAGCGAGACTCCATCTCAAAAAAAAAAAAAAAAAAATTCCTGGGTTCTAGCCCCAGAGAGCATCCTTATGAGACAGGCTGGAGCCTAGGCACCTGGATTTTTTATGAATGCCACAGGTATTTGTGCTGTGGGTGGGCCTCAGACCCCAGTTTTAGAATCAGTTCTATAAGGCAGTGGTTTCCAACCTTATCAAACCCAGCATCCTCTTTTATATATTTTGTAACATCCTCTTCCTGAAATGGAAACTCACAGATAATAGAACTCACACACAATATTTAAAAATAAATCAATGTAATACTCTAATTATAATATAAAGGAGAAACAACATGAAAATAATTTATAATAAAGTAGCATGTATTTCAATATGGGGACAGCTATATTGAAGACCTAATGAAATAGTTACATTTTTGCTCATAAATCAGTTTGTATTTAAGAAATATTCAGCTGAATAGTTTTAGTTATATATTAGTACTCTTATATATAACCCTAGAAATAAGGGCAAAAAAGTCTTTTCTTGTTTATCACTAAGAATATGACAACTATAAATATAGAGCAATACAGGTGTGTTATAGAGATGTCTCATTAATCATGAATGTCATTTCTGTAAGAGTCATCATTTTTAGAGATGGTGTAAAAAACTCTTAGCAAAGTTCTTTTTTTAATTTTCCTTTTTTTTTTTTTTTTTTTGAGACCAAGTTTCGCTCTTTTTGCTCATGCTGGAGTGCGGTGGCATGATTTCAGCCCCCTGCAACTTCTACCTCCCAGGTTCAAGTGATTCTCCTGCTTCAGCCTCCCAAGTAGCTGGGATTACAGGTGCGTGCCACCATGCCTGGCTAATTTTTTATTTTTACTAGAGACAGGGTTTCACCATGTTGGCCAGGCTGGTCTCGAACTCCTGACCTCAGGTGATTTGCCCACCTTGGCCTCCCAAAGTGCTGGGATTACAGGCGTGAGCCACTGCGCCCGGCTAGTAAAGTTCTGAACAAAATACATTACATCCTTCCCTCAATTTATAGGGTAATCAAATTCCTAGAGAATTTAGTGTATTTAAAACTAAACAATATTTTATGAAATGCATAGTTAAGATCTAGACTTAGATAATTATATAAACTCTTTCCCCCTCTTTTATGAAAATCATGTGGGATGTGGGCCAATCCACCATGAAAAGAAATTTTCTAGAGCACTGTAGGACTGTAGCGTTCCTGCTCCCACCCCCCATATGCCAGCAGAGCCCTGTAATCATTGTAACGACCAAAAGCCCCCAACCCGGTTCCAAAGCCTGTAGGGGCAGTGCTACCCCGCTGAGAACCACTGCTGTGGACATAGAAAGTGCAATAGCCCTAAATGATCATCAGTACAGAGCCCTTGTGGTCCCAGCAGGTTGCCCACCCCCCCAACATGGTGCTCTGTACATATTTGTTAAATAAGTAAATGAATGAACTACCAGTCTTTGAATACTTGAAGTAAATGGCATGGATCCCCCCTTCTAAAATTTTATGAGTGCGTGTTGTATTTTTTTTTTTTTTTTTTTTTTGAAGAGACTGGGTCACCTGGGCACAGTGGCTTATGCCTGTAATCGCAGCACTTTGGGAGGCTGAAGTGGGAGGATCTCTTGAGCCCAGGAGTTCAAGACCAGCCTGGGCAACATAGTGAGACCTTGTCTCAACAAAAAATCCACATATTAGTTGGGTGTAGTGGCATGTGCCTGTAGTCTCAGATACTTAGGAGGCTGAGGTGGGAGGACTGCTTGAGCCCGCGAGGTTGAGGCTGCAATGAGCTGTGATTACACCACTACCACTGCACTCCAGCCTGGGTGACAGAGCGAGAGTCTGTCTCCAAAAAAAAAAGAGAAAAGAGACAAAGTCCCAGTCTGTCACCCAGGCTGGAGTGTCATGGTACAATCACAGCTCACTGTAGCCTCAAAATTCAAAATGTCAGATTCAAGCAGTCCTCCTACCACAGCCTCCCAAGTAGCTGGGACTACAGGTGCATGCCACCACACCTGGCTAATTTTTGTTTTTGTTTTTTTTTCATAGAGATGGGGTTTCTCTATATTGCCCAGGCTGATCCTGAACTCCTGGCCTTAAGCAATCCTCACACCTTGGCCTCCCAAAGTGCTAGGATTACAAGGTGTAAGCCACCATGCCAGACTGAGTGTGATTTTTTTTCTAAACCAGAATTGGCCTCTGTTCTTTGTCCCATTAAAGAAACCCTAAAGTACTTAAAACTGAAAAAGGGCTTTGGTGCAGGTTGGGTTCTCTAGAAGAAGATGCTAAGATGGAATCTGGGGTGTGAGATGCTCGTTAGGGACCAACATGTAGGAAGGGAAGGACGCAGGACTGGGCCGAGGGAAAAGTTGAAAAGGCCTCAGCACACCTGGCAGGAAGCCCTGGAGTGAGTGAGTGCAGTCACCGTGTCCTGCTTTGGGCCATCGTGGGCCTTTATATCCTTACCTCTCAGTTACAGGCAGGTTGTCACAGGAATGGTGTGATCTCAGGTGAGGTGGCTCTCTGCAGCAGGGGCAGACCCTGAAGGAGCTGGCAGCTGGAGGCCATGTGCTGACCACACTCTGCACAGCTGGGCGGCAAGCCTTTATCTGAAGAGAGGTCATTTCAGTCTGCCATAGGCTTTCATAGAGACCCTCACTGTGCCTCAGAGCAACCCTAAGAGGTGGGTATAGTTATCATTCCCATTTTATAGATGAGGAAACTGAGGCTGAGAGAATTTTCACTAACTTCCCTGATTTAATTACCTAACTAGTTAGTGTCTCAGTGAGAACAGGAACATGACTTCTAAGTGCCAGGTCCCCTTAGTGATGTCCACATGGACTTGACAGTTCTCATTCATTCATTCAGTCATTTGGTTGGTTGGTGTGAAGTGACATACTCCATGCTGCAGTGGGGCAACTGAGCTGCTCAAAAGCCTGTCTGATTCATATATATATATATATATATATATATATATATATATATATATATATATTTTTTTTTTTTTTTTTTTTTGTGGTTGGTTGACTAGCTTACAGGTAGATTAGCATGATGAGGTGGAAACATCTGAATCCTTTTATTCACAGCTTTTATCACTGGATCAGCTTAAGGAATTAATTTTTAAAATCCTTGACATGCCTGAGAGCTGCTTGTTTTGTGATAAGATTTTCCTTATAGGTTGTTCCTAGCATAGACAAGGACATTTGATTTAGGGCCTTAGGCCTTCAAGGTATCACTTCCCAGGCTCCAGCCAACTGGTGTTTGTGGGTGAACCAGCCAGCTGGCAGCTGCCTCGGGAATCTGATATGTACTCCAGGAAGCCCAGGCCGCAGGTGCTGGCCTGGCTCCTAGGCCCTGCGCCCTCTTCCTCTCTTTTTCCTGGGCAGCTTCAGCTTAGGCTCTCAGTGGCCTATTGAAAAAGGGTTCAAACCATTTCTAGATCCCCCACTGGGAAGTGCTATCTTTAATCAAAGGCAAAGCATTTTGGCGACTGTGTGTTAGAATAATTTTGGCTTTTTAGCACATCAAATGGGAATGACTGTTTTTGCCAATCTGCTATGTGAAAATGGATATTTCCCAGACACCTTTTTAATATGCTCATTGACCTTTTGCATCTTTCTTTTCTTTGAATTGCTTATTCATTTAATTTGATGTTAAAAAAATCGGGTTAACTATCCTCTTCTGACCAGTTTGTAGGAGCTTGTTGTCTATCAGAATCCATGGCTTCTTAAATGTCCTGACAAATTTCTCCTCATCTTTCTTCAGTCTCTTTCACTCTGCGACTTCTTTCCTTCAGTCCCAGAGGATGCAGGCCTGGTGAATACTGAGGAATTAGGAACCTTGGGCCTCGGGCCTTTGAGCTTTTCAATGGCCCCAAAATATGTCTGAAATTAGAAAAAAAAGTTTGTATTGGCTTCTTTGAATACTGAAAGAAAATAGCAAAATCTAAGTTAATGTGTATTTAATCAATCAAATACCTATAAGACCTAACTTGATGTCAACTAATCATTTATAAGTCAACTTAATATATAGTTATTTATAACCCAAATTAAAGTTAGTTTATTTTTTGTGTGGGAGGAGGGTGTCTTAGTCTGCTTTGGTGCTTCCAACAGAATACCGTGGACTGGGTGGCCCATAAACAACAGGAATTTATTTCTCACAGTTCTGGAGGCTGCTGTCAAGGCGCTGACCAGATTTGGTGTCTGGTGAGGGTCCAATTCCTGGTTCATAGATGTCTGTCTTCCTGCTGCGTCCTCACATGATGGAAGGGGTGAGGGAGCTCTCTGGGTCTATTTCATAATGGCAGCAATTCCACTTTAAGGGCTCCACTCTCCAAACAAAACAAAACAAACTTTTTAGTCTTGGCTTACCCCATTGTATTAGTCCATTTGGGCTGCTAAAACAAAATATCAACTGGGTGGCTTATAAACGATAGAAATTGGCCAGGCGCATTGGCTCACGCCTGTAATCCCAGCACTTTGGGAGGCCAAGGCGGGCGGATCACAAGGTCAGGAGTTCAAGACCAGCCTGACCAACATGGTGAAACCCTATCTCTACTAAAAGTACAAAAATTAGCTGGGCGTGGTGGCACGTGCCTGTAGTCCCAGCTACTTAGGAGGCTGAGGCAGGAAATTGCTTGAACCCGGGAGGCGGAGGTTGCAGTGAGCTGAGATCGTGTCACTGCACTCCAGCCTGGGTGACAGAGTGAGACTCCATCTCAAAAAACAAAAACAAAAACAAAATACCAAACAAACAAATAAAACAATAGAAATTTATTTCTCCCAGTTCAGGAGGCTAGGAATTCCCAGATCGGGGTGCCAGCCTAGTAAGGTTCTGATAAGGGTGCTCTTCTAGTTGCAGGCTGCAGACTTCTTGTTGTGATCTCGATCTCACATGATGGAAGGAGCTAGCCAGCTCTCTGCAGTTTCTTTTATAAGGGTCGTAATCTC
Organism: Homo sapiens; assembly: GCF_000001405.40. Classification (NCBI taxonomy): domain Eukaryota; kingdom Metazoa; phylum Chordata; class Mammalia; order Primates; family Hominidae; genus Homo; species Homo sapiens. Next base: position 197,272,026 of record NC_000002.12, on the reverse strand, counting down.
TAATTCCCTCCCAAAGGCTCCAACTTCTAATACTATCACTTTGGCGATATAATTTCAACATATGAATTTTGTTGGGGACAAACATTCAGGCAATAGCAGCCCTCTAAGACAGTTTTAAAACCTTGGGCTGGGCGTGCTGGCTCATGCCTGTAATCCCAGCACTTTGGGAGGCCAAGGCAGGCAGATCGCTTGAGCCCAGGAGTTCATGACCAGCCTGGGCAACATGGTGAAACTCCATCTCTACAAAAAATTTAAAAAATGGTGGTATGCACCTGTAGTCTCAGCTACTAGGGAGGTTGAGGTAGAAGGATCACTTGAGCCCAGGAGGTTGAGGCTGCACTCCAGCCTGGGCAACAGAGCGAGACCCTGTCTCAAAAACAAAGCAACCAACAAACAACAAAAAAACCTGATTTGCAATGCATTAGTGGATTGTGAATTTAATGGGCTATGGCTACATTAAAAAATAGAACAGAGAATATAATTTTATATCACATTTAGTAAGATAATGTCAGTCTGTTAAGGATTCTATAGCACAATAGCTTAGACTGGGTAATTTATAAACAACAGAAATTTATTGCTCACAGTTCTGTAAGTTGGAAAGTTCAAGATCATGGCACCAGCAGATTCAGTGTCTGCTGAGGGCCCACTCTCTGCATTGTAGATGGTGCCTTCTTGCACAGTCCTCACATGGTAGAAGGAACAAGCTCCCTCAGGCCTGTTTTATAAGGGCACTAATCCCATCCTAAAGGCCTCACCTCTTAATATTATTGGGAATTCGGTTTTAACATATGGATTTTGAGGGTGCACACAAACATTCAGACCATAGCAGATAGATATGGTTTCATGAAACTTTTGTTAAGGCTATGTTTTTGTGTGTCCAGACCAGCCTCAATTTGTGGGATCTAGTGCAACATGAAAATGCAAGACTCCTTGTTAAAAAATCTTTAAGAATTTCAAGATGGCAGTAGCAGAGCATTTAACCAAGAATGCGGCTCTTCCCAGCACAGGTCCCTGGGCAGCTGCACGGTCTGCTTGCTCATGGAGCCAGCCCTGGTGTGTGTATATATGTGTATGACCTGGGTTGAGATGGAAGATTATTTTCTAAAGCCACTGTAGTGATGTGTGCCAAGATCCACAGAAAGGCTGGTTGTGGACACCAGTGTGGGGTACCATGAGCTTTCAGCCACTCTTCCTTGGTCTGCTCATCTGCACCTTGCCAGCTGGCTCCGCTCCCTCCATTCCTGCCTGCCGGTACCCACTTTCTGCCATATTGGCTCCTGTTTGTTATGCCCAGCTCCAGTGCTACAGCTTCCTCGTCTCCAGCTCTCCCTTTCCCTGACTTTCCTAGTGAGACTGGAGGCCCTTGGGAAATGGCTCAGACACTGCCTACAATTAAATGCTAAGGTTTCTTTTACCTTTGACCCAGATGTCTCTCCTCTGCGTTTAGTCTGCTGTTTATTACTTCTTAGAAATTCCACCTGGATGTCCCTGAAGGGCTTCAGACTCATTTTCCACCTTACCTTTCCATCCCCGTCCAAAGCTGCTCTTACTCCTATATTTGTCACTTTGCTTGGTGCCATGAATGTTTACTCAGTTGTTCAAGCTGGAAACTGTGGGGATTATTCTTTATTCTTTCATTCTTTCTTCTTCCCCACCTCCTCAGATCTCATGAGTTGCCAAGTCTTATAAGTTTGACCTCCTCCATAATTGCTTTAGAGTCTGTTCTCTCTCCTCCACATCTGGCACAGAGTCTGACTCCCGAGTGGCATGTGCAAGGCCTTAACTCTGATCTTTACCTGCACTCTCATCCTCACCTCCCACCCCTGTCCCCCAATCCCTGCTCCAGCCACACATCTGTTCCCCTAGGTTCTCAGGCTTCTTAACTGGGAACAATAGCATCCCCCCATCCTTGAGGACATTTGGAAATGTGGGAGGGGCATTACTTTAGCTGTTGTCATGACTGGGAGTTGCTGCCAGCAATGAGTGGGTGGGGTCTGAGACAGCAAATGTCCTGCAGTGTGTGGGACAATCTACCAGACATGGAAGTGTCCTATCCAGAATTGCAGGTAGCCACCCTGCTGAAAAACAGAACATGCTGTTTCATGCCTCTGCCCTTTGCACCTCCCTTTGTCTGAGATGTCTCTCCTCAGTCTTCTCTGCCTGGGAAATTCCTACATGTTCTTTGAGTTCCAGCTTAAAAATGCCACTGTCTCTCCGAAGCCTCCTGTACCCATTTTGCACACTGAGGTTAATTGGTCCCAGGGTACTTATACCTCCCATGGGCCACTTTGAGTGTGTATTTTCCTGGCTTTGTCCTCCCAGTACCTAGCATGGTTTGGCAGGTAGTAGGTGGGCAATAAACTAGAGGGTGGCATGGCTTAAAGAAATGCCACCAAGAGCCCCTCAGCTCTGCAGTTCTTGGATTAGGCTTTCCTTGTTATACTTCAATTCTATCTTCTCCTTCTTCCCCTGCCCCCTCTTTTCCTTTCTCAATTGCAGCCTTTCTAACTCCAGCATGCGCTTCTTCATTACTACAGATTGGCTATCTTCCATAGTTACAGTCATCTGCGGTTCCTCGAGATATCTAAGAATTGAAATAGATCTTGGCCATCTTTGCTCCTGAGGTGTGATTGCAGTAGTTACAGCTCCCGTTTCCAAGGCAACAGCCTTCTGGTTATGAGTAGAGTGCTTCTCTTAGTGGATCTCCATTAGGAGAGAGGAGCCTTACTGCTCCTATCTCCATATTCAAACTTTCCCTGCTTTATTGCTTATTTATAAAAGGCCAGTTTACACTGGAACAGGGCAGGGATAAAATGTTACTCTGCTCTGGCAGTTAAAAAACTTTTTTGAAGCATACTATACATGTGGAAGAGAGCACATTTAATAAGTATATATCTTCATGAATACACTCTATGAGTAGCAACCAGATCAAAAACAAAAACAAAAACACATTACCAGCACCCCAAAGCTTAATGGCTTTTCATGGAAATGTTGGACTTTTTTTGAGTATGCATTTCTTATTTTATCTGAGTCATATTTTTCCCCAAACCAGCTGTAATCTAAGGTTCCACGAGATACATCCTGATTTAAGAACGCTGAGCAATCAACACACAGATTAGATAGGTAGCTTTAGATCATTACAATTTAAAAAAACATTTTAAAACATGATTTCCCCAGTGTTAGGGAGGCATCTTAGGGATGAAAGCCTCCAGTCTGATGGATTCCCAGTTCTGCGGAGTGAAGGCAGGGCATATGAGGAAGGTCTCAGTCCAGGCTGATTCCTTAAGCCCATGAAAAGCAGATGCATGCAGACATACAGACCCCCTCCTTATCCCATTCACCGCATTCTTCCATTTTAAAAAAGTCACCTGGGTATCGGCTGGTGCAAGTGGAATCAGCTTTTGGAATCAGATCATTCCAGAGTGAATCGCATCTCTGTCATCCACGCCATGTGACTACAATTCCTTTCCTCTCTGGATTTTAATTTCCTCACCTATAAAATGGGAACAGTATACTTCTCTTGCAGACTTAAAGTGAGGAATAAATGAGATAACGAATGTGAAGAATGCCAGCATTGTGCTTGGTTCACAGAAAGTCACAAAAAATGATAGTTTCTCTCTTTTCTTACCCAAAGTTGGAAATTGTCAGAGCCTTCATCACATTGTTCTTGGATAACTTGTCATCTCTTTGCCTCCTATTTCCCGTGCCCCAGTGCATCTCAGATGCTTCTTTCTCCAGATTTATCTTCCTGAACCACTCTTTCTACCTTTGCTATTAACAAGACTGATAGATTTTCATGGCACATGTGCTGAAGCTGGGCATAGAAGGGCTTCATAGATCAGCTCCACAGCTTCTGGGGTATCCCTCACCTTATCCTTCCCATTGTGATGCCCTTGGGCCATGGTGAAGGAGGTAGTTGGCCATGCTGTGCCCTTCTTTTTCTATTGTAAAACCTGTGCTGAGTTCCTCAGCCTTGCCACAATCTAAGACATTTGGCTCCTTCCTGGAGATCCCATTCTGGATCCAAGGATTTAAGGAGCTCCAGCCTGACCCTGAAACTCTGTGTCAAGTCAGGTCTGGCCTTGCCTTTGTGTCCCTTGTTGGGAGACTGGGCTTTGGCTTTGTTCCCAAGTTGTGATTTCTACCTTGACCCTGATTCTGGTGACTTTCTCAGTTCCTGCCTTGGTGTCTTACCCCGACCCCAGCTCCTCTGGAATGGCTTCTTCCCTTGGACAGTCAGCACGGAGAGACAGTCTTCCCTCCACTCCTGGTGCTTTGTCTTGGACAACCCTACTCTAGCATTGAAACAGCTGCTTACTTAGATAACCAGCATTATCTGGAGCCATTGTTTTCAGATACCCTGTCTCATGGAGCAAGTGCCTCTTAGTACCACAGCATGTCATTTCAGCATGAATTGATTGGGTACACTTATTTGGAACTTGGCTATCTGGCCTTTTACCTATCTAGAACGTGGTGGAGAATCAAGAAACATTAAAAAATGGAGCCAAACATAGATGTGGCAAAGTCTAAGGATCATATTTTTTCCTCTTAGGAGAAGGCCTTAGGCCCTCAGAGGCAGGTACTCTTACTTTAGACACATGGCTAATTGGCTTTTACGTGCACAATAAATTAGCAACAGCCAATTGTTCACAATAGGGAGAAATGACAACCTATTAGAAAGGTGGAGGAGGATGGGAAAAATGATAAATGCATAAAGGAGCTGAAAAATTACATTAAAGATTCTGGAGTGATTTTAGCATTTTAAAAGACACTGAGAGCATCCTTGAAATACAGAATGTGCATGATGGCGACCCTTAGTCATCTGCAAAATGTCCTTATAATTTTCTCAAGATGGTAAGGAAGAATGCTACTATACATTTTAAGATGTCTACCTAAAATAGCTAGAATAAAAAGATTTCCATGTTTATTCAGGCTAAACCTTTATTCCCTTTATTCATTCATTCATCTAATATTTAATGAATGCCTTGATGTGGCATTGTTCTAGGTGCTGAGAATATGTTACAGAGCAAAACAGACAAAATCCCTGTCCTTTTGGATATTAATCTAGAAGACTGGGCTTTTCAGAGAAAGTAATTCTCCATGACCTGAGACGGTCAAGCTTTTTGCCTTTATTATTTTTAACAGACCGTATAGGACATTTTTCTATATTGTGAATAGAAGATTAAATGGAAGAGATTATTTCTCAGATGCTCAAAACTGACTCTATGAATGTCATAAAACACATTGAAAGCCTCTGAGGTGCTTGACTTACTTAGAGTATTTCATTTTTCATCGCAACAGGTAGTAGGAAGTGCGGTTTGTTTTTTGCTGGTGGGGAAATGGCAGAATAGAAAGGTGCAATGACTTGCCTGAGGTTATACAGAGTTTAGTGACACTCTTGCATGCCCATACTAGATGATTTCTCATTTCCAAGGTCAAGTCTTTTGGTTAGGGACTGTCATTCAGTTCGTGTAAAGAAAAAGGGAGGAAAATGCCAAAATTTTAAATATAAAGGGTGAAAAATTGAGTGATTTAATGTTTGTGTAATTAGTCCTAAAATGAATTCCTCATCTGTGGTTTTCTGGGTCAGACAGCAGACTTGAGATCTGTTTGTATATTAGTGGCTTAACTGGCTCTCTTAAGGATGTAATTTCAACTGTAATTTTCCATTTTTCCCCCTTTCCTCTGGCATCCTTATAGAAAGTTCTTAGCTGTTATTTGAGGCTTTCTAAAAATTATCAAAATGAAGTAGCTACTGAGCTTTTATTTTGGTCCTTAATCAGAAAGGACTGAAAATGATGGTTCTTGGTGGCGAATTCTTTAGATAGTCTTCACCTCCAGCTGAACCCCTGAAAGACTATGAGTTCCAGCCTGGCCAGGCGGCTACCTCTCCTCCAATAGGTTCTGCTTGCATGAGCAATCATTTTCCCACGAAAGCACAACGCCTTCATGTACAGCTTTCCTTTTACCTGGTATTCAGTTTGTGACGTTCTGCTTGGAGAGTGAGCATTTGATTTATTATTTTTACTGAAGGTCATTTTTATATAGGGCTATGTCATATGCTTTACATTTTAGCCCTTGGAGGATGTGACAAAAGGCTTTTACTACTCGATTTCAATTTGTGAAAACATAGGTTTTTCGGATTAGAACTCTTATGTCATACTGCTAATAAAGCCAAAGGGTTGAAATATTATTAAAAACGTTCCTTTTTGTCTCTCTTTTTAACATCATGGAATTATGTGCTTTTTCAAGTGTTAAAGGAAAGTGATACCCATTGGTTTGCAGTATTTTCATGGTAACATTTAATATGCTTTGTTCATAAATGGTCTCAATTATAATGATCTCTGCATATGAGAAACTCTACACTTAGGAGATAGAGAATCATGAAACAAAATGTTCTGTCATTTTTATTAGACAAGGCAGAGACAGTAAAGAAAAAAAAGAGGTAGCCCACAACTTCATTTTTAAAAAGCTGTTACTGGCCGGGCATGGTGGCTCACACCTGTAATCCCAGCACTTTGGGAGGCTGAGACAGGCAGATCACTTGAGGTCAAGAGTTCGAGACCAGCCTGGCCAACATGGTGAAACCCTGTCTCTACTAAAAATTCAAAAAATTAGCTGGTGCTGTGACGCACCCCTATAGTCCCAGCTATTCGGGAGGCTGAGGCAGGAGAATCACTTGAACCCAGGAGGCAGAGGTTGCAGTGAGCTGAGATCATGCCACTGCACTTCAGCCTGGCTGACAGAGGAAGACTCTGTCTCCCCACCCCCTCCCCACCAAAAAAAAAAAAAAAGAAAAAAAGTGCTGTTACTTAAGGAAGTACGTTAGCATTTCTCTGTCTAAAATAAGAAAAAGCTACCTGGCATGTGGAATGGGCTCATGATGTCTTTGCACTTATTTGAATTTTTGGCTAGAGTGGGATTCAGGGTTGATGTTGGACAGAATATTTCTATGAGGACGGAATTCTGTGGGAGGTTTACTGGGTTTTCTCAGTGTGCCCAAGATGCTGCTGACTCTTTTACTGTCCTTGTCATTGAGCCAACTATCGTTTTTATTTTGTAAATGGCAATGACCATTAAAAAATTGAGAACTTTTAGTGTCTTTTAAAAGAAAACCATATAATTTTTAAGGAGCCTATAAAAGCTGACCTGGTAACTTTGACCTAAGTATTTTGTCCATTTTGTCAGGGATATAGAGTCATGGGTTTTGATTTCTTGAACTTGGGAAATGTTATTTTCTAATCACCCTCAGGAGTCTGGAAAAGGTTAAAGAAAGGTTCCCATATTATAAATGATGTGAAGGATTCTAGTGCCCAGGAGCATCCTGCCATCTCTGGCTAGAGACAGAGATGGGGAAGACAAGACTAGCCCTTTACTGGATGGGTGCTAGAGCCGAAGACTTTCTCCTTCTGTGAGGATGCCCTGAGGGAAAGGGAGGAAATCCACCCCATGTTATGAACTATTTGTTGCAGCTCTGACTTCAAGGATTGTGAAAAATGATACTAAAAACTCAAAAACGTTGATGCTATCATCAAACTCTGACAGTGCCTGCTGAAAACATGCTGGGAAATTCCTTTCAAGAAATCCAGGATGCTTTCTGCGTAAGGAATGGCTATCAAAACAAAAGATAGCGGTTGAATTCAAAGTGCTTCAAGAGAGGTATTAGTCGGGATACTTATTTGGTCAAAATTAGAACACAGAAGTTTATTTTACTCTCATCTATAATGGTCTGAGCATAAACAAACCAAGACTGAGAAGATGACTCCATGATGTTGGGGATAAAGTTTTCTTTTATTACTATGCCATCTCTACCACATAGCTTCTATCTTTCAGCTAAGATAGTTGCTCCATCTTCTATCACTATGGGAAAAGGAAGTAGGAAAGAGGAGGGCAGGCTCCTTTCTTTTCCTTTTCCTTTTTCTTTTCTTTTTAAAATAAGAAACATGATCTCACTATGTTGCCCAGGCTGGTCTCAAGCTCCTAGGCTCGAGTGATCCTCCTGCCTCAGCCTCAGGTGTAGCTGGGACTACAGATGCATACCACTGTACCGGGCTTCTGGCCTCCTTTCTTTTAAGAACATGACCTGGAAGTTGAAAACATCTTATTCCGTTAGCCAGAATCAATCACATAATTAATTTTCTACAAGGCAGGCTGGGAAATGTAATCTTTAGGGAGGCAGCCATGTGCCTAGCTAAGGCTTCTGTTACTATAGAGGAGAGAGAAGATGGATCCTGGGGAGACAGCTAGGAGCCTCTGCTACACCGGAATAGTGACATTTGCCCTTCAGTGTTCCTGTACTGCTGTGGCTTTCAGGCAAATTCAAACTTGACACCTTTTTTTTTCTTTTTCTTATTAATACAGTATTTGTCTTTCCTCTATCAAACCCTGAGCCAACCATGTTCCCCAGGCCATCTGGGGAGGTGCAGGAAAAGAAACATACAGGGCTGACAAGACATGGGAGAAAGAAATATGGGAGGTGGAGACAGCTGCTTCACATGGGGAAGAGGATGAGAAAGGCCACCATCAGGCAAAAGAGCCCCATGGTTTCCTAGAGGGTAAAGCCTAGAATGGTGTAGGAGAAGAGCTGTTGTTTCAGAGAAGGGTTCCTGGCATAATCAATGATGAGGCTCCCAAACACAGTCGCAATCCCAGCCCCAGAGCCCGCCACCCCAACTGTGGCGCCCCAGCCCCAATGAACTTGGCTGTTGTGTCGATGTCCCTTGAAATGGCGCTGCTTTCCAAGCTGCGGCCAGGGACAAGTGAGGTAAGGGGACGTGAGACTACCAAGCTGCTGAGGTTCTCACCTGTCAGTGTCTCTGGTCATTTCAGCACCACTGCAGGTAGCAGATGGCTTAGCAGCTGTGAGGCGCTCTTGACCAAGGAGGGAGTGGAGACGAACTTGGAGCAGGTGTACATTTTCAGGGGGTGAGGGGCTGTGGCAGGAGAGCTGGGCCCAGTGCAGGGAAGACACAACACCTTTTAAAGAGGCATTATTATTCACAGACAGCACCAGAGCATATCATGCAATATGATATCTTGCTTAATGTATTGTTTAGATATCCATGTTAGGAAAGTAAATTTTGAATGTATTGCTAACGTTTTTTGTTTTTGTTTTTGTTTTTTTAAAAGAATCTCACTGTGTTTCCCAGGCTGGAGTGCAGTGGCGTGATCTCGGCTTACTGCAACCTCTGCCTCCTGGGTTAAAGCGATTCTCCTGTCTCAGCCTCCCAAGTAACTGGAATTACAGGTGTGCTCCACCATGCCTGGCTAATTTTTAATATTTTTATTAGAGACAGGGTTTCACCATATTGGGCAGATTAGTCTTGAACTCCTGGCCTCAAGTGATCCACCCGCCTCGGTCTTCCAAAGTGCTGGGATTACAGGCATGAGCCACCATGCCTGACCTGTCAATCTTAACTTAAAAGCAACTGTAGTTTCTTCAAACATTCTTCTGTGGAAAGAATGCACTCATTTTGGTAGGTTGAAATTTTTACGTGGAATTTCCGTTAGCACAAATCCATATGCCTTAAAATGAGAAAAGGCTTCAGAAAGGGCACCCACTAGGGGGTAGGTCAAAATTGTTCATTCTGGATGGGAATTTGATTCTGGAGTTGTCAGTGGCCAGTAAATAGAGTTCACTTCATGATGTTGACTCTAGGAGTGGAGCCAAAACACTACAACCTCATTTATAACTTCCCCACCTCTGTGGGGAATCATATTAATAAGTAATTTTAGGGCCTGGGTTCTAAGATAATTTTATTAAAATAAAAAGCTGTCTCTTGTTTCTCTACAGGAAGATACTGCCAGAAAGCTCTGCCATTTATTCTTTCTGGCTACTTCCTGTCTGGATTTTGTTTATTGCTCTCTGCCCAGAGTGCTGTATCAGAGGGAACTACCGTATGGCTAGGAAGATTTGTTTGTATAACAGTGTGCGAATATTTTGTCCTGGCTGGTAGGAAGTAAGCTGTTTCTCATAGACTCTTATTGTAAAGCCTAGCACATATCATACATTACAGATTTTTAGTTGTGATTTCTAGTTGCATGTGAATTTGCATTTTGCCCTCGGTTTTTCTCTTGTCCCGTCACACAGAAGAGATGATTTCGAGGTGTGAGTTTTTTTCAGATCCTGTTTTCTTCATAAGGATGAACTAGACTTGCAGGCTGTCTCTTCTGGCCATCGCTGCAGTTAGCAGACCCTGTCTCTTGTTTGATATGTGACAAATGTTCCTGTTGTCTTAGTAGTATAACATCTCAAGCGTGGTTCTGATTTTTTGTTTAGCAACGAAAAGTCTCAGATTCTCTAGGGTCCCTTGTTATCACTCCTTAAACACTTTTCAGAAGGCTCAGCAGTAATAACAGCTACTATGGAAGAAGACAGGGTGTGTACAGTCATCAAAGCTTTATCTTTGGCATATAGACTTATGTTTTTAGAAAAGAAAACAATTAGAAAAGAAACATTTTTTTTTTTTAAGAAAAGATTGTCTATCTTTTTTACTTCTTTTTTTTTTTTTGGTTGGCAAAAAAGCATTTGATGAACTTCCCTTTAAAAATTGTTTGGTTACAGCATGGTACTGGTACCAAAACAGATATATAGACCAATGGAACAGAACAGAGCCCTCAGAAATAATTCCACATATCTACAACTATCTGGTCTTTGACAAACCTGACAAAAACAAGCAATGGGGAAAGGATTCCCTGTTTAATAAATGGTGCTGGGAAAACTGGCTAGCCATATGTAGAAAGCTGAAACTGGATCCCTTCCTTACACCTTATACAAAAATTAATTCAAGATGGATTAAAGACTTAAATGTTAGACCTAAAACCATAAAAACCCTAGAAGAAAACCTAGGCAATACCATTCAGGACATAGGCATGGGCAAGGACTTCATGTCTAAAACACCAAAAGCAATGGCAACAAAAGCCAAAGTTGACAAATGGAATCTAATTAAACTAAAGAGCTTCTGCACAGCAAAAGAAACTACCATCAGAGTGAACAGGCAACCTACAGAATGGGAGAAAATTTTTGCAACCTACTGATCTGACAAAGGGCTAATATCCAGAATCTACAATGAACTCAAACAAATTTACAAGAAAAAAACAAACAACCCCATCAAAAAGTGGGCAAAGGACATGAACAGACACTTCTCAGACATTTATGCAGCCAAAAAACACATGAAAAAATGCTCATCATCACTGGCCATCAGAGAAATGCAAATCAAAACCACAATGAGATACCATCTCACACCAGTTAAAATGGCGATCATTAAAAAGTCAGGAAACAGTAGGTGCTGGAGAGGATGTGGAGAAATAGGAACACTTTTACATTGTTGGTGGGACTGTAAACTAGTTCAACCGTTGTGGAAGTCAGTGTGGAGATTCCTCAGGGATCTAGAACTAGAAATACCATTTCACCCAGCCATCCCATTACTGGGCATATACCCAAAGGATTATAAATCATGCTGCTATAAAGACACATGCACACGTATGTTTATAGCGGCACTATTCACAATAGCAAAGACTTGGAACCAACCTAAATGTCCAACAACGATAGACTGGATTCAGAAAATGTGGCACATATACACCATGGAATACTATGCAGCCATAAAAAATGATGATTCATGTCCTTTGTAGGGACATGGATGAAACTGGAAACCATCCTTCTCAGCAAAATATCACAAGGACAAAAAACCAAACACCACATGTTCTCACTCATAGGTGGGAATTGAACAATGAGAACACATGGACACAGGAAGGGGAACATCACACACCGGGGACTGTTGTGGAGTGGGGGGAGTGGGGAGGATAGCATTAGGAGATATACCTAATGCTAAATGACGAGTTAATGGGTGCAGCACACCAACATGGCACACGTATACATATGTAACAAACCTGCACGTTGTGCACATGTACCCTAAAACTTAAAGTATAATAATAATAAAATTTTAAAAATATTGTTTGGTTTAGGTCTCTGTTTCTAGGAAAAGTAGTCTTACCGTTTTTCAGGCAAGGCCACTGATGAGTGATTTTGCTCAAGGTCATATAAGATAGTATAGCCTGTGTTCTTTATTGGACCACATTCTTTTCTTTCTTTCTTTTTTTTTCCCCCCTCAAATTAACAGTCACACTCATGGGAATCCCACACAAATGTGAAACTCCTCAACCATATTCTTTTCAATGAGTTATAGCAAGTGACTCTATAGATGACCAAAAGGTGGTTATATGCCCCAGGAGATACATTAGCATTTTAGATAAAGTAAGAACCTAGAGAAGGCAGGCTCCCTCTACAGCAAGTCCTTCCTGCTGGGGCCTGGTCTTATTCATCATGGTGTCTCTAGTGCCAAGCTCAGCACCTGGCACGTTGGAGTCTGCGGCATATGCTTGTTGGCTGTTGAATTAATGACTATGAGTTGGAGGACGACAGTTTAACAAAAAGGAGAAAAGATTTGAAAGTGAAGTTTTCTCAGGCAGCCTAAGGAGTGTTGGATCAGCTTAGATGCAGAAGGGAAAGAGATTATCTGCAGAAGTCTGGGAAATCATGGTGGGCTAGACAAGAGGAACCTAGATCGGGGGAATTTAACAAGGACCTGTCTCAAAACTGGATTTTTAACTCCCATATCTTCCAAGTAACTTTGTTTTTGTTTCTTAGGTTTACAAAGTTATTCTTAAGGTTGAGTCTGTTGCTATGTTGTGTTCTTAGTGTTTAGCTCTGGGAGGGGGACACAGATGTATATAAGTAAGCAGGAGCTACTCAGGGGAGGCCTCTGGTAGGAGCTGCAATGCTGGACTCAATGGCCCAAATTTGCATCCCTGGGTCTAGAGTCCTGGGACCATCCTGCTTTTCATGTTTACTCACCCAGTTCATTAATCTTCCTAGACAATAAAAACTTACATTATTGCCTTTGTAGGAGGACTGTGCTTAAGGCTGCTTTACCTAGTCTTTAAGAGCCTAGAAGGAAACTTGGCAATGTCTTTCTGTCTAGGCTGCAAGATTTGGTAGGTGGTTGAGACCTGAATAACGGAATCCCTGGCTTCTTAGTTTTAGTGTGTTGGAAGTTCTTCAGAACTCCCAGAGCACTTCATGAATATCTACTCAGAGCAAGCATTACATTTCTATCCTACAGAAAGAGATACTGAAACAAAACAAGAAGACACATTTTGCAACACCATTTAGAAGAAAATGGAGCAATCACTGATCATTAGGGAAATGCCAGTCAAAACCACAAATGAGATACCACTTCATACTCATCAGTGTGACTATCTGAAAACCAGAAATAGCAAATCTTGGTGAGGATGTGGGGAAATTGAAGACCTTGTGCTTTGCTGTTGGGAATGTAAAATGGTGCAGCTGCCATGAAAAACCGTGTGGTGGTTTCTCAAAAAGTTATATATAGAAATACCATTTGATCTAGCAATCCTACGTCTGGGTATATATCCAAAAGAATTGAAAGCAGAGAGGTGAACAGATATTAGTACATTCATGTTCATAGCAGCATTATCCACAATAACCAAAAGATGGAAACAACTCAAACGTCCAATGACGTATGAATTGATAAACAAAATGTGATATATGTGAATATTATTCAGCCTTAAAAAGGAAGGAAATTCTGGCCTAGTAAAGAATTCCCAAAGTAATCCCAGCACTTCAGGAGGCCAAGGTGGGTGGATCACTTGAGGTCAGGAGTTCGAGACCAGCCTGGCCAGCATGGTGAAACCTGTCTCTACTAAAAATACAAAAAAAAAAAAAAAAAAAAAAAAAGGATTAGCCAAGTGTGGCGGCACATGCCTGTAATCACAGCTACTTGGGAGGCTGAGGCAAGAGAACTGCTTGAACCTGGGGCAGTGGTTGCAGGAAGCCAAGATCACACCACTGTACTCCAGCCTGGGTGACAGAGCAAGACTCCATCTCAAAAATAAATAAATGAATAAATAAATAAATAAAAAGAAAAAATAAAAAGGAAGGGAATTCTGACACATGCTGCAACATAGCTGAACTTGAAGATATTATGCTAAGTGAAATAAGCCAGATGCAAGAACAACTATTGTATGATTTTCATTTATATAAGGTACCTAGAGTAGTCAAATTCAGAGAGACAGGAAGTAGAATAGTGGTTACCAGGGATAAAGGGGGGAGGCAATGGGAAGTTATTGTTTAATTGGCACGGAGTTTCAGTATGGGCTAGGGAAAAATTTCTGGAGATGAATGATGGTAATGGTTGTATAATAATGTGAATGTACTTAATCCCAGTGAACTGTACACTTAAAGATGGTTAAAATGGTAAATTAAAAAATTTTTACTTTTTGTGGGTACATAGTAGGTGTATATATTTGTGGGGTACATGAAATGTTTTGATACATGCATGCAATGTGAAATAAGTACATCATGGAGAATGGGGCATCCATCCCCTCAAGCATTTATCCTTTGTGTTACAAATAATCCAATTATACTCTTTTAGTTATAAAATGGTAAATTTTATGTATACTTTACACAATAAAAAATTTGTCCAAAAATATTGAATTGTTTTAAGATACTAAATAAAAGAAAAAGGAACTGAAGAAAGTCATGATTGTTTTTTTCCCCGAAGTTTTATAATAATCACTAAAAAGCTGACTGTTACTGCCTGTTGATTCTTTTAATCAAGTAAAAAAAAAAAAAACTTCTGTGTTTCTGTGTGCTTTTAATTTGTTTTTTAAAGAATACCTCTTAAAAACTACTGTCATACCAAACTGAACTGGTAAATATTTAGCTTTCCCAGGTGGGTCTACATGGTACTCACATTTGTCCAACTGACTTCCTTTGCAAAATGATCTGAAAGAGAGCTAATCACCTTTACTATAAAGAAATCCTACACAGTGATAGCTGCCACCTCCAAGAGAGTCCTGGAATCTGCTTAAGCTCAGGCACCTGAAATTTTAAACACTAAACCTGTGCAAGGAGAGTGCTTTCTTCTTGGGGATTGGATTGGTGTTTTCACCTATTCTTCCATTTTTTTTTTGAAGATGAGCTGCTTGTAGAGGTTTGGAGACATCAACTGACTTCTCTCTTTTCTGTACCTCCTGAGGCACCCAAAGCATGAATACAGTTTTTTTCTTCTTCCTCTCTCTTTATAGACTTGGTCTTTGATCTGTGATCTATGAGAAGGCTGAAGCCCCCTTACAGGACAGTTTACAATTTACTGGGAGTACATGGAAGTCCTGGACTAGGGTGATGTGGCTGCCTCCCATTGCACAGGAGCGATTAGCTTAGGATACGAGCCTCTTGACTTGTTTATACACAGGGCCTTACATCCTCCCCTTTTGTATGCCATTTTCTGAAACACCAAGGCCTTTGTTTTAAATCTATTCTAAGGGGGATTAATGTATTTGTATATACATGAAGCCTTCTTGGGAAAGAATCTTAGAAGTGTATTTTTTAAAAATTCAAGCCTGAAAAGTAGATGTTTAACTTCAGGTTCATGACATATTTTTTTTCCTGTTCATCTGTCTCAATTTGATTTATTTCCTGGTGTAAAGACAAATGCACTTTGGTTTTGTTACTTTGATGTAGATAACTTGTGTTCAAGTTGTCTTTTGGCTCTGTGTGCTTACATTTACTTTTTATAAAGCCGTTGGTATATGGAGAACATCTAAATTTTGGAGCATTAAAGTTGAAAGGCCTTTCAAAGACACATAGTCAGAAACACATCATAGAACAGCAGGAATCTTTTGTACTCATGCTCCTGACAGTTAGGGATCTAGTTTTAACTGTTGTCAAGTTTAGACACCTAGTGATTTAGAAATGAGCCTGGTCCACTGTTGGACAGTCACTAGAAACTAGTTCATTATCTGAAATCTTTCCCTTTTTAATTGCTTAGGTCTTAGTGTTCTGCCATCTAGAGCATTAAATGAAAATGGTTTGAATCCAATGATACTATAAGCTTTGAAAAGAGGCTCAAATTACAGATCAATCACACATTTTCTCACAAACCACATATACAAAAGACAGCCCCTGTTAAGAAAGTATAAATTCAGAGTATCTTAAGAATCCCCTCCAAACAATTTTCTAAAGTTAGACCAGATAGATTAAGATTCCTTATTTTTAAACTGCACCCAGGCATTACGCTTTTCAAAGGCTCCTGCAATGTACAGCACAGATGCGTGATTAAACATTTCTTTATTTGGTGAACGTCTTACATGAAGCGCAGGGTCCTTCCTGCTCTGGCTTTCATTATCTGACTCCAGGAGCGTCGTTGCCTTTGTCAGGGCTCCAGCCCTACTGGCTCTGGCTGGCTTGTCCTGGCCGCTGTGTAGCTGCCTTCGATGGGGCAGCCTGGCTGGGGAAACCCAGGGGGCCGCCTCTTACCACACTGTCAGTGGCAACAGCAAAGCATGTAACAGCCTAGAAAAAAGGAAGTTCACAGGCAGGCCTGTAGTTCTTCTTTTGTTTTGGGGCCATAACTTACAATTTACAGATTCTCAATTCCAAAACTATGATGTTTAATGCAAGTCATGTTAGGTTTATTCCTTCTTGCTAGAAAAGAAGGGATACCTAGCTTATATCCAAATAGGAGCTTGCACGGTTGTTAATTTGGTTTTTCTTTCAGAGTTGGGGTGTGCCCACAGCAAGTGATTTATCTCTTGGTGAATAAGGCCCCAGGCTGCTCTATTGTGCCTGCCTTTTTTTGTCACTTAGCTTGTGTTTCTCACATGAGTGTTCTGTGTATGCTGAGGTGACTACTCAGGAAGCTGAGCTTCCAAATGATGGGAGCCCAGCCCCAGGAAGCGTAACCCCATAGACAGGGCTCTGTGAGGAACAGGCAGCATTCCCATCCTACCTCTGGTGTCTGCTTCTCTCTGAGTGTCTTCTTCATTCCTTCCTTTTCTAAAGACCGCCTTTCCAACTTCTTGGACCATAGTTGTGGAACATATGGCTACAGGTTCAGCCAAAGAGAGACTGACCCTCACTCTTCATCTCCTTCTCACATTCTCTGGACAGGGAATCTCCTTGGCTGCCCTGAGCTGAATACTTCTCTGGTTCAGTTAACTATTGCCTTGGGCCTCAGGGCAGCACCTTGGACAAATAACTCTTAGGAACTTGATTTGTAGATGTGTTTCACGGATGGAAGGAGAGCATTTTGGAAAAGGCAGTTAATCTGATAGGTGTGCACCCCTCTGGGGACATGATGAAGTGCCACAGTACAACTAGTACATACGCCTAGAGTATCAATTTCCCCTTTAGTTTTAGAAGAAACATGATTTTGATGTTAAAGCAAATATATATATATGTGTGTGTGTGTGTATGTATGTGTGTCTATACACACATATACACACACAGTAAGGTGGAACATACTCCTACAGTATCAATTTCCCCCCTACTTTTAGAGGAAACATGATTTTAATATTAAAGCAAATATATATATGTGTGTGTGTGTGTGTGTGTGTGTGTGTGTGTATGCATGTATGTGTGTCTATACACATATACACACACACTAAGGTAGAACATTTGCAAGAATTTTAAAGATAACCATAAGGGAGAATAATTAATTTTGTATTTAAGAGATGCTCCTCCGCTGTTAGGACACTTTGGTAGGATAGTTCAGAAAGTACTGACATTTCTGGCCAATTACAGGCTGGAGTTGGAAGTTTTTTTTGTTGTTGTTGTTTTTTAAGATGGAGCCTTGCTCTATTGCTCAGGCTGGAGTGTAGTGGCGCTTTCTCAGCTCACTGCAGCCTCCGCCTCCCAGGTTCTCCTGCCTCAGCCTCCCGAGCAGCTGGGATTACAGGCACCCACCGCCACGCCCGGCTAATTTTTGTATTTTTAGTAGAGATAGGGTTTCGCCATGTTGGTCGGGCTGGTCTCAAACTCCTGACCTCAGGTGATCTGCCCGCCTTGGCCTCCCAAAGTGCTGGGATTATAGGCGTGAGCCACCGTGCCTCGTCTTGGAGTTGGAAGTTTAGCATGATACCATGTTGAGTTATTGAGTATTTTTCTTGTTTTAGTTACGTGAGGCCAGAAGATTCACTGCTTGTGTATTACAGAATTGTGTACAGAATACTCCCATTGTGGGTGGCTGGGCTAAGAAACGTTAGTGTAATCTTTCAAGAACCCTGTGCGGATTATGAGTGTGTTTCTGGAATAAGGCAGAATAATGAGATTTAGCCAGTGTTGGAGGCATCAGTGGGCTTGTAAATAGTTAACTCTTTCACTTGCAGCCCACATAGAGTCGCCTGTCTGTATCTCCTCATAGCCCACTTCACATAGTATGACTTTGTTTTTCTGGGCCACAGAAAGAAGACAAAACTAACTGCAGAGCTTTCTCTTTACCTAGGTGAGATTCCAGCAGAAGTACTTTTCTGTGATTTAAACACCTACATGGGAATATCTTGGAGAGTTAGGAAAGAATTGACATATGGAGATGTCTACATTAATATCTTTCTGGTCTCAAGTTCTTACAGGTTTCTTTTTATATGTATATTCTACATATATATGCAATAAATATATATAGCATAATTCATATTAGTAGAATAATGCAGAAATCAACATTATTGAAGACATTATTAAACCACCTACTATTTTTATTGACGTATGTGGAATATGTACGTGTGTGTGTAGATAATATATAGCAGTAGGATAATGTGGACATTGACATTATTGAATACATTAATAAACTATCCACTATGTTTATTGATATCCTAGAATAAGATTCTAATAATCTTAATGACTGAGATAATGTCAGTCTCCTAACTGACAGTGAGAAGAATTCAAAAGCCATCAGTAGATAAATTGGGAATGCCACCAGGTTTTTTAATGACCCCCTTTTAATTTTCCCTGAAGTATAAAAATCATTTCCTCAAGACGTTAAAGAAAAGCTTGAAAAAATAAAATTACTCATGGTTGTACCATCGTTATACAGGAGCTGTTTTTTTGACTTTTATTTTTCTGAATAAACAAACAAAACCACTATCACAGCAACAAAATCTTTGTAATAGGACTAAGAATTCCTGAATACTTCAGGGAACATCCTGAGGATAAATTAGACTTATGAGTATTGATAGTGGATGCCACGTGATCTGTGCCTACGGTCAGCTTACAAAGAGCTTTTAAAGCAGTCAGGTACTATAAAAAGTCAAAAATATTTGTTTCTGGCCTCTACTCTTTTTTAGGTAAAGGATTAATTAAGGGTGTAAATTATCTTTCAGAAACTCTTTTCAAAGCACTGCAAGAGTAAATACAGGTCTTTTGCCTAGCAGCATTTAAAAATCAATATAAATATTAGTCTTATGGTTCTTATAAAGATTTAGTTTAAAAAGAGAATTTTGCAGCTAAAATATTTGAACACTTGGGGGAATATTTAAAAAATATAGTGGCTTATGCCTGGCGTGAGACAGGCTGAGGTGGGCGGATCATGAGGTCAGGAGATCAAGACTATCCTGGTTATACACGGTGAAACCCCGTCTCTACTAAAAACGCAAAAAATTAGCCGGGCGTGGTGGCGGGCGCCTGTAGTCCCAGCTACTCGGGAGGCTGAGGCAGGAGAGTGGCGTGAACCCGGGAGGCGGAGCTTGCAGTGAGCCGAGATCGCGCTACTGCGCTCCAGCCTGGGCGACAGAGACTCCGACTCCGTCTAAAAAAAGAAAAAAAAAATTACATATATATATATTCAGGATGCAACCCTAAGGATTTTGATTTGTTAGACCTTTGGCGGGGCGGGGCGGGGCGGGTAGCGGGGAGCAGGAATCTGTATTTTAAGTTTCTCTTAGGGATTCTGGTTTGGGAAAAAATATTTAGGTAACAGAAATAGATAACAGGCAGAGTGGTGGAGTCCAAAAGTGTTTGTATACCAATGCCTGTTCTTTTTTTTGCTGAAAGATTAAATAGTTTTAGTGTATGTGTTATTTTAAGGAGTTTTTTTCCTATTTAAGCAAAACAAAATCTGAAGATACTGCTTTATTCCCCCTCTGATTTTGTACTTAGCAATTTTAGGATAAAGACACAAAAGATATTTTATCATGGCTATTGTTCCCATACTGAAAGAATAATTCTTCATTTAGAGAGTGTAGTTGCTTATGAAAACAAGGACTGATGCATAAACGTTAATATTACTCTTAGAATTTTCAAATATAGCAGTCCTAGTATGTCTTTTGAAGAAAAAAAATAAGTAGTGGAAACCTTCGTTTTCATATTTTTATAGCTAAGATTGACATTTATGCCTCAGTTGTTGAAATTTAGGAGGTTGAGGAAACAAGCTGGAATTTGGGTCCGCCCAAGTGTAAGTCTAGACGAACCAGTCATTCAGTCTGCATTCAGTTTGCAGAAATAAAATTAAGCCAACTTTGTTTTGAAATATGTGAATCACAACAGCACCAAGATCCAGAAAGATTAATGGGCAAAGAGTAAGAACAGATTTTTCAAAGGAGGAAATACTTGCAAGCATGCCTATAGAAAAACACTCCACTCCAAATCAAAGAAATGGAAGGAAGAAAATAATGAGAAACCATTTTATGGCTATTAAACTAATATAAATATAAATAAAACAAAGCTGATGTGATATCAGAAAACGAGTATATTCTTACATTTCTGGCAGCAATGTTAATTAGTTCAGTTCTTTTGGAGAACACATTAGCAGTGGATGTAAGAAGTCACACAATTGTCCAGACTCTTTGACCTAGTAACCCACTCCCTGGAATTTATTCTAAAGGAAAAAAAAGCTGTAAGAACAAAGATATTTATTGTGCTGTTATTTCGATGATGATAAATGAGAAAGAATTTGGATAGACAACAACAGACAAAATATGGAATGTTTTTAAGCTACTCAGAAACATATTCAGAAAGACAGTGTAAACCAATAAAAAGGTTTGGAAAAAAGCATAGTAAAATGTAAATACGTGTATTATAATAAAATACATAAAAGACCTATCAAGAAATAAACATCTTTGTTATGGTTTTAGCAATATATGTGAATTTAAAAAACATTTAAAAATATATTGTTAATAAATAAAATACATTTTAAAAGAAAAAGTATAAAGCTTGTTAACAAGAGTTTTTCTTCTTTCTTAGCATAATGCAGTGAAGATGGGTGAAGAGAGATGTGTTTCATCTGAAATTTGAAGGGCTTTACAACTCTTCTCCTTTAACTAACTTACCATCCTTTAACTAACTTACCACCCAAAATGAATTCTGTAGCCTTTGTCACCTGTCTTTTCTGCTTCTACATTTTTGCAGTTACCCATGTAAATTCTTAGCTGGCTCTGGGGTCAGACTGTCTGGATTTAAATCCTATTTCTACCACTTATCTGGGTGTAGACCTTGGAGAAACTGTATCACTACTCTGTGCCTCAGTTTCCTCATCTGAGAAATAGAGATAATAATGGCCTCTAGCTAGTGAGAATTAAATGAGAGAATGCACATAAGGTGTATAGTAAGGTGCCTGGTACTAGATGTGCTCAACAATATAAACTATTATTCCTCACCTACATTTGGGAGGCACTCTTAACTGCCCATCACACTTTCTTCCTTGCTAACAGACCACAGTTTTATTCAGGCATTCAGCTGCGGTGTGGCCAGCCTCGGGATGAATGAATGAAGGCTTCTCTGCTAGTGGCAGTCCTATTCCCATTTGCCACAAGTTGGTTGGAAGTGAGCGTGTGCCTTTGTTCTGGTCTATGAGACTTCATGGAAGTCAACTGGGGTCTTCTGGGAAAGATATTCCTCCCTTATAAGAAACAGGTGCAGGGAGATATGTACCCATTACCTCTCCCTGGCCCCAGCTTTCCTGCTTTGGACATCCTTGTGTGATGATGTGTTGTTACTGCAGCTATCTTGCAATCACAAGGAGATGGCTGCCAACAACCAAGGCTGGCAGAGCGAGAAGATGGTCAGAGCCTGGACCTACGATGACATCACCAAGCCACTGAACTACCTGGTCACTGACCTACTGAGCCTAGGACCACCTACCTCTAGAGATTTTGTTAAGAGAGATAAATCAAATGTCCAAATTGCTTAAGCAAATTTTAGTTGGCTATTCTGTTATTTGCAGTTGAAAACACCCTGCCTGATAAGACTGTCATTGTCTAATGCAATTTTAAAATTATGCCACCACAAAGAATTTCATGAGTAGATTATGATTTCTGGAATAAGTCAGCACTCTTCTATTAGCCTTTCACTTTCCATGTTAAGATTTTCATTACATGCTTTTAAATTTTAATCTTAATAACTGTCTTATGTATTTTAAACCTAGACGCTTCTTTGAAAACTACTTTGATAATGAAAGTAAAATGTAGATGGACTTTTTTGCTTTAATTATCAACATGATAAATATTCTCAAAATAAATGCTGTAATGAAAGACATTTTGGTGAGAGTGAATGTAAACCTATAACTCTACATTGACGATCCTCCTGCAGCTGTGATAGGATTATGGCTTAAATATTTTGAATTTCTGTTTAAAAATAAACTTTAGTGCAGCTGATGAGGAGATTATGTGTTTTATTGAGTGTGTTTGCTGAAATTACATCTCTAAAATAAATAAGATGTTGTGTATTTTCTTGTCTGTGTTACAAAAACTTTTTGCTTCCCAGTGTACTGTTTGAATAAAAGTATGTTGGTGGCCACCACATTCTCCCACATGTAGAGCAAAACTGGGAAGCTCTTCCTCTTTAATAATACCGATCTTGCCCTATTTCAAGAAGGTTTAGTGACTTGATAAAAATTACTTGTCAAATGTGTTTTCTAGTGGGATTTTCTTTTAAAAATTTCTTTTTTTATTTCTGTACATTTTTTGAGACAAGGTCTCACTCTGTTGCCCAGGCTGGAGTGCAGTGGCACAATCATAGCTTGCTCTGGCCTGGAATTCCTGGGCTCAAGCGATCCTCCAGCCTCAGCCTCTCAAGTAGTTGGGTCTTCAGGTGTGCACCACCATGCTCAGCTAATTACTGTATTTTTTTTGTAGAGATGGGGTCTCACTGTGTTTCCCAGGCTGGTCACAAACTCCTGGCCTCAAGCCATCTTCCCATCTCAGCCTTCAAAGTGTGGGATTACAGGTATGAGCCACCTCACTCGGCCAGCTAGTGGGATTTTCATAACCAAGATCAGCTGTATACCACACTTTTCTTATATATTACAGAATTTTCAAGAGTCTTTCTTCATGCATAGCTAAAACTATTAGTTCTCCCTAAACAAAACTTTTACTCAATTCCAGCACCCCCACCATCACCACTTCCTGAACTACACATACTTCAGTATCTCCTGCCACATGGACACCGCATGCTACCCCTGCTTTGACTTCCTCCCCCTCGTCTCCCCAGAGAGCCTCCTATGTTTGCAGCAAGGATTAGTTCCCACAGCAGTCCTCCATAGCAAGTTGGTCCCTGCATTAGACAGAGTTCTCCACAGATACAGAACCAATAGGAGCTATATCTATGTCTCTATGTCTTTCTCCTCTCTCTCTCAATCTCTCTCTTTATATATATATATACACACACACACACACACACACACATATACATATATGTATAATATATATAAGTATGTATTTAAATTATAAGGAATCAACTTACATGATCACGGAGGAACTATAAGGAATATATATATATAATTTTTTTAATTGTAAGGAACTGGCTTACATGATCATGGAGGCTAGGAAATCTCAAATCTGTAGTGTGGGCCAGCAGGCTCTAGTCCCCAGAGAGCTGATGATGCTGTTCCACTCCCAAGGCAGTCTGCTGGAGAAGTCCGTCTTGCTTGGGATGGCCAGTCTTTTTTTTTCTATTCAGGTTTTTAACTGATTGGATGAGTCTCACCGACCTTATAAAGGGCAACCTGTTTCACCCAAAGTTCATTCATTTAAATTTAATCTTATCCAGAACCCCTCTCCAATTTGACACATAAAGCGAACCAGGTTAAAGATAATTGCGTTTTGCACTCTGTCCCTGCAGCAGCAGTAGGCAGGCAGCCAGGAGGGACAAGTGTGGATATTGCTACTTTCTTTTTCTCTGCTTCTGTGCTGCTTGGGTAGTTTTTTGGGATGGAGGGTGGAGGTGGGAAGGGGAATGATGAGGAGGGAGGCCGTGTCCCTAGTGATTAGTTGCTGCACACACTTGTTGGAGTGAGTGTCTTTAAGTCCAACGGGGAGCCCTGTCCCCAGCCATTTCCCGCTTCACCTTGGGCTCCTCCATTCCTCAGCCAGCCTAGTTTGGACTCTTGGTCTGAACTGAGCAGAACTTTCCTCTATCATGACAGAGTCTGTATGTGTGGGGAAGAGACTGTAGAAAGTGACCACTCTTCACAGCTGGGACCCTTGGGCCTGATTTGGAGAGAGCCTTGGGTTCTTGTCTTGCCTCCATTGTGTGGTTTTGGGTGTTCCCATCATCTTTAAACCTCAGTTTCCTCATCAGCCAAATGGGAATAATATGGCCTCAGTCCATTGCTATGGGAATTATGTGAGAAGTTTTGTGTAAATGGTTTGTGTCCTCTCATGCACGATACAAATTAAGTTTGGGTTTTGATTTTATCCCACTTCTTGCCACTGGACAAAGCCTAATTTATATAGAAGAATTGGTTTTGCTCTCTAAGTACCCAGGACTTCTGTCAATGTGATTTCCCTATGACAGGGTTGCTAAATTTTCTTTCAGGGAACAAAAGGGTACATTGTAAGGAATCTGTTTCCTGGACTGGGAAGCCATATTTCAGCAACCTATGCCCAGCTACCCCACCCAATGTGACTTGTTACACATCTGGGATGCAGATCTGTTAGCGCTGCCTTGCTTGGAAGCCCTTACTGACAGTGAGCAGATGAATAATTAACCTAATAAGTTCTCGTGCGATCTCTTTGCTGCCTGGCGTCATGTTCAGAGATGAGACTTCCTGAGCAGAAGCTGAAACAATTTTTTTCTATGACATTGCAAATAAGGACCATGCTTGAATGAAATAAAAACTGACTGCTCGTTCATTAGCCTGGACATTCATTCAGTCAACCCATATTAACCACATGGACAGCATCACCCTAGGTAGTAAGGAAGGAACAAAGGGGAAGAAAGAGAAACGAGACTGGAAAGATACAGAGATACCTGGTTGCCAGGCTCGAATGTTTGGATTTTATTTTGTTGACATTAGAACATGGGGAGTGTGAATATTGGGCTTGAAGTTGGGTCACCTGGGTTCCAATTCTGGCTCTGCTGCTTCCTTGCTGTGTCATCTTGGATAAGTTGCCAACCATGCTGTACCTCAGTTTCCTCATCTCTAAAATGGAAAGAACAATAATATTGTACGTACCTCATAGTGTTATAGTGAGGATGAAATGAGGGAATGCATGAACGTCACTCCGAGTAGTGACTGATCCTGGGGAATGACTGTAGGTGTTTTAAGTGTAGAAAATGTGTGTCAGGAAGATAAATCTAGCAGCAACACAGGGTAAGGTGGCTACAATGGGAAAAGATTGCATAGGGGGTTGGGAAGACTGTTGAGTGTAAGCGAGATGGTTGGCAGCATCAGGGACCTGGGAATTCAAGGTCCCATTGTAGGGATGGCTGGGCAGAATGATTTAAGAATCCAGGGGTTATGGGGCTGGGTGAGGTGGCTCATGCCTGTAATCCCAGTGCTTTGGGAGGCTGAGGCAGGATGATTTGCTTGAGGTCAGGAGTTCAAGACCAGCCTGGGCAACACAGCGATACCCCATCTCTAAAAAAAAAAAAAAAAAAAAAAAAAGCCAGATGTAGTGGTGCATACTTGTAGTCCTAGCTACATGGGAGGCTGAGACGGGAGTATCACTTGAGCCCAGGAATTCCAGGCTGCAGTGAGCTATGTTGCTGCCATTGTACTCCAGCCTGGGTGACAGAGTGAGATCACTGTCTAAATAAATAAATAAAATAAATAAAAATAAAAATCTAGGAGTTAGGTAGGCAGGGCACAGTCATTCATGGGATTATAGGAGGACTCTCCTCTGTCACCCCATGTCTTCCTTACATTTCATTCTTCAAAGCCTGGTCTTCATCAGGACTCATGTGGCCATGTTGTGCTCATGTCTCTGATGTCATTTTCTGGTTTGGGGACACAGCAGGTCATTAGGGATGAAGCACTGGGATAGAGTTCAACTGCTTATTCACCCCTCCCTTTTCCTGTTATCTGTTTTCTACTCTCAATTTGGTAAAAGGGTTTACATGATAGCTGAGAACTGTATTAGGGAATATATTTTATTTCTCTTCCTTCTTAGTTTTTGGAATGTTTCTGAAAGAATTTAGGTTGAGCTTTTATTTGATCAGTCTTGATTCACTTTCCTGGCCTTCTAATTTTCCCTAAATGCGAGAGGTTTTAGAGTAATAGAGTAATACATAGAGATAAGGAATGTGGCCTCATGGTAATTCCGTGGGACAGGCAGTTTGTACCACTGTTAGGAAAAATAACCCTACAAACAGCTTTGCTGTTAAGTTTCTCCCTTCCCCTTTAGGTGGGAAAAGACTATAGCAAATGGCCTTTTTATTATGTAAGGTAAATGAGTACCCTCAATTTTATCTGCTTTGTAAATCAGAATATTCATATGTTTTCTTAAACTAAGTTGAGTATGTATACTGCTGTCCCTTGGTATCCATGGGGTATTGGTTCCAGGACTATTGTAGATATCCAAATCCAGGGATGCTCAAGTCCCTGACATAAAATGGTGTCGTATTTGCACATAACCTATGTACTTTCTCCCATATACTGTAAATCATCTCTAGATTGCTTATAATACCTAATACAATGTAAATGCTATGTAAACCGTTGTTATACTATATCTTTTTATTTGTATTATTATTATTATTGAGATGGAGTCTTGCTCTGTTGCCCAGGCTGGAGTGCAGTGGCACAATCTCGGCTCACTGCAATGTTCACCTCCTGGGTTCAAGTGATTCTCCTCTCTCAGCCTCCCCAGGAGCTGGGATTACAGGACTGCACCACCATTCCTGGCTAATTTTTGTATTTTTAGTAGAGATGGGTCTTACCATGTTGGCCAGGTTGGTCTCAAAATCCGGACCCACCTTGGCCTCCCAAAGTGCTGGATTTACAGGCATGAGCTACCACACCCGGCCTTTATTATTGTATTATTATTTTTTATTTTTTTCCCTAAATATTTTAGATTTGCGGTTGGTTGAATTAAACCAATGGCAGATGCAGAACCCATCATATGGAGGGCCAACTGTAAATTCAAAATTGGCTACCCACAGGGTCACCCACTTATACACATGCTTTTACTATGTATGGAATATGATAGGTCATTTTGCTAGAACACGGAGATACATAGCTAAACAGAAAATTAGCATCACTGCTTGAGATGTAGAGTCAGCTCTCTTTAAAAGATTGTCAAACCACAGCCTGGCATTAGTTAGATTTGATAGGGTAGAAGGTGAATAATCGTAAGCTGAGCTGTCTTTGTAAATGTTGTGATTTTTCCCATCTTCCATTTTTCTATCTCCCCTGCAACAGTTTCAACTGGTAGATGAGTTCTGACACATGAAACACATGGTATTTTGTACCAATTCTATCCCAACATGTGGTTGGTGACCATAAATAGACATGATATTAGCAAATAATATTAGGAACACTGTAAATGGATGTTTGGGTGATCATTCAGAAAGACAGGAAGGTAAACAAAAAATACTGCCTGCTGCTTATATACTGACCAGTCTGGAGGCTGATGACACATTCTTCTTTGCTAAATTAATAAGAAGGTGGGAAGTGGCTTTCTTCTATTGCCATTGTATTCTGTGATGCACAAATTTAACTCAATTTTCCCATTACACTATACGTAGTTGCTTAATAGAGTCTTGTCCAAGCATTTAAAAAATCACTGTACCTTTTGTGTTGCTGCTGACATGAGCTATTAAGAAAGTTGAAACTTTAGTAGCAGCTGCTTCCTCTGCCAGTTATAGCTACCTAAGTTGGGTTGAATTTCTTTGTGCTTTGAGATGGGTCTCCCAGTTGTGAGGAGTATTTGGTTTTGATACTTTTGTTTTGGATGACAGCGATGAGTGTTCGCTAACTTTTATCCATATGTCATCTTATGTTTGCATTCCTGGGTGGAAGAATAATAGTTCAATGTCTATTCATAATACTATACGATTTCTTAACTCCCCTGATTGGAGCCCACACATATGTCCTATGTCCTTCCTTGCTATGGTTTGAATGTTTGAATGTTTGTGTCCCCACCAAAATTCATATGTTGAAACTTAATCCCCAGTGTGATCATGTTAGGAGGTGGAGCCTTTGGGAGTGATTAGGTCATGAAGGCTCAGGCCTCATGAATGGGATTTGTGCCCTTATGAAAGAGGCCCAAGGGAGCTTGTTTGCCCCCTCTGCCACATGAGGGCACAGCAAGAAGGTGCCATCCGTGAGGAACAGGCCTTCACCAGATATCAAATCTGCTGGCACCTTGATCTTGGACTTGCCAGTCTCCAGAACTGTGAGCAATAAATCTCTGTTGTTTATAAGTTAACCTTATATCCAGTCTAAGGTATTTTGTTATAGCAACTCAAGTGGACTAAGATAGTCCTCTACAGGTTTTCTGAGTTTTCAGTTATATTTTAATTATGTTAGTTTTAGGAAGGCCCAACTCACTTGAATTTATTAGCATGGATTCAGTTAACACATACAAAATGTAGAGTTCAGGCCCAAGTTTCTCTTTAAGACATTTTTTTTTTTGTCCTAAAGCTGTATTCCTGTGACATTGGATTCCTTGTTTCTTAGGTTCTTTAAGGGTTTTATTTATTTTATTTTTTTAAAGTCTTTCTTCCTGCTGTTGGCTGGAATAGTGACTTCTTAAGACATTCAGCAGTATGAACTAGAAACATATTACATATGCAGTCACCATATATGTATAGTAAATGCTTCAAAATGGTGGACTTTGTTTTGTTTTGATTTGATTCATGGAAACTCCTCTAAATAAAGAGCTTTTCTAATATTATTCTGTGTATCTACTGCAATCATTAGAGCACTTGCTCAGTGAAATTGGAGGAAATCTCAACACTTTCTAGAAACTGAGTTCCAGCAGAGCTGTAATTAGGCAGGGCAACATAATTTTCCTAAGCGATTAAGTTGCTAGTCACAGAATGTGATCTCTTTATCCAGGTCTGGAAGCAAAGGAACTTGTGCCTATTTGTGGCCCTTACATCTGGTTGTGGTTAGCCTGGCGGACTGACAGGTCTGACAGTTGAGCTTTTCCTGACTTAATTCCCCTGTTTCTCCCCTTTGGGCTGTAGAGAGATGACTCTGAGGCTTTCTGGTCTCATCTTGAGTGTTGAGGCCCAGGTAAATAAAAGCATGTCCTTTGCCTCTCTTGATAGGTGAGTCAAGTCCCAACTCTCCTAGACTAGAGTGTCCTGTTAACCATTCTTGACTTTCGTCTCAGCTGGAAAGACGGGGACCATTCCAGCATTGCCTAAGAATATTCCATAGGGGGAACAGCCTGGTAAGGTTAGAAGATGAGCCCTTTTTTTAAGGTGAACCTAGAGAGGTGGCCATACCAGTTTAATCTAGTCATTGTGGTTATAATTGGGGATAGAAATGTTTTAGCAAGAAAGTGGTTTGTAGGTTGGCTGGAGATGGACTTTGATGTCTGGCTCCTCCTGTCTCTTTTGAGAAACCTGGTATAACTGGAAATGTGGGGAGCCTTAGGATCAAGCATATTGAACGTGGTTTTCCTTTGGCCAGAATTAAAATTTGATTTTGCTTTTCTAGATTGTCCAAGTTGCTGTGATTATCAAACTGAAATGAAGTACCATTATATTATAAAATACCATTATATTATAAAATATTTGCTACATAGATCTGTTATAACTTTTCTGTACTGTTTATCAATTAGTAAATGGTATTAAATTTATTTAGATAATCAGCTACTAAAATAAACTAGTCATGAGGAAGGACCTGTTTTCATTGAATTTTTCAATAATAGTGCATTTCCTGGCACATAAAAGGCATTCAATAAATTGATGAAATAATAAGTAATAAAGTTTAACAAGGATCTACTGATAAAGTTTTACTTATAATGCACCCTAGCAAGTTTTTATATATAGACTATTTTAAAAAAGATTAATCAAGACATTAAACCTAAAGGGAGATTTTTTTAAATGGTTTGGGAAGAAAAGCACAGTAATATGTATTTTTAAGATTAATATTGTACAAGTATTTTTATTATGTTTGAAGGTTTTTGGCTTATTTATTAGCAGAGGAGGAACTCTTTAAAGAGTTTCTTTTCCTCTTTCAGGCCACCAGCACTATGTAGTGAATCATTGAAATGATTCTTCCTTTTTATTCTCATGTTACTATCAAAACCTGGCACAATGGAGGCATATAATAAATCTTAAAGAACAATAAGTACCTCTACTTCTTAGAAAAAAGAAAAATCTTACCTTCTGAAACTTCTTATTTTTAAAAATGTTAATATAGATTCAAATGTTTTTTTTAAATTTTACATAACTTTTTCCAGATTGCAAAAGCAATACAAGTTCATTATAGAGAACTTGGAAATAGAATAATTAAAATTACCATAAACTTCTGGACCCAAGATAGTTGCTATTTAATTTTGATATATTTCTTACCAGTCCAGCATTTTTCCATGAGTATTCTACAGAGTGCTTGCCTAATATAAGATGTTCTGGTGAACAAGAGTTCAAGTAGAAAATCTATTTACTGTGCCCCTCTTGGAGATCCATGATGCATAGTGGCAGTATTAAAGGCTCTGAGAAGGTCTGCAAGAAAGAAACCCTTTGCATTATTTAATCAGTGTTTCCTAAGCTTATTTGACGACTAAGTCCTCTGTGTATGTATGTGTGTGTAGAATTTATTAGCATCCTCATACTTTGACAAATTTAATTCTATTTTCCTTTTCTTCTTTTAAGATGTTAGCTTTTCTGGGAGTCTATTCTGGTTATAGGACATTCCCCTTTAATTTTTCAGGGCCGATCTCTTGGTAGGCCTCAGAAAGAGGATGCAGAGCCAAAAAGAGAGAAGATGTGCCCTGGAAAGGAGGAATAGACTTAAAATGCATGATTACTGTGGGCTGCATTACAAGATTTTGCATACCCCCAGTCCAAAAATCAAATTTATTCATGTTCAGTAAGATGCTTCTGAGACTTTGCCAGCTGTGGATTATGCATTTGGGGAAAGCTGATGGAGAGGCCTTTGATCATAGGCTGGGTTGTTGTAGAACTTCCTGATTGCAAAGAGCAGACAATTACTTTTAAGAGAGGGTGTTGGGGGTGTGGGGAAGTGGGGAGGTAGCTATCGAACTGTGAGATTTGGTTATTATCTAGTATGCCATGTCCTTGGATCTGGCTTTCTGAGATGACTTTTGTTCACAGTAAAATCTTACATGTTGTGGCTAATAAAAAAAAAACTTGCTTCAAGACTGCTGTAGAGACACTGAATCTAAACTGGGCACCAACATTGTCACCCACAGAGAGAGACTTGCTAGAAACAAGTGAGGAAGCATCTCTAGCAATTTTGTGGAGGTTTTCTTTAAGCTTCTAGCAACTGTTGCTAGTGTCACTAGATTGCTGTTTTTAGAACAGTTTTAGGGATTTCCATCTTGCTTCCTACCCAGCTCTTTCTCTTAATTTTTGAAATGCCAAGAGCTTAGTGGTAGAAGTCTGAACAACTTTTTGTTTTTTTTAAAAGAAGGTCTTGGCTTGGCTCTTTTTTTTTTTTTTTTTTGAGCTGGAGCCTTGCTCTGTCACCCAGACTAGAGTGCAGTGGTGCGATCTTGGCTCACTGCAACCTCTGCCTCCTGGGCTCAAGTGATTCTCGTGCCTCAGCCTCCTGAGTAGCTGGGATTACAGGCACACACCACCACGCCCAGCTCATTTTCGTATTTTTAGTAGAGACAGGGTTTCACCGTGTTGGCTAGGCTGCTCTCCAACTCCTGACCTCAGGCGATTCACCTGCCTCTGGCTCCCAAAATGCTAAGATTACAGGCGTGAGCCATCATGCCTGGTTTACCTCTTGAATATATATATATTTATATCTAGATTTTCTTCTATAAACATTAATTCAACTATTCTTATTTTAGGAAATGTAGAAATTATATGACCAAAAATGCATATATTATAAGGGAATATATTAGAGAGATTTGCAGAAAAATGCAAGGCCCTTCATCTGATTGAAAATCTACGTTGAAGACATTTGAGAAGAAGCAGATTGGTTGCATTAGTTTTTACATAGGTGTTCACCTGGTCATATTTTTATGTTTTTCAGAGTATGAAATCCATTGAGATAGTGAAACTCCCAAAAACTAGTTACTAAAGCAAGAAAGGTATGCAATAGAACTGGCAGGTCTATAAAATGTGAAATGTTAAGTCTGCCTTTGGGACAGTGTAAATGTTGCAAAAATTTATCAAGATAGAAAACAAAAGTAAAACCAAGACACGTTGCAGAACTCAGTGACAGTTGGTTATCTTGCATTGAGTAATCTGTGGAAGAAACTGCTGACTGTTCCCCAATATCATCTTCCTTTCTTTATAAGTTATTTATGTTTCTCCTGGATTAAAGACTGTTTTTTTGGCCGGGCACAGTGCCTCACACCTGCAGTCCCAGCACTTTGGGAGGCCAAAGTGGGCAGATGGCTGAGCCCAGGAGTTTGAGACCATCCTGGGTAACATAGTGAAACCCCATGTCTACAAAAAATAAAATACTAGCTGGGCATGGTGGCTCATGCCTGTAGTCCCAGCTACTTGGAAGGCTGAGGTTGGAGGATTGCTTGAGCCCGGGTGGCCAAGGCTTCAGTGAGCCATGCTCTCTAGCCTGGGTGACTGAGACCATGTCTCAAAGAGAAAAAAGGACAATTTTTTCTAGCTTACCTTTTGGCCAGTTATGCCTTTGTGACTGTATTCTGGCAAGAGGATTTATGTGGAAATTTCACAAAATGGGGATCATTACCCTTGTTTATCCCATTCTTTCTTCCTGATGCCTGGAATTGGGTGAGATTGCTGGACTTGAGCAGCCATTGTGGATCATGAAGTAGAAGCAGATGCTACAGAGAATGGAGCAGCAAGACAGATGGAACCTGGGCTAGCCACGGTGGTTCACGCCTGTACTCCCAGCCGAGGGGTACAGGGCAGGCGGGTTGGGGGGCCAGGACGAGCAGATCACCTGAGGTCAGGAGTTCAAGACCAGCCTGGCCAACATGGCGAAACCCCGTCTCTACTGAAAATACAAAAATTTGCCAGGCGTGGTGGTACATGCCTATAATCCCAGCTACCCGGGAGGCTGAGGCAGGAGAATTGCTTGAACCTGGGAGGCTGAGGTTGCAGTGAGCTGAGATCGTACCACTGCACTTCAGCCTGGGTGACAGAGTGAGACTCCATCTAAAAAATAAATTAAAAAAAAAAAGATAGATGGAACCTGGGTCCTTATCACCATCGAGCACCATACCAGTCCTGGGTAACTTCTATAGACCTTGTTTACAACGAGGGAGAAATATATATATATCTTTCTTGATTAAGCCACTGTTATTTTGGGTTTTCTGTAACATGATGCTGAACCTAATCCTTCTATGGTATTATGCTACCCTTAGGTTAGACTGATTTTTTTGTCAAGGTTGTCATCATAGCACAGATCAAGATACAACCAGATTCACCTGAGAACAATCAATTTACTAGTGCTGATAGTATGTAGAGCCAGTTGACTAGGCAATGTTCAGAACAGACTTTCTATTAAATATCTTCCTCACTGTGCCTTTATTTGACCTGACCATTTTTTTTTACGGTAGAGTGTCAGGATGTGATATGGTTTGTTTATTCATTCAGCAAATGTAATGAGTGCCTACTATAGGCCAGCCATTGTGTTAGGCTCTGGGAATCCAGTGTGAGCCAAACAGGCATAGTCTGTGTCTTGACACAGCTTACAGTTTGGTGTAGAAGATGGATATTAATGAAAGGACCACACAGTTATATAATGACTGTACAAACTGTGACATGAGCACAGGAAGCTACCAGAACACATACAACGGAAGAATCTCATCTAGACTTGGGGTAGGAGGGCTAGTCAGGAAAGCTGTCTTGCACAAGTAGCTTTTGAATTGAGATGTGAAAGGTGAATTGGATTTAATCAGGTGAGGGTGGGTAGGATGTTCTAGATAGAGGGAATTGTCTGGACCAAAGCTCTGAGAAGGGAGGGGCTGCAGCATTTTCAGGAGTGGAAGGGCATCCGGAAGTTGCACTGGTGCACTGCATGGAAAGGAAAGTCATGGAAATAACCAAGCTGACTTGTCAAGGATGTCACTTTTGTAAGGCGTTAAACATTCCCTTTCATGACAAAATTATTTTAGAGGAGCTGATTTCATTCCAAATCTATCACAAAATAAATAAAACAATCAGACCTTTTGTATTTTAGGGAGTGATGCTCTGGGACATGTAATTAGGTGCCAGTTTTCTGTGCGCGATTCTCTTTTGTAGTGATTTACATGTTGTATATTAGCTGTCATTTAGACGTTTATGGGGTGGACAATGGGTGTGAATGGAGCCGGCATTACAGACATCACACACTCCGAATCTTCTAGTGAAAATGTTAATGGCATGAAATATTTTTAATGAGCACATGTTCCCTTGAGCAGAGTCCAATCCCACAGAAGGAGTTCAGCAGTGTAGCTTAAAAGCAAGAGGGTTGGCGAGTTTTATTTCTTGAGAAAAGTATTGCTGAAGTAGTATCTTTTAAGTTAATGCTACTGAAAGTAAAAACAGCAGAGGCAGGAAAATATTTGTTTTCCAAACATGTTTTATTTATAGATGGGTGAGTTCTTAGAAAAGATGATTTAATAATTGATTCATCTTTGTTTTGAACATATATAGTATTTTGTGCCTTTCTTTTAATTATAGTAACTAGTACTGAAACATTCAAGGGTGCAATACTCTATAGAACAAAGGTCTATTCTTAAGGGAAAGAAATAATACAGTCGGCTATTATACAAGATCGACAGTTGACGGCAAAGGACTTAAAGGAGTCGAGTTTGCTCTAAAAACGAGTCTATGCTGCCTCTCATCAGCTCCGTTCTACACCATTGCCATCTCTCCCCGCTGCCAGGGCATCAAAGAACACTTTGTTCCTCCTATTTTCTTGACTTCTAGTGAGAGACAAACCTCAGTGTCTTGCTTCTCCCCATTTTTCCTCTAATATTTCTGGAGGCAGATATGCCTTTGCCACTTCTGTGGGAGTAAGCTAAAAACAGTAGCCTTCAGACCTTCTCCCTCACTGTGTGCTCTCATTATACAAACTCAGGACTGAAGTGGCACGGGGATTCTCTTTTTCTCAGTAGCTACTGTCAAATTTCTCTTTTTCTCCTATCCTTCCTTCCTTTCTTTTATTCTTTTTTTTTTTTTTTGAGTAGTTTGTTGCAGGGAGAGATGAGTAGTTTTGGGCTTAGATTGAGACTATTTTTGCATTAAATGGAGAAAGAAAATGGAAACTAGTTCTATAATAGGCATCTATAGGCAACACTCCAGCCATAGAATTAGAAGAAACTAGTAGGCAACTAGTAGGCCCCATAGACCAGAGCAGGCTTCAACATAATAGCAGTAAGTTAAAAACAAGAAATCTTTCATAACACCCTCTTTTTTATTGGCCTACAGAAATACACTGTGCATATGTTCTCCTGCTGCTCCTTTTTTTAAAATGAGTCCGGGCTCTACCATTTGCTAATTGGGGTTCAGGACACCTGTGAGTGGCAGCCTCAGTTTGAGTGGGTGGTTCAGATACTTGTGGATGATTTTGGGGCAGGTCGTGTCTTCTTTACCTATCTTCTAACTAGAAGCTAGGGCATAGTAGGGGCTTTGTGATAGTTTTTGACTGTATCTTACACACAGTCAGGCTGCAGGAGAGGAGAAGTGCTTTCAACTTAAATTCTGATCCCTCTGAGAAGGCTTTGAAGAGAAGTCCCTTGCAGCCTGTTTGCCCTGCAGAAGGAGTAGGGTTGAGGGATCCTGGGCATTTGTTGAATCTTTATGTGGCATTTATCCGGTTTTCATCTCTTGGAGCACGATTTCCTCTGGTCCTGTTCCCATCAAGTGTGCAGTTATGCTTAGATTCATTTGTCCAGGTGTCTCTTAAAGTCAGAATTTACTGTTTTATGACTATATAACAAATAGCACTCATCAACTAATTCTGCACTTCAAGCCCTCACCGCAATGCTGAGGGCCCTAATCACAATGACTTGTTTGCTATTACTTCCCTTAATTTACTGCTACTGAGAATTCCTTCTAGAGCACTTATTGTCTGCACCATTCATTTTTGTACCTAATCATGGACTACTTTGCATTGTTAGTTTATTGTATTATTTATATATCTTTGTATATAATATTTGTATTGTATTATTTGTATTGTATAATATTTGTATTGTATTATTTATATATCTCCCCAGCTGTTTTTATAGTTTCTAGAAGGCAGAGGTTGGATCTTACACTACTTTTTTTTTTTTTTTTTTTAGACAGAGTCTCACTCTATCACCCAGGCTGGAGTGCAGTGCAACAATCTCGGCTCACTGCAACCTCTGCCTCCTGGATTCAAGCAATCCTCCTGCCTCAGCCTCCCAAGTAGCTGGGATTACAGGCGCCCGCCACCATGCCCAACTAATTTTTGTATTTTTAGTAGAGATGGGGTTTTGCCATGTTGGCCAGGCTGGTCTCAAACTCCTGGCCTCAAGTGATCTGCCCCCTCAGCCTCCCACAGTGCTGGTATTACAGGCGTGAGCCACCGTGCCTGGCTGGATCTTACACTACTTTTGAGCCCCTCTCAGCACACAGTAGATAATCAACAAATGTTTGAATTCGGAAATTTCAAGTGAAAATAGTTTTGCTCTTTTAGAAGACTCTAGCAATATCAATCTATTTAGTTCTTTTATAGAACCCAAGACCTAGCTTAAATGTGTAGATGATTCCTTATGGCACACCAGGATTTTCACATGCTTGTCTTCTTCCTTTGGTCTTACCACTGTCTGAGAGAGGGGAGTGAGAAGTGTTGAAGCTTAGTTTAACATGGAAAGTCTGTAGGTAAAGGCCCGTTCTCTCTGTGAGTGAAACATAGGGCTGATTGAACACCTGCTGTTAACACTGAATAAGGGTGTAGTTTGAAAGACTTAGCATTGAGTCTAGCCTGTTAACCCTCTCTTCAGCCTCTTCTTAAAAGGCTCCATTGAGTTCGCCCTGTTTTCATGCTTATCACTAGTGGGGAAGGGAATATTAAGAGGCCAGTGCCTTATCCATTAGGCAACTGGGGCAGGAAGGGGATACTGGAAAGAACTTTGCTCAAGTTGTTATCAGGTAGAATCCCGAGAAAGGTAATAAAGTGGAGTCTATTAGCAACCTAACTTTAAAAGTTTAGCAAAGCTCTGTGATCGTGGAAATTGGGAACCACCAAATTGTTATCAATAGGGATAAGTAAAATTGGGGGTGTTTACCTAACAGAAAACCTTGTTATTAAAAAGAATGAGGTGGATGGGCATGTACAACATGGAAAAATCTAGAAAATTTTAAAAAACAAATTGTAGAACAATTCGTAAAGCATGATCCCAATTATTTAACAAAACAAAATAAGAGATGCCTGTGGCTGGGCTGGGCGTGGTGGCTCACGCCTGTAATCCCAGCACTGTGTGAGGCCGAGATGGGTGGATTGCTTGAGCCCAGGAGTTCAAGACCAGCCTGGGCAACATGGCAAAACCTCATCTCTACAAAAAATACAAAAATTAGCCAGGCATGGCGGCATGTGCCTGTGATCCCGGCTACTATGGAGGCTGAGGTGGGAGGATCAATTGAGCACAGGAGGTTGAGGAGGCAGTGTGAGCTGAGATCACGCCACTGCCCAGCCTGGGCGACTAAGTAAGTCCCTGTCTCAAAAAAAAAAAAAAAATCTATGACTTATGACTGCACATACAGTTAATCTGCAGAAAGAAGTCTGGCAGGATATAAACAGTGGGTTACTTTGGGGAAGGAAAGATGGGTGGGGCTATGGAGGCTTTCTGGTTTACTCTGTATAATTTTGAATTATTTGAAACTTTAAAAAATTTATTTAAGTTTTTTGTTAAGAACAGTTAACGAGATATACACCCATATTTTTAAGTGTGCAATGCAGTATTGTTAACTATAGGCAAAATGCTGCACAGCAGAGCTCTAGAGCCTATTCATCTTGTGTAACTGAAACCTTATGCCTATAGATTGAAAATATATTTAGGTATTATTTGGCTATTTGAAAAAGAGGAAAAATACAGCAAATGGTCCATAGATATCCCTCCATCATCCCAGCTTTGTGGTGTCTTGTGAGAGAAAACTGCTAGAACAGTTGAAGTGTGTAGTTTTAAAATGCTTACTTGCATTGTTTTTTCTTGGCAAAAGGTGACTGAGGTTAAACTTGAGCTATTGCTGAACAACAAGAAGCTGTGACCAGTGTGCTGTTACATGCCTGTAGTCCCAGCTACTTGTGAGGCCAAAGTGGAAGTATTGCTTGAGCCCAGGAGTTTGATATGAGCCTGGACACAACATAGTGAGACCACAGTCTCTTAAAAAAGCCATGATATGAAATAGAATATAGCAGTTTCTATTCATTCTCCTTTGTCCCTTTGTTAATTTTGAAATCTTCAGATATTGGCTGAAGAAAAATGCAGCATTTAATTTGCTTAATAATATTATTTATATAATTAAATTTATTTGTAGTATTTTCTAGCAGGTCTACCCGGGTTAGAGACATTCAGTATCTGAGAGGCACATTGATCATTTCTGGGAAGAAATTGTGGCACCACACTACCAAACGCTCTTGCATATTTTATTCCATTGAATCCTTTTAAGAGTGATGGGGAAGTAAGACAGGCAGCATAATTGCTGCTCAACACAGGAGTAAGCAGTCCTAGAGAAAATTAATGACATAAATAGAGTTATAGAACTATTAAGTGACAGGGTCAGAATTGGATGGAGCCAGGCTCTCCAATTTCAAATTTAGTTCTCTTCCTACCCAGCACGAGGGTGTGCAACGTAGCAGAGCTTCCCCGGAGTAGAATGTATTGGGACCATATTTTGTACAGTTACCAGTTTTATTCCAATAAAGCCTCAAATCATTGAAAGGTGTAATGAGAGAACTATAGGCCTAAAGATGAGGATCAAATAAAATAACAAATATAATAGAACTGTCTTGCAAAATATTTTACAAATATGAGGTTGTGTTTTGATTATCATGCATGTATCAATGCCTTCCATCTCTTCTTGGTATGCTTGTGAGAAGTGCGTGAGAGTTCTGCTCTCTTATGTGGGAAAACAGATGCAGTGGAATAAATGAGGCGAGAAGGGGACAAAGCCAGGCAAGGAGCCTCGTGAACTTACATTTTGATCAAATGGACTCCCTGCCATTAAGAGAACCTTTTTTCTAGGAGGGATGGGCTGAAAGGTAGCCCCAGGCCAGAGCTGGGGTAGCTGACAGTCATCTCCCACAAAACCAGCACTTGCACAAGTGATTAAAAAGAGATTTTCAAAAACAATTGTTAATTATGGTCACAGATCCTTGACACATAGTCCTTTTCAGAGATTGATTTTCCTCAACATCCTTGTAAATATGTGGTGCTTATTTCTCCCATTTCTACCTGGCATTGCTGAGTTGAAACTGAAGTTATATTATAAAATTTCCAAATAGATAGAACATTTCTATTTTAGACATGACATTAAGGGGCTCTTCTTCTCTTGAATGGACAGACCTCAAATGACAAGCACTTTTGGGATTGTGCCTATCCTCAGGTGCCATGTTATTGGAGCTGGAATAGTAGATGCTTATACAGGGCTCGGATCAAATGGAGTTCACCAAGCCACTGCCACATAGGTACATACAACTTCCTATATCTTTGGGTCTGCGTGAAGTTTTGTGATCAGCTCACTTACTAAGGTGAAGCTTTGTGCTTCATTACCAGCCTCTTAGGTCATGTGCTCCTTTGAACATTGGGTTTCTTAAGAACAAACTAGATTATCACCTTCTTGTTCTGTTAGGCATTCAGAATAGCAAGTCTTGATAACCAAATTCCTTCATATACTCAAAGGGTCAGAGCATGGGATGCAGTGGTTCAGGAGACAAAGTCATCCTTCCATCCATCCATCCACTTATTCGACATGTATTATGTGCTAAGACCAATCCTGTTCTTACCCTGTCCCTTGCAGTCTTGTGGGGGAGGGGAAGAAGAAATATGAAAATAACTATTCAATGACCATGTGATAAGTGAAGCACCTGGCACATAGCAGGTACTCAAAAATGGCCCATGAATGGAAGTGTCATGACAGATGCATGAACAAGGCCCTACATTCAAGACTTTGAGCAGAGTTTCCTAGCCTTGGCACTGCTGACATTATGGGCCAGATAATTCTTTGCTGTGGGGGCTGCCCTGTGCATCATAGGATGCTTAGCAGCATCCCGGGCCTCTGCCTACTAGATGGCTGTTGCACCCCTCCCTTAAGCTAACAATCAAAGATATCTTTAGACATTGCTAAGTGTCCCTTGCCAAGGCAAACTGCCCTGTCGAGAAGCACTGGCCTAGAGGAACATAGGACCATCATATCATGTTGGGCAGAGCCATGGAAAGATATGCAGGGTAGGACATTCTTAATTGATTGATAATTCAGCCTTAGCTCAATTTTTTTTTTTAAAGAGTTAAGGACTCACTCTGTTGCTCAGGCTGGAGTACAGTGGCACGATCATAGCTCACTGCAGCCTTGAATTCTTGGGCTCAATGAACTTCTTACCTCAGCCTCTTAATTAGCTGGCACTATAGATACACACCACCACACTTGGCTAACTTTTTAAATTTTTAATTTTTTTAGAGACGGGGTCTTGCTATGTTGCCCAGGCTGGTCTGAAACTCCTAGGCTTAAGCGATCCTCCTGCTTCAGCCTCTCAAAGTGCTAGGATTATAGACATAAGCCATCACGCCCAGCCCTCAGATTGATTTATCCGTAAGAAGCACCGCATCTGCCAGTGACTTAGGTAAAGGCTCATCTGTTTGTTTTGTCAAAATTTGGATTGATTTCATTCCCCTCCTCTTGGCAGAAATAATGCTGTCTTTCCTGTATTCTTTTCTTCTGGGCCCATTTTTCAGCCATTCTTTCAGGTGGGTAGAGCCAGAAGACTGAGTTCTGGCCAATGGAATATAGGCAGGGGTGATGCAGCCATTTTCTGGCCTTGCCTTCATGAAATCTCTCATGTGATTCTTTCCTCTGCCTCTGCTGGTTTGTCCACCGGATCTAGCAGAGGATCCTGGGGTCCCGGGAGATGGTAGAGCCACTGGAAGAAGAGACCCGAGGCCCCGAATGACTACGTGGAGCACAGCCCTCCACCAGTGCCAGTTTGCTTCCCACTGTAACATGAGAAAGAAAGAAACTGTTACTGTGGGATACTACGGAGATGAAGGGGAAATTTGGTGTAGTTGTTAGCTTTCCTGATTAAGATACTCTCTCCTGCTCCCTTTTCCCATTGGGTACTGATAACATGCCATAAAAATACTTTTTAATTTTACTTTTCTTTGGTCACTCTGGTGACCTACACATGGCATAACCTTAGGTAGACCCCATCATAGGCAGTTCCTGTGATAGAATTATGTGCCTTCCTAGCTCCACATGGTTTGTCTTTTCCAAATCTTTATTGGAAGGGATGAGTGTTTGAATCTCCTTTCATCTGGCCCTTTGGGACTAGTAGGACCACAGTCACAGAATAAGGAGTTCTGGTTACAACCCAAGCAGAAAATGATTCCTGAATGTTGAGTTCATAGTAGCTGTATTCCCCACACAGTTCAAATGGTGACATTCTTAAGGCAGAGGAAGAAGAACAGTCAATCCTTTTATTTAATTTTGGCAAGACTGTGGTTTATGGTGCTCTGGGGAAATGCAGCCACAGATGTGTCAACCTTTAAAAAAATTCTTGGCAGTCTAACCTTTAAGTCATAAACCTAAACACAGACAGTGCATCCCTGAAAAAAGCTCGTGTTGGCTGCATTGCACACCTCTATCCCACCTTCCAAGACAACCATCATTCCGTCTTTGCTTGTGAAATGCAAGTTCTGTTTATTTTAATCAGTATTTATTTCCTAGATGATCTGGGTGCGTTGTGATTTTCAACATGTTTGACAGTTTTATGGTTAGCTCAGCAATCACTCTATATTATTCACTCCCAAGATATGGATAAGCACAAGGGAGTTACTCCTTTCCAATTCTGCATCGATGTTGGACCTCTGTCAAGAAGCATCATAGGAAGGTGGTTAAGCACATGGACACTGGAGCCCTACTGCATGGGCTCTAGCCCTAGTTTAGCATTGTATCTACTGTGTGACTTTGGGGAAAGTTACTTAATCTTACTGTGCCTTGTCTTCAGGAACAAGAACAGTACCTACTTCCTAGAGCAGTTGTGAAAACCAAAGGAGTTAATTTGTATATAGACTTTAGGGAAGTGCCTGGCACAATATAAGTGCTTATAAATATTATCTGTCAATATTGCTAAAGGACAAACACTATGTTTTCATATATTTTACTTACATGATAATCAAAATGAGAAACTAGTTATTGTTATTTAATTCATTAAGTCTTCTATCTTCCCCTGTGCTTTTAAAGGACTTAATTAACTAGAGTTATTATAACTCCTTTTGGGGAAAATTTCTATTTTTACACATACACAGATAGGAACATGTATGAAAGTATATCAAAATGTTAACAGCATCATCTCTGGGAGGTTTGATTATGAATGATCTTAATTCATTTTCATTTTTTCCTCATTTGGATTTAATAAGTCTCTATACACATTACTTATAGAACTTTAACAGAGCAAAGAACTCAACTAACATTTCTAGCACTTTCAGAGAATATTATTCATATTATATTTGCATGTGTTTTGTGTGAAACTTCACATCAAGTGTTTTATGCCTTAACTTTTTGTGATTCTTTCCTCCTGTGTTTTCTCTGTTCAAGTGAACACATCAGTAGGATCAGTGATTTGTCATGCACAGACACAGCACATAACTCCACATTTCAGGTAACAGCTCTTTTTGTGTGTGTGTGATAGATTTTTACTCTTGTTGCCCAGGCTGGAGTGCAATGGCACAATCTCTGCTCACTGTAACCTTTGCCTCCCAGGTTCAAGTGATTCTGCTGCCTCAGCCTCCCAAGTAGCTGGGATTACAGGCATGCACCACCATGCCTAGCTAATTTTGTATTTTTAGTAGAGACAGGGTTTCACCATGTTGGTCAAGCTGATCTCAAACTCCTGACCTCAGGTGATCCACTTGCCTCGGCCTCCCAAAGTGCTGGGATTACAGGCGTGAGCCTCCGCGCCAGGCTGTAACTGCTCTTCAGATAACTTCGATCCTTTGTTTCTTTCCTTTGCCTGTGGTGTCTGATAATTCTGCTAATCAGCTGGATCCCTGCCGGCCACCCTAATTTAGTTGTAGGACACAGAGCTAATACCAAGGGGACCAACTCCTGCTTCTGCCTTGAGAAATACACTTAGCATCTGGGGCCCCTAGAGATGGATGATTGCTGTGCCTGTGACAGAAATGTGAGGGTGGTTAACTAGAACTCTCACAGTCTACCTGATCTTACTCAAAGTCAATAAAGAATTGGACCAGGTCAAAAGGAAATCTCTTGGTGAGAAAGCGAAGAGTTTGAAAATGTGCCTTTAGTAATATTTCTGCCTCTGTCAGGAGGGAGAGCTCGTGACTCAGGTAGAGTAATGATGACCATCTCTTGAATGATTTCTATTTGTCACTGCTTTAAAAATCTGTTCCTAACTGTTCACCACCACCCTGTGAGGTAGGGGAAGTAATGACAATAACAGCTATGATGATAGCAATAACCAGCAGCTAACATTTGCTGAGCACTTACTATATGCCAGCCACTAAGCTAAGCTCTTTATGTAATTATCTAATGTCAACCTTGTCAAATATCCAAGGTAAATCCCACCATAATTTCCATTGTACAGATGAGAAGACTGAGGCTCAGAGAGGGAAACTGACACAGCTAAGATTTGATTCCGGGTCTGTCTGACTTACAGTTGGGATGTTAAGCATGCTATTATATTGCTGAATCATTCTATAATCAGCTCTTTTGTTTTGGAATTTAGTGCTGAATGTTTTAATTTATCTGGTGATACAGACTTCATCTTCTTTGTTCTTTCTTAATGTGCAGCTTATTATAAATATGCTTTTATATAAATTATCTCTACATTTAATTGTCTCTTTATTTGATCTTCATAACCCAGCCCATGGGGCAGTCAGGTTAGGTATTATCTGAGCT
The DNA here is from genome assembly GCF_000001405.40 of Homo sapiens. Lineage (NCBI taxonomy): Eukaryota > Metazoa > Chordata > Mammalia > Primates > Hominidae > Homo > Homo sapiens. Next base: position 197,227,799 of record NC_000002.12, on the reverse strand, counting down.
TTACCTATGAGGAAAATGAAGCCCAGAGACATGGACTTTTCCCAACACACACAGCCATGAGTGGCAACAGCAAGGCTGGAATGGATGTCTTCAGATTCCTGGTCCAGTGATCATTCAACTCTCCCGTTGTTCTGATGCCTTATTCTCACAAGTCAGCTGTCTTTTTCTTCTTGCCCCCAAAGGATTTTTGTTTTTTTTGGTAAAACAAACACTTTTTGGGTTATTTTAAAATAGTTTAGTAGAATTGGGATGTGCACATAGGATAGGGCAGAATATGCAAAGGAGATGGCCCTTGAGGAGTTTTCACACCTTCAGTCGTGTTTACCAGGAGGTGTTCACTAAACCCTAGTTTGTCAATTATGTTTATTCTTTCCAGAATCTGGGAAGGGGCCAGCGATGCAATGGGACACCCAATACTTAGGAGCCTCACCTGCTTCCAGGTCCCTGCTCTAATTCTGCAGTCCTCGGTCCAGCTATTGCTGAAAGCAAAGCTTCAGACCACCTGTCAGCAAATTATTCCTTCCTCAAGAAGTTGCCCTGAAGCCATTTCTTTATATGAAGGCTTTTAGTTCATCACTACACTGGAAATTCAGTTTACCACCGAATGAAGTTTTTTAGAAGAGGTTGTTATTATTTCCTTTAAAGAGAGGTATCAGAGGACAGGGGTTGGTAGAAGCAATAAAGAAAACCATTAATATAGATTGAGAATTAAGATGCTGTTTTCTGCTGAGGATGGCAGGAGGGAGGTGTGTTCCAGCCCACAGGGTGATATGGTTGTCCTGACAGCAGTGAACTCCTAGGGTAAAAGCAGCAGTCAGACTGGCTGTTAGATAGCAGGTCTCTGGGAGCTCCCAGGGAATTGGGTCCATATTGTGGTCCCTTTTTGGAATCAAATTCTGAGATGTAATCTCAGAAGGAGAAATAGAGTTATGAAAGAAGGTAATGTAATAGAGAAGAAAGAATCTGAAGATGTGGGTTCTAATCCTGGCAACATGCCTAATTACCTATGTGACTTCAGGAATGTCACTTAATACCTCTGGGCCTCAGCTTCCTTACCTGTGGAATGAGGTGGTTGGACTGGATTAGTGGTACCTGACCCTCACTATACATCAGAATCACCAGGGAAACTTTTTTTTTTGAGACGGAGTCTGCTCTTGTCGCCAGGCTGGAGTGCAGTGGTCGATCTGAGCTCACTGCAACCTCTGCCTCCCTGGTTCAAGTGATTCATCTGCCTCAGCCTCCCGAGTAGCTGGGACTACAGGCGTGCACCACCACACCTGGCTAATTTTTTGTATTTTGGTAGAGATGGGGTTTTACTGTGTTGGCCAGGATGATCTCAATCTCCTGACCTCATGATCCACCCGCCTCAGTCTCTCAAAGTACTAGGATTACAGGCGTGAGCCACCGTGCCTGGTCGGGAAACTCTTAAGAAATATTGGTGACTGGGCCCTATCTGATTTAAATGAATGTAATTGGTGATTAATTGGCTCTGAGTTAATTGGTGTGGATACACCCTGGCATCAGTATTCCCAAAGCCTGTCCAGGGGATTTGATTATGCAGCCTGAGTAGGATCAACTCTAAGACACACTCAGTTCTAACATTCTATTTTAAAATATATATAGTTGGTCTCTAACCAAGGGATTTATAGATGACACAGCAGCTTGTAAATGGGTTTACTGTAATGAAGAGCACTGATCATTTTTGTCTTGGAAGACAGGAAAGTTATTAAAGAGTTATTGAAGCTATGCCATTGATTTGTAAGATAATTCTCCAGGGAAAGCCATAAAAGCCTGTTTTTAGTGAGACATTGAAGTTTGGGAGAAAGATGCATAGAGAGTTTAATATAGCCAGAAAAGAGGAATTATTTGTTTTTAGATAATTGGAAGTGTTTTCTCTCAGAAGTTTATGCTAGGAGAATTTGTTCATAGGCCTAGAAGAGAACGTTTGGCTTGCAAACTATTTTTAAGGTAAACAGCAATTTCCACCCCATATCACCTTTTAAGTCCAATGGGAAAAAGTTATATTTTGTTGAATGCCAAATTATTAGGTCTGTTTCTGGGTTAAAATTCCAGTCCTTCTAAAAGTAAATTATTCTTCCTTGGGAATCAGATTTCCCAAAACCTGATTTATGTTTAAATGTAATGCAGTGCAGATTGGCCAGGCGTGGTGGCTCACGCCTATAATCCCAGCACTTTGGCAGGCTGAGGCGGGTAGATCACTTGAGGTCAGGAGTTCAAAACCAGCCTGGCCATCATGGTGAAACCCTTTCTCTACTAAAAATACAAAAATTAGCTGGGTGTGGTGGTTGGAACCTGTAATCCCAGCTACTTAGAAGGCTGAGGCAGGAGAATCCCTTGAACCTGGGAGGTGGAGGTTGCAGTAAGCTGAGATTGCGCCACTGCACTCCAGCCTGGGTGACAGAGCGAGACTCAGTCTCAACAACAACAACAACAAAAAGAAAAAGTCATGCAATGTAGAAACATAAGATTAATTTAATGTTCTTATTTACTTAGTTTCAAATTATTAAACCTACAGGAATTAGGCTAAATTATTTTTTGGTTTACGCTCGAATAGCAAAAGAAAACTGGGATATGTGGCATAAATCTGGTACCAAAGCTTTCCACATAAGTCCTTTCTTTTCAAATCTTTGGTCTCTCAGATCCACAAAGGCAGTTGTCATCCACCTAGAAGTGGGTCATAGTAAATCCAAAGCTCAAGGTCATCTCCCTCCTCTTCCCTTTTCTCCCTCCCCATCACACACATTAAAAGCTTTGGCAATATAATCCTCTTTTGTGTCAGAAGAATCTAGACAAGATTCTGAACTGTTGTGTTCTTCCTAACAGGAAGTCACCATCTGTATCCATGAGGAACTTCAAATGTGTTTTGATTTTTAGAGCCTATGATCTATAACAATTCTATAATTCAACTAGGAAATGTGGATAATAAATGATCTCATGCTGTGTCAGGTATACACAGATATAATTAGAAAAGAGGTGCTTTAGAAACAACCAATGTTTATCATCATTACCAACCCTTCACCTTTTTTCCTAGAAAAGGAAAGAAAATTGAGTCATTTGTATTTTAAATCCTATGGGGCTTAAAAAATAGATATATTGGGTGTTAGTTATGCTGTATAGAAAAGCGCAACAAACCAAAAAGCATAATGAATAAAACAAAAATGACCTTAAATTCATCACCCAGATAATCATGTAAGCATTAGAAATTTAAATATACAAAAAGGGGAAAAAAGACAATTCTCTAGATATCTGCTTTTAATGGAGAGATTGCTATGAAAATACACAAGGACAATCTTAGATTTTTGAAGAGCATCTCTTAAGACCATCTCCTTCTACCCCTTATTCAGGCTTACCCATTGGGATAAGCTCAGAAAAGCTGTATTTGGTCTTAATAATGATCCCTAAAAGATTACATAATTTTAAATGCTGTATCATTAAAATTATTATATTTACAGGGAGGAAAAAGCCAATTGTGGATACAGTTGATCAAAGCTGATTTCCCTGTTTCTGCTCTTTCTTCCATTTAACTTTTTTAATCTGAGTGTCTTCAAACTATGGTCACAATTTGAGCCATGGAGGGCCACTTCCATCAGTGCCATGTGGTGGTGGTGCTTCTTGCACACTGCCTGATGAAGTCCAGGACTCGATTTACCTTCCAGAATGCAGAATGTCTTCAGGGAACAGTTTAAGGGACCAAGATCCTTTCCATAGATGTAACCAGCCCCTCAGAAACCAACATTTCATAAATACAGATGGAAATTTCTTTTTAAAAATGCATTCTATAACACATACGGACATGTATCTACTACTTTTCGGGGTTTGTTTATACCTTCGTGGAATCGTCTTTTTATTATTCACATCCAGTAAATATCTTAAAAGTTGTTTTGTCTTGTAAAAACTTTTCCATTATGTAAGTGATAGGTGAAAGCACACAACAAATAGATATAGCCATCAAATTACAAACATTAAAATCTGAAAGTGACAAATGTAGTGAAGATATAGTTAAACAGGATCCCTCATACAGTGCTCCTGGGAGTGTAAGTTGTTATAACTATTTGCAGTTATTTGGAGATAGGTTGAAGCTGTGCACACCCCACAATTCTAGGTTGTGATTTCCCTTCTGGTTTTATCCCCTGGGAAAAACTTTGCATCTGTGTAAAAGGAAATTAATGCAAGAGTGCTCATCATAACATTGTTTGTCATGGAAACAAACAAAAAGGAAACACACATACTGACATGGAGAAATAACTTGTAGTATTTTGCGTGCAATGGAATACTATATGAGGGTGAAAATGAATGAACTAGCAATGCGTGTATCAACATGAATAAATCCCCAAAACATAATAATGTTGAATGGAAAAGGTGAGTTTCAGAAGGATATATATGCCCTCTAAATCCATTTATGTAAACCTTTAAAAAACTACATTATTTATGGTCATAAGCCCATCCAGAAAATATTTAAAAACCTACATGGGATTGATAACTACTGATGTCAGGATAGTGGTTTACTGTGAAGTGGAAGGGTAGGTAATGGGGCCAGGGCTTTGCTTGGATCTTTAATGTTTCATTTCTTGATCTGAGCAGTAGGTATATGGGTGCCTGTAACATTATTATCTAAACTGTTTTGTATGCTTCAACTATTTCATAGTTTAATAATAAAAAAGAAATCAGCTGGGTCTGGTGGCTCACACCTTTAATCCCAGCACTTTGGGAGGCCGAGGTGGGTAGATTACTTGAGGTCAGGAGTTCGAGACCAGCCTGGCCAACATGGTGAAACCCTATCTCAACTGAAAATACAAAAAGTAGCCAGGCATGGTGGCACACACCTATAATCCCAGCTACTTGGGAGGCTGAGGCAGGAGAATCACTTGAACCTGAGAGGTGGAGGTTGCAGGGAGCCAAGATCATGCCACTGTACTTCAGCCTGGGCGACAGAGTGAGAATCCGTCTCAAAAAAAAAATAAATAAATAAAAAATAAATAAAATAAATAAATCAACTACCTTGAAACTCTGTTGTAGTTTTATCAAAATAATAGCAGCAAACAAAAAATTAGGATTAAGAGAAGGAAATCTGATGGAGGAACATGAAGTGATCGGATTGCCTAAAGAAACCTGTTGAAAGCAAACTCCAACAGAATGAGCACAGCCCTAGGTGATGAGGATGATGCCCTTTCTCCCAAACTTCTCCAGAACCCTTATTTTGTGACTGTCACACCCACTGAAAAACCAACAAGGGGAAAACAGAGAAGAGAGGATGTGTCCTTGGGCGAGAGGAAGGTCTCAATCTTCCAGAAGAATGAGGGCAGAGAATGTTTTTTAAAGCTGCGTGATCCACAAGTGATGGGGATCTGAAGGCTTAAATAAAACTTCCATCTTCTTTGAAGTTTTTGATCTTTAAAGAGAATATTTAGTTCCCATTACACACTATTCTTGGTAGTTTTGTTTTGTCTCCTGCCTTTGTGTTTTCAGCTATGGCTCAAGAAGTTTAGAAGCCTCCTTCCCTACCCTCCTCCTCCTCTTCTTGAGTCTGCTTACAAGGCACCAGCAGGTACCATGGGGGATAAAGAAAAATAAAAGTACAAAGCAGATCCTAGTGGGCAACCCCAGGACACAGGGCAGTTATCACAGTCTCACATTATCTGCCTTAGGACACCAGTCTCTTGGTTGAACCTTTATTTATTTCTCCTTTTCCTCCAGGTGCTGTTCTTAGCTATAGCAGAATCACAGAAGAGAGTATTTGAGTCATTGAAGCATTTTAATGTTAGGATTTTGGTGTAGGATGAGATCTTAGCCATGGAGTGCAGTAGAACATTTTATAGATGGCAGAAGTGAGATTCTGATGTTAAAGTAGCCTGACCCAAGAGGGGGAAGAGCCCAGAGCCCAGCCTTCCCACCCTTAACACTGGGTGCTTTCTGTGACTCCAGGTTGCCTCTCTGACTTTTTGTGCTTTCTAGTCCTCAGCTTTGGCTGATCGAATGTAATTTCTTCCCCTGTCTATCACTTTACACTCTGGGGCTTCTTTAGGTTATCTCCAGTGAAAAGAGACACAGTATAACATATGCTGTCCCATTACCAACGACCTTCTGGATGAGTGAAAGATGGCCGAGGGTGGTGAAGATAATGCATTCATATTCTTAGGGAATTTTCCCTGGAAGAGATGAAAAGTTGAGGCAATCTAAGTTATGCTTTAGGAAGGACTTTATTCCGTGTTGTAGAGGCTGTGACAGAAGTCTGCGGTCAGGCTTACTAGTCAAAGAGTAACTAAAATATTACATTAAAAAAGATTTCCAGCCTAAGCAACATAGTGAGATGACATTTCTTCAAAAAAATAAAAAATTAGCTGGGCATGGTGGTATGTGCCTGTAGTCTCAGCTACTCAGGAGGCTGAGGTGGGAGGATCACTTGTGTCCAGGAGTTTGAGGCTACAGTTAGCTATGATCACTCCACTGCACTCAAGCCTGGGCAACAGAGTAAGACTCTGTCTCTGAAAAAAAAAATTACCTTATCTAGCAGCTATTTTTTTTTTTTTTGAGATGGAGTCTCACTTTGTCACCCAGGCTGGAGTGCAGTGCCATGATCTCGGCTCACTGCAACCTCCACCTCCCAGGTTCCAGTGATTCTCCTGCCTCAGCTTCCCAAGTAGCTGAGATTACAGGTGTGCACCACCACACTTGGCTAGTTTTTGTATTTTTTAGTAGAGACGGGGTTTCACCACATTGGCCAGGCTGACCTCGAACTCCTGACCTCAGGTGATCTGCCCGTCTTGGCCTCCCAAAGTGCTGGGATTACAGGCGTGAGCCACTGTGCCCGACCTCTAGCAGCTATTTTTACAATAATTCAAATAATGTTAACTTAGGAGAGTATGTTCTCCAAGTTGTTTTTGTAAAAATGACTTTGACATTATATAACATGATCTTAAAAACCCACTGGGATAGCAAATTATCAGTTCTAAGCCTACCTGTGAGTCAACATAAAGTAGATTCCTGAATGCCCCTTTAATAAAGGCTGTTAAATGTCTCAGAGGTTTTAATGCTGATTTAAAGTCAGCATTTTAAAATTTTAAAGTCCTTCTGAGACTGATTGCTGTGGGCAAACTAAATGCTTTAGCTGAGAGTGTGCTTATAACCCATTTTTTTTCCCCCAGAAATATAATCAGCCAGACATAGGAATTAATTGAAGCATTCATTGTCTAGCTGTGGAGCCTCCCCACAAAGGTAAAGAGTATTTGTGATTGAGTCTGGCTACCAAGCAAATGACCAATGTCTACCTATGACAACTCTCTGTTGCATTTCCTTCTTTACATCATATTTCTCATCTTGAAATACACAATGACAATACTTTGATAAGTGGAGAAAAAAGCAGAGAAATAAGAAAAACCTTTCCGTTATATGGAGAACCCATTTTCTAGGCTAACAACTATGATACCAAGAACATCATAGTGGCTAGTCTAACTCCTTATTGGATCATAACACTGTAGAATTTATAATAAAATATTTATCCATATTAATGACAGGAATTTCTTTCCTGGAGAAAATTGGATATAATGTTATTCAAATTTAAATACATGGTAAAGAAGAAATAAAAGCTGTGAGGGAATTAAGGCCTGCCACAAAGAAAGGATTAGGATATGACTGCTATCTTTGTTTCTACATTTAAAAATATTGTACACTTTCATTCTTGTGTAAGTTTTTTAGATTACTTTCAAAGTAATTTGCATAGAGTTTTCTGCTGACATGAAAAAATTGATCTTGATTATTCTTCAATTAAACTTTTAATAAATTATTTTTATATGTAAGGTTAATATGAAGAACAGCCTTCTATAGCTTGTTAAAATAAAGGGAAATTTTTGTTAGAAGGCATTCACTCACTCTTGTTACTTCCTTCGTATTCTCTAAGGCCTCTCCCTGCCTTTGGAGATTTGCCCTCTTGGCACAATTCTAATTTTCTCTGTAGAATGTCTTTTTCCCTTGGGAGGTGAGATTTGAGCTTCCTTTGCATCCTGGTGCGTTCTCCTATTACAAATATAAAAATTAAAAAAAAAATCAGTGATTTACACCACATGATCCATCTGGTGAATTATTTTTCCTGCACTTTGCAGACCATGATTGTCCTCGGGAACCTTTCATTGGGGTCCCGTCTGCTTTCATGGTGCCAGAAAATTTTGCTTTATTTATCATTTTTAAAACAGCTCTCAAAGCCCTTCTGAATTTCTTACCTTTACTAATGTATATGATGCATTTATTAGTCAGGAATTTTTTTTTGGACGCAAGTAACAGAAATCCCACCAAACTAGTTTAAGCAAAAGCGACTTTATGTTCTGGAAGTGGTCAATAGTGATGTCATATAACAATGTTAGTGTGCCTAATGCCACAGAACTATCCACTTGAAAATGGTTTTAAAAAAGTGACTTTAGGGCCAGGCGCAGTGGCTCATGTCTGTAATCCCAGCACTTTAGGAGGCTGAGGTGGGCAGATCACGAGGTCAGGAGATCAAGACCATCCTGGCCAACATGGTGAAACCCCATCTCTACTAAAAATACAAAAATTAGCGGGATGTGGTGGCATATGCCTGTAGTCCCAGATACTCGGGAGGCTGAGGCAGAAGAATCGCTTGAACCTGGGAGGCAGAGGTTGCAGCGAGCTGAGATCGCACCACTGCACTCCAGCCTGGCGACAGAGCAAGACTCCATCTCAAAAAAAAAAAAAAAAAAGGAACTTTAGCCAGGCATGGTGGCTCACACTTGTAATCCCACCCAGCACTTTGGGAGGCTAAGGCAGGTGGGTCACTGATGTCAGGAATTCAAGATCAGCCTGGCCAACATGGAGAAACCCTGTCTCTACTAAAAATACAAAAATTAGCTGGGCGTGGTGGTGGGTGCCTGTAATACCAGCTACTTGGGAGGCTGAGGCAGGAGAATTGCTTGAACCCAGGAGGCGGAGATTGTAGTGGGCCAAGATTGTGTCACTGTACTCCAGCCTGGGTGACAGAGCAAGACTCCATCTCAAAAAAAAAAAAAAAAAAAAAAAAAAGGGACTTTACCCTCCCATACCAGGAAGTCTAAAGTGGCATCAGGCAACTGTGTTTTTTTCTCTATCCCTTGGGCAGTCAATATTTAATTTCTCACCATCCCTTTCTTAAACTCCAAAAGTACAGGTTTTCATCAGTCCATGGCAGAAATATGCGGGAGGTACAAAGTGGGCTGTAGGATGTGTCATGGGTGGCTTTATGGAGAAAGTGGCCCTTCAACTGTAGTTATTGGTTTGGGAGCAATTAAAAGAAGAGCTTGAGCCAAGATGTGAAGCTGGGAAAACCCAGGTAAATGGTTCACTTTGGCTGCAGAATGCCATGTTCACTGGGTGAAGGGGAGTGGTACAGCTAAGATCCAGAAAGGTAGCAGGGAATAGCAGGAAGTCCCACTGGTATTTCAGACATCCCTGGAGAATGGAGGGGTGTAGGTGAGGATCAGTAGTTGCTGTCTTAAAGAAGGCAGAGACACCTGCTCCTGGGAATTTGGAAGGGGAAAAATGTTGGAGAAGAATAATCTCAGTAGACATCTTTCATTCCTTCTATTGGAATATCTTTTTTATCCTTTCAGGTACAGGATAGTCTTCCCATCTCTCTGACATTTTAGGAGAGGAAGACCTCTCTTAAAGTATCCCAGGCAAATGAGAATCCATCTGTTTTGGTGTCCTGATCTTGACCATTATTCTTTTCTTTTATTTTATTCTAGTATTTTCATCTTGATTTTCATTAGTAAAAACTCTTATGTAAATACTAGCACTATTGCCCATCTTATTCTATCCATCAATAGGAAGCAGAGGGAACAAATGTTTCAGTACAGGAGTGAAGGGCTTTGTGGCTGAATGTTCTTTCCTTGGGGGCCAATTGCTCCAATGTTTTTGGAAACTCTGTGAGAGTTGTGTATTCTGTGCTGAACCACAGACTTTTTAGATCTGGAAAGAACCTACAAAAATACATACCTTCCAACTCATTCATTTAACGGATGAGAAAACCTGGATCCCACAGTTGTTAAATGAGGCTCTCATACTTTTATTACCTCAAAGGATAAAAATCTCAAGGGTGTTCCTTGAGAAAGAGCAGATGAGTGGCTCAGAACCGTTATAGCTCTGCACAAAAGGGGGAAAGTCACCTCTTCTGGACTTGTTGCCCAGACATTTTCCTGTTGTTTAATTTCTCAGTTGTTTTATACAACAATTTCAAGTGTTTTTCAGATACCCAATTGAATGTGCTATTTTTGCTGCCTCTGCAGGAGAGTCTATTATGTCATTCAAGCAAATACTGCTCTTTCTCTAGTTCAATCACTTGAATTTTGGTGGGCTATGAGGATCCCAACATTTTCCATATTAAAGAATATGGATATGTTCCCCCATCAAAATCCATTTTGGGAGCTATCCAACCTTAGTGAAAATCCAAATCACTGGATGGTTTTTGAGCCTTAAAAGATGGCTCTATTTTGAATGACATCCTGGTAGCATTTATGTTATATTTGACACCCTGGATATTTATTTGCTTCTTTACTGGTTTTGATGGATTGAAAAACACAATGCATCAGTAAATAGGAGACAATTGTGATTATTTAGATAACCTAGTAATGTGAGAGATCATTGGACCATGAAAAAAAAGTGGAAAGTAAATGAAATTATCTGTTTTCATCAGCAAAACCAGACTCAGTTGGCAAACAGTGATGAGAAAATAGTCAAACCTTTTTCATCTTCAGAGTCCTCTTAGAGTGCTGGTGATTTTGTCTGGGAGCTTTTGCAGATCAGCCAGCTCTGCCTTTTCGTTTTTGATGGTCACTGAGTCCTTTTTTTTTCTTTTCCCCCAGAGGAGTGATTTTCTGTGTGTTTTTGTTTTTGGAGTGTGTGTGTGTGTGTGTGTGTGTGTGTGTGTTTAACCAATGTGCTTGCTGACAAAGCCAGACCCTGCCTTCTGGCTGCCTTAGATTTCATGGCATAAAGTAGTGCTTCCTGGACGCTGATGCTTGTGAGGTTGGAAATGTTTTTCTGCTGGAAAAAGTCCAGAAAAGGTAGTTATGTGTGGGCTGATGTTAGTGCAAAATGGAAAGTCTACTGTCTTCCAGTTATAGAAGGGGAAGTGAGAAATGATGACATGCACTTTGAACTCAGTATCTTAGAAACGGGCCACCCTTGCTCTCCTCCCACAATCCAAATCAATTTCTGAAAAAGCACTCTGGTCAGCCTGGATAATGCACCCAGCCCTGCTGATGAGAACAGCGGAGGGAAATGTCTCGATGAACAGTTTCATCTGGATCACAAGGATTTAGGAGGGACAGCTCCTAAAATGGAGGGAGGTAGGACAGACTAAGAAGCCACAGATTTTCCCTGCAATGACATTGATCCTTTGGTGGGTATTAATTAGTTCACAGAAGAAACTCCAAAGAAATTTGTGGATTACTGGATAGCATGAATTATGGAGGAAATATTGCTGCTCTTCCTAAGTGAGAGACCTTTAGGGTGAAATGACTCATTTCCTCTGTTGAATGGAAGCACCATTCTTACATATTACTTCCACATTAGGACACTAATATTTGAAAACTATACCAGACTGCATTTTGAATGACGACTTTGTACCCAGTATCTTCACATGAGTTACTCTTTTGATCCTCACAAGCCTCCAGAAGAGGTAGGTGATGTCTTCTTGGTTTTACTAAGACAGGCATCCAGGGCATAGTTGGAGCCAGCAAGGGGCAGAGCAAGTCCTTGAACCCCGATTGGTTTGACTTTAAATTTTGTGTTCTTTCCTCTACATCACAGCTGCTTGGAAGAGAACTGCCAGATGCTGCTGTTAATCAAGGTTGTGAAGTTGCATACAAATTGAGAAGGAAAGGAGGAGGAAACAGCATCATAAATTTTGGCACAAAAGTGTAAAGCTTTTAAAGACCCTCAATATGTCACTGCTCCTAGCTAAGTTTGTTGCCACATAATTAGGCCGAAAGTCCTAATTGCAGGTTGATTTTTAAACCTACATGACCCTGTGCCAGCAGGATTTATGCTGAGACATTTACTTTAATTAAATGGCTACTTAGTGACAGGGCTTAAATATATATCATTTAAAGAGCCAGATAGTTTTTTTTCAGATACTCGGTCGATCAAGAACACATTTCATCCTTATTAACAATACATAGTATTCAACTAGAAATATTTGATTTGATTTCATTTAATTGAAGCCATTTGAGGTCATCAAAAATTATTTGCGGAGATTTTCTCTAATCTGTGGTTTCAGGGATGGGAAAATTGGAAACACATGGATTTACTACCTCACACTCTCCCACTTCAAATGTTACACTGAGGCATTGGTACCTTCTAACCCCCTGCACTGAGAGAACCTCATGCGGCCAAAACCTTTGGTTTCTGAAGCCTAGCCAATGACATGCAAAATAGCCTTTTCTCTACCAAAAGCAAGAAAAATCTTCAGTTGAAAAATTGGGCTAATGTTGTTCAGTAAACAGTATGAATTAAAACTAGTTCAATTTGGCTTAGATTTTATACATCATCTCAACACAGAAGATTCTGATGCAAAGTGAAAAATGAAGCATATACTTGCTTTAAAAATACAGCTGTTCTGGCCTGGCATGGTGGCTGACTCCTGTAATCCCAGCACTTTGGGAGGCTGAGCCGGGAGGATCATGTGAGGCCAGGAGTTCGAGACCAGCCTGGCCAACATGGCAAAACCCTGTCTCTACTAAAAATACAAATACTAGCCAGGTATGGTGGTGTGCGTATAATCCCAGCTACTCGGGAGGCTGAGGCATGAGAATCACTTGAACCCTGGAGGCAGAGGTTGTAGTGAGTGGAAATTGTGCCACTGCATTCTAGCCTGGGTGACAGAGTGAGACTCTGTCTCAAAAAAAACAAAACAAAAACAAAAAAATCCAGCTGTTCTTCTAGTCCCAGAATTCCAGTTTGGCCTGCCTTGGAGCATCTATTTGGGAACAGGCATATGTGACCTTCCAATTCAAGACTTTGCTTCTGTTGTTGCTGCTGGGATTGGCAGGCTTCTGTGTTCTAATTACTCTTTTAAAATTCCATTTAAAATGCAATTTCATGTAAATGTGTGTTTTCACATTTAGTTTTTATAGCATTTCTTTTCTTTCCCAACTATATCAGTGATAGGTATTAACTGTAAGATGTGGTATATACAGATGAGCAAAAGAAAAAAGGAGAAAATAACTTGTAATCTAATCACTAAGACATAAATACTACTGACTTGGTCTTTTTTCTCTTACTCTTCCTCTTTATGTATGTATGTACATATTTACTTAAAATATAGACTTGCTATCTCATTGTATATGTTACTTAATGCAACAAAATTCTTTTTGCATGTTTGCCAGGTGCCAGACACTAGGCTAGGCCTTGGATATAGTTTTGTTTACTGTTTTTTTTAAATTGTCACTTAATGCTATATGATAAATATTTCTCCAAGTCTTTAAAAATTATTTGAAATGACATTTTTAATAGCTGCATAATATCCCATCATTTTGATGTGCCATATTTTATTATGTCCCTGAGATTGGACAATTAAGAAGCTTTTGGTTTTTTTTCTATAATAACCAACACCCTAATATACACCCTGAACATAAATCTTTGTGCTCATCTCTGATCATTTCCTTATAGTAATTTCCCACAAAAATTATGGGGGTAAAGAATATGAAAATAGCTATAGCTTATCTGAGGTTGCTTTTCAGTTGCTACCTTCATCTTATTCTTTCTTTGTCTCCAAAGTGACTTGATTGCCTTAAAGTGATTCTAAAATTCACATAGCATTAGAGAAACCTAGACTATGCTTTAGAAAACAGTCTATCTTCCCAAAGATACATATACCCTCTTAAAGGTGCTGTAGTATTGCCAAGATACATACACATATAATATCTTAAAGTTGCTGTATGTACCTTTTTAAAAAGAGAAAGAGTTCTAAGCTTGTTTACTTAGAAGGTCTAATAAATCAGATCATTAAAAGTGTGAGAATTGCCTGTTTATGAAAACGTGCAGTTGGTTCAAACTGGCTATATAAATCGGCCAGATTGTATGAGCCAGTCTACAGGAGCTTAGCAGTGTACAGGTCCAATTCCATTATTTGCTCAATAATAGTTTTATGCTTAGGCTCAGCGTATGAGGCTGATAATTGTGGCATGATAAGACTGCACAGTGCTCAAGTGTATAATGAGCAATGCTTAGCTGGAAGAGAGAAAATATTTATCAGTGCTTTGCTAATGAGATGTTTTTTATATCATCTAATGAGTTGGTTTTATTTTAGGTAAGGTTAAATGTGTTTAATATGTTTCATAGAGATCTTGAAATAACATGTGCTGAAATAAATTAGAAAAAAAATCAGAAAAATTCCAAGTGGGCTCTCTGGAGTAATCACCTCGTAGATATTATTTTGAAAACCAGAAAACTGGTTGGAAGATGATATGCCAAAAATAACATTGTCTACATTAAACAGACTTACTTTATAGACCGCTTGTGTAACAAGATGTATAATGCTCTCCTTTGAGAACTTCTCCTTCCTTCAGGCTAACCTTGTTTGGGTGATATACCAGACTGTGTTAGAGGGGTCATAGCTCGCTGGGTGGCTAAGCCCCTATATGTGTGAGGTAGAAGTCTTGTAGAGTCAAAATTACTCTTGAAAATCTCTTTGGAAGGTGCCACCATGGAGGCCTGTATACTATCCCTTGTGGAGGCCAACACAGCCACTTTGGCCTGCAGAGTTGGAGCCGCATTGCTGTTTCTTTGAGCACCAGATAAGAAGTTGGCTTGCATTTAGGGGCCAACTTGTATGAAAAATATGTTTCTTTAAACACTAGAATCCCAGTCAGCTCTGTGAGATGTTCACACTGTGAAAAGCTTTCTGGAATGAGATGCAGAGGAAGCTGTGGGGTCGTGTTTCCTTTTTTCTCTCTCACCGTGGGCATGTGATCACCGAGTTCCTGATTGAAGTGTGTGTTTGTGTGTGTACGTGTCCACCTCCCTTCCTTGTGGGTGTTAACTGAATTCTTTTGAGCAAAAACATGTCTGACATGACACCACTGCAGTTGCTGTGATGCAGAATTTTTACTCATGTAGAAGTTCTTCTGTGAGAGCCTGCAATAACCTTTTTGGTTAATACTCCCTATAAAAGGAGAGTGGAAGAGGCAGGGTGAACAAATGTGTTATTTTGAATGAATGTGAATGAATCATGAGCAGAGATTTATTGAGGGCCTACTATGTGCTAGCAGTTAGGGATATAGTGGTGACCACAGTGACCGAATCCCTGCCCTTCTAAAACTTATGGTCTTGGTAGATTCCTGAGAATTTGCCTTTGTCTAGGCAACAATGGACTGACTAGATAACCATTAAATACATAGGGGTTCAAATATTTAGTGCAGAAGCATTTTGGGTTCTCGAATAGGGACTGTGTGATACAAGTGGTTTCTTTGAAAATTATCCATGATCTAAGCTCACACACTTACTGGCTCATAAAAGCCAGTTTCAGAGGCCAGATGACTTTCGTGTTTGGTGCCAGTGTGCTCCCACTGGATCCCTATCTGCCTGGTTGCAAACTCTTGGCTCTAGTACTGCCTGATCTCTAGCATACTTTGATCCACCAGAAAGTCCCTCCTTGTTCCAGTTCCAAAACTCTAGCTCTGCAATATCTCCTCTCCTTCCCCCAAAGTGGTGCTGTGGGGTGTGTGTGTGTGTGTGTGTGTGAGAGAGAGAGAGACTGAGAGAGAGAGAGAGGCTCAGTGAAGGGAATTCCCGTGCATGAGCTTACTGTTGATTACTAGCCCTTCATCACCGGAGTGTTGGTCACAAACCTGAGGAGGGCAAAGTGATTGGAGTCCCGAGGTGCTTGTGTTCCTTTGGCTCTGTTGGTCTGGATCTGTCGATCACCTTTCTTGGGGCTTCTTTGTGCTGCGTCGTCTCCTGCTTGCTGCCCCCCACTATTCCTCTTCTCTGAGTTATGGTTTATAACCTGCTGCATCTCCTAATGAACACCTGGAACCTCCAAGTTGGGAAAAGAAGGAGCATCTCATGGTGCCTGGGGCAGCAGGATGGTGTGGCCCTGACTTGGCCCAAGATTCTTGTGCCCCTCGAGGTGGTACCCCTGAGAAATGTACTCATGGGATTAGCGTGATTTCACAGATGGTTAATTTTTTTAAGTTAGTTAACTAAAGACATTATTTTTCCATTGAAATGAACATGGATATCTTAAGGCAGCACTAGACTGTAAAATTCATGTGAATGTTAAGTTAAAAACGTATTTTTCAGGCAGACATGTAGGGAAAGACGTTCACTCTTGTCTTCTGTTACAGGTACTTTGGTGGAAGTACCTGGTTGATCCTGGCTCCTTGGCTAAGTTATTGAAATTTTCTGCAGAATGGGGATAGTTGGAGGATTCACTGGGATATGCAGAAAACACTGAGTGTGTGTTACTTGCCATCTCTTCCTGCTCCCCATTTCCCCACAACATCCCTGGGTTGTCTCTCACCCTGGAGGTATCCTGCTCCCTGTGTCACTGCTTCTGTGGCAGGAACTATGCCTTCCCTGCCCACGTGTGCTGGTGATGCTGCTCCTGGGTGTCCTTGGATCTGCCCAAAGGGCAACTCCTGTGATCTCCCAGAATATTGAGGGTGCAGGACCAAGGAGTCCTTAGAGAGCAGCTGCAGCCTAGGTCATGGCATAGGGGTGGGTGGGATATGATTAGAGAAGAGGCAGGGGGTCCTCCTGGCCCGCTGCCTTTTCTCGGCATGCAGGTGCACAGTGGCGTCTACATACTATGAGGGAGTGTGTGATCCCCAGGTAAACCCCACTGATGGAGCAGGACAGGACTAGCTTCTAGACACCCCCTCTCCAATACCACCAAACAGAGCACATCCTGCCCCACATGGATGCCTCTGCCCCATCAAAGGTGGCAGGAGGACATTTGCCTCTCCAGCCTCTCATTCACTGTGCTCAGTTTCTGTTTCTGACCCCCTTTGAAGCTGCCTCTCTCCATAAGGGAGGAATGATATCTGAGCCGAAGGAGGATGACACATGCCATTCCAGTCCACAACCCGTGGCCCCCTAATCTCTCCAAGACAAGATGTTCCAACAGGTGGGGGTGATCCTTCTCTCTTAAGGCCTGCCTTGCATGAGGACAATTTGCTTCCTTCCTAATCTCTGGAAGAAGGTGTTAGAGTCAGATAGGCATTGGCCTTAAGGAACATTTATTTCTGAGTGTACCAAGTGTGTCTTTGATGCTTTCCCAGAGGAACCAGCTCAGTGTAATGGGAACAGAACAAGCTTTGGCGTCAGAGAAATCTTGGTCTGGATGGGACCTCAGCCCCTCACTAGCTTTATAACATCAGTCAGGTTACTTACATTACTGAGCCTTGGTTTTCTCATCTGTAAACGGAAGATGTTAATCGTAACTCACTGTTAGGGGTGAAGAGGAAGCAATATAATGTATGAAAAGTGCTTGCCATACAGTAGTAGCTCAATAAGTGCTTCTCAACACATCTCAAGCCCAGCATTGGATTCAAGACAGTCCTTCTTAGGAGGCCTCAAATCACATTTGTTTTCTTTCTTTGTCTCCATTCGAAACACCCAACTTCCTCTTGCTGCTGTTCTTTTTTTAGGAGTCAAGAAAAAACAACCTAAGTAAACATTCTCCACTAAGGTGTGACTGAAAGATAGTCTCCTCACTCACTCAGAGGTGATTTCAACAGGGGAAACTTTAACTCAAAGGAATTTCTGTAAGACGTCTCTTAGGTAGTAGGAGTGGATTCCTGTGGTCTCTGTGCGGTTCCTGGCTTTGCCCATATTCCCCCAAGTGAGGTCTCCAAGTACCCAGTCCCCAGCAGCCCTCAACTTCTAGCCGCAGTCATATCTTCACTCCCTGTTAGGCTAAACCCTCATCTGATTCTTTGCTCCCCTGACTCACAAGACAATCTTGTGCTGTGTGCTGATACAGCATGCTTATCTGTCCATCTTAGAGAACTTAGAAGCAATGTGCTTTAGCTTTTCATGACAATTTCCATAAACTATCCTAGTTCTTAGAGGAAAATGAAGTAGTTAAATGAAAGACCAATCAACCAATGTTTAATTCTTGATGAAATTAAAAGTTAACTGATGACATAACTGGTGGATCATCCAGATTTCTCCTAAACTGGAACGGCAAATGGGCCAGCTGTTATTGACTGGTAATGATTGCCTGGACTGCTTGAGTGCTGAGGAAGAGTCTAAGGTTGTGCTTATTCAAGATGGAAAAGAGTATCATGCTTGATTAGTGATGTCTGCTAAAGGCACAGGAATGGATGTGGCAGCTCTGACTACATATTTGTCAGGCCTTTCTCCGACTCCCATCCCACCATTTCTCTGTTCATTTGCACTCCCACTTGAGAGCAGTTGGGGAATTGAAAGTGTTTTCAAGCCAGGTTTACTCTGGTAAATGATTTAGCAGGGCTGAAGCAGGATGCCAACTAAAACTTGTTTTTCATGATTATCTATAGATTTTATATTTATCCTATTCTTGGTGTACATTCACATAATTAAGAGTTGCTATGAAGTCAGAGTTTTTTTATCTCAAGGCTCATAAACAGCATCAGGATTTGGTCTATTCGAAGAAACTACTCAGAACGTCTTGTCTTTTCATCTCTGAACAGCCATGAGAATGTGAACTGTAGGCAAGGAAATGAATTGCATTCATGAATCACTTGAGCGGCACAAAGCAAAGCTTAGAGCTACCTCTAATAGTCTTGCCTGTTATATCCCCTTTGCCTTTATTCTAAATGCCTATTTTCCAGATAGCCTAATGGATGAATCACACTATGTTCTGAGAGAGGCAGACAAATAGCCTGGAGAAAATGGGGCACTTACATGGGATTTCAGGTTATTCTTCTCCAAGCTTACCATTAGAACCCATGTGAAAGCATTAAAGAGAAAGCTATTCTTTTTTTTATTTTTTATTTTTTATTTTTTTGAGACAGAGTCTCGCTCTGTCGCCCAGCCTGCAGTGCAGTGGTACAATCTCGGCTCACTGCAAGCTCTGCCTCCCAGGTTCACACCATTCTCCTGCCTCAGCCTCCCGAGTAGCTGGGACTATAGGCGCCCACCACCACGCTCGGCTAATTTTTTGTATTTTTAGTAGAGACGGGGTTTCACCATGTTAGCCAGAATGGTCTCAATCTCCTGACCTCGTGATCTGCCCTCCTCGGCCTCCCAAAGTGCTGGGATTGGGATTACAGGTGTGAGCCACACTGCTTCTGGCCAAGAAAGCTATTCTTGAAAAATAAGATACCTGGTGTGTGGCACAGCTTACCATTGCCCACTTACCTCTCTCACTGGGAACTGAACCACCTGGATATTAGAAGTTGAAGGGCTAATTGCTCTTTCTAGAAGTTTTGCTTATTATCTTCCATTCTTCCCTTAAGGTGGAAGGAGAGGTGAGTGGATCATCATATAAGCCTTCTGAGAACTAAGAAGAAACTACCAGCCCCTTCTCTGGCCTCCACTTTGTTCTTGCACTATTGGGGCGCGTGGGGGTTGTCACCTGGTATCAAGCATTCTCCACTAGGGCACCTATAGGCAGGTTGAGGTCACGCTTTTGTTTTGAGAGTCTTCTGTGGAGTTACTTAGAAGATGTCTAAAATACGTAACAAATCTCAGACCTCTCTTTGAGCATTGACAGTAACATATTTAGAAAGTTCGAGGAAAGTGATTTTTTAAAAGTTCATCAATACTATGTAATACTACGATAAAACCAACAGCCCAATAATAGCAACAAAACTCCCTGTCACCATTTGGTGTCGCCTCTTCTTTCCTGGCTGTACAATTTATAGAAGGGGGAGGAAGACTTTAGAATTTTACTTTTAGGAATCCAGTACATTTTTAAAAAGCTGGTTGTGTTAGAGGCTGGCTTGTAAGAACTCGTATGTGTCTTCCTCATTTCTGTTTTTCTTTGAGTTGCCAAATGTTAAGGTTGGGATTATTCAACCCATATGGGGCATGATTTCCTTTTTTCTATAACATTTCTGGGCAAGCAGATTTTGACTCAGTGCTACCAATCTGGGGTGTGTGCTCCCTTTTCCTGGTGGACTGGGGAAAGGTCTATCATAATCTCATGAAAGAGCACCATGGCAAAGGAAGAAACGAGAAGAGGATCTTTCTCAGTGATTTGAGATCAGTGGTGAGCTGGTGTTAAGAGTAGTGTTTCAAGAGAAAAACAGAAAGGGAAGGGAACATTTTCATTTTCTAATATATGTTTTTCTCTGCTGGCCTTTGAGATGCCAGAATGATAAAAATCAGAGGGGTCATCTGAGAGGTGGCAAAAAATAAAAATCACCTCTAAAAGAGAAGCAGCTTAATGTGCCATCCGCAGGCACAGCTGTTTAATCATGGGTGATTATTACACTGGGATAGACTAAAAGAATTAAAAGAATGTTGTGGCTGTGATTTAAACAATGAGGACTCTGGTAAGAACGTCCTGGCCTCATTGGTGAACTAGGACTGCAACCTGAATGGAGTTATTGAATAAATTGATAGCACAGTTTTCAGACACCTGCCCCCTTCCCTCCATGCCATGATTTTCCAGTTGCTTGCTCTGTGGCCAATTTTGGGGTAGATCCAAACTTGCTTCTTCAGCACCTAGCAACAATCTCAAATGCCACAAGAAGAGTTTTAATTTAATTTAGTGCACGGCCACATTTAGTAAGTTTTTGAGAATGTTCCTAATTTATTAGCTTAAAATCTTATCACGATTTTTAAATCCATCACTTCTCTTCAAAGAATGATGAATTAAAATGTAGGTAAATTTTTCTTACTTTCCTTGAATGAAATACACTGAGAGCAGACAGTCTGATTGACACTGTTATGTATGAACATGAGGGACGTAATTCTAAAGAGTACTGGCCTTGCAATAACTCTTTAGATTTATCTTATGTGACTCCTATGCTTAATGACTCTTTGACAATTGATGATGGAGGAGCCAGTCCTGTACATCCTTTCCCTACTATGTTATTATTGATAACATAATCAACCAAAATGCTTTTTGTTTGTTTGTTTTGAGACGGAGGAGTCTCGCTCTGTCGCTCAGGCTGGAGTGTAGTGGCGCCATGTCGGCTCACTGCAATCTCTGCCTCCCAGGTTCAAGCCATTCTCCTACCTCTGCCTCCCAGGTTCAAGCCATTCTCCTACCTCAGCCTCCCGAGTAGCTGGGATTACAGGCGTGTGCCACCATGCCTGGCCGATTTTTGTATTTTTAGTAGAGATGGGTTTTGCCATATTGGCCAGGCTGGTCTCAAACTCCTGACCTCAGGTGATCCGCCCACCTCTACCTCCCAAAGTGCTGGGATTACAGGCACGAGCCACTACGCCTTGCCTTATTTAATACTTTTGAAATTACTTCCCTAAACATCTTTTCCCTAGCAGAGCGCTAACAGTGTGAACTTCACGGCAGCAGAGACTATGTTTGTTTTCACCCATGCTTGTATGTCCAGCCTAGGCAGAATGGCCAGCACATAAGAAGGGCTCTGTAATATTATTTACTGAAAGAATGAGTGAAAAAACATCATCTCTATGCTGCACATCTTCTGTCGTGCCACCACTTTTGTGTGGCTTGTCATCCCCTCTTAGCTGAATGACTGCCACAGCCTCCCTTGTGTTCTCTCCGCCAATCCATTCTCCTCTCCGCAGCCAGTCTGAGCTACTAAAATGTGCATCTGCATATGTCACCCCCTTCTGTTCAGTCTTACTTGCTTCCTGTTTCTCTGAGGTTAGTGACAAAGTCTCAGCGTGGCCAGCCCCACCTTACAATTTCACTCCTTGCATCCCACACTCCAGCCTCTGAACTAGTCACATTTCCCCACACCTGGTAGGCTTAGGCTCCCTCTGATCTTTGGGTCTC
Organism: Homo sapiens; assembly: GCF_000001405.40. Lineage (NCBI taxonomy): Eukaryota > Metazoa > Chordata > Mammalia > Primates > Hominidae > Homo > Homo sapiens. Next base: position 197,205,877 of record NC_000002.12, on the reverse strand, counting down.
TGTAGATGTTACACCTTCACCTAGGAATCTCTTTTCCCCAGCTTAGCTGTCACCTCCTCTCTGAAGCCTTCCCTGATGACACAAGGCTGGGTTGGGTGTCCCTCCCATATGACCCTGTTGCTTCCACCGTGATGTCACTGTTTACTTTTCTTCCTCCTCTCTAGATTCGAAGCTTCTTGAGCCTGGGACTGTATCTTGATCATTGCAGAATCCTTGCCACCTAATGCATTGCCTGGCCCACCATCGGCACTTGGAGAAATGATTGTTGAGTGGGCAAGAAGAGGGCAATATGGCATAGTTGAACTAGCATGGGATCTGGAGCTGGAAAGATCTTCCCAGTGACTGGCAGTCACCTTGGGCCATCCCCAAACTCCCCAAGCCCCAGTTTCTTTCTCAGGGAAATGGGGTGGAGGACATCACTTCGCAACTCACCAGGTTGTTCTGAAAAATACAGTGAGATGACATAAGGAAAGCAGCACAGGGCCTGCTCCATAATGAGCTCTGGTACATTGTTCTTCCTTTCCTCAATCCCTCCTTCCCTTCCTTACTGGCCAGGTGGGTAAAACCATGGATCAGAATACTAGAATTCCAGTGTTACAGTCAAAGATTAAGTGGTTCTAAATCATCTAGAACCAGAAATAACATTTGACCCAGCAATACTATTACTGGGTATATACCCAAAGGGGATGCTTTTTAAAAATACACACTCCTGGACCTTACTCTGTGGTTCTGGGACAGGGTCCAGGAGTCTGTATGCTTTGTTTCAAGTTTCTAATGTGCAGCCACAATTGGGAGCTTTTGACCTAGTCCAACTTCTGACCCAAAGCAGGAATCCTGGTTATGTAGCCTTTGCTGGAGCACATCAGGGATGGGCAGCTCGCTGCATTTTGAAGCTGTTTCTTGCTGGACAGCTGCTCTAATAGAGACCTCTCCCTTATAGACTGTGCCCCATTCTGCTTCTCTGATAACACCCAGCCTTTAGATCGGGTTCTGCCTTCTAGAGACACATGAATTAACCTACACCATCTTCCACATAGTCATTTTTCAGATACTTGATGTTACTAGTACTATATCCCTTCAAAGGTTTTTCTTTTCCAGCCTAAACATTCCTGTTCTTATAAACTAGAATTTGCTAACTGGAGCCTGCGGGCTACATCCGGTCCACAGATGTGTTTTGTTTGGCCTGTGGTGTTTGAAAAATATTGAATAAGTTGCCAACATTTAAAAATCAGGGCATTTCACTGAAACGTCTGGAGCTCTGGCATCTCTTGAAAACTCAAAAGATCTGGAGCCACAATTTTATCTTTGGACAGGACATAAATTCTCCAGATTGTTGCAGCCTTCACCACTCTATGCTCTTGTCTAGCCCCCTACCTGAATCATTATGTCACATGTTTCCAGACCCTTCGTTATTCTCATTTTCTTTTCCTAGCTGTGATGCAAAGTGTCAGTGGTCCCATCTTTAAAGAAAATTTTTCTTTTTATGTTTACAAAAATGATAGTTAACAATAATAATAAACATAATATTATAGAAAATTTGGAAATTACAAAAAAAGAAAGTGTATCTGCCAATAACCCTGTTTAGCATTTTTATAAATTTTCTTCTAGTCCTTGTTTTTCTGTGCATATTTATATGCTATGAAGCTGAGATCAAACTGTATATAGTTTCATAGACTGCTTTTTTTCCACATTTTCCTCATCTCATTAAACTCCCTCAAAAGGCCAATTTTAATAAGTAAAATATTCTGTTTTATGTATCATAATTTTTTTTATTGTGGCAAAATACACCTAACATGATATTTACCATTTTAACCATTTTAAAAGGTACATTCACAGTGTTGTGCAGCCATTATTACTAATTCCAGAACATTTTCACCACCCCAAATGAAACTCTGTATCCATGAAGCAGTCACTTCCCGTTCCCTCCCGATCCCTGGTAACTGCTAATCAGCTTTCTGTTTCTATGTGTGGCTATTTCATATAAATGGAATCATACAGCCTGTGGCCTTTTGTGTCTGGCTTCTTGCACTTAGCATAATGTTTCCAAGGTTCATCCATGTTGTAGCATCTATCATTATACGCTGTTCCTTTTCATGGCTGAGTAATATTTTACTCTACGGCTGTACCACATTTGGTTTATCCATTCATCAGTTGATGCCGGTTGGTGGACACTTGGGTTGTTTCTACCTTTTGACTGTTGTGAATAGTACTGCTGTGGACATTTAGGTACACGTTTTTGCTTCAACACCTATTTTCAGTTCTTTGGGATATACACATAGCAGTGGAATTTCTGAATTATATGGTAATTCCATGTTTAACTTATTGAGGAACTACCAAGCTAAATAGCTAAATAAAATTCCACAGCAGCTGCACTATTATACATTCCAATCAGCAATGTTCCAATTTCTTCACATTCTTCCCAACACTGTTTTCTGGGTTTCGTTTGTTTGTTTTGTTTTAGCCATCTAGTGTGTGTGAAATGGTATCTCACACACACCAGAAATGGTGAAGTAGTTCTTAGAGATTTATATTCTCTAAAGACTGATGTTAAGCATCTTTTCATGTGCTTTTTGGCCATTTGTATATCTTTTTTGGTTTATATATTATAACTTGCTCAATAATTTCCCTAGCTTTGACATTGGTTCCCTTTTAATTTTTCCTGTCATAAATAGTGTTGTTATGAACATCTTTATACAAAAATTGTCTGTATATCTCATTATTTCTATAGGACAGCCTCCCTGAAGAGGGACTGTGGGGTCAAAGGAGTAGGATTTCGAAGGTATTGAGATGAAGAATCAGATTCAGTGCTGCATGTATGTTGAAGCTGTATGAGTCACCTGGAGAGCCTTTGCAAGCGCTTGTGCTAGGATTTGCATCCCTAACACTACCTCAGGCTTATTGGGGTGGGACCTAGTTTCCCAGGGGATTTTGATATGCAATCCAGCCAAAAAACATCAGCCAAATTTCTTCTGCATCCATTTAGGTCTTAAAAAAAAAAAAGGCCAGGCGTGGTGGCTCACACCTGTAATCCCAGCACTTTAGGAGGCTAAGGCGGGTGGATCACTTGAGCCCAGGAGTTCAAGACCAGCCTGTCCAACATGACGAGACCCCCTCTCTACAAAAATTTTTTAGAAAAATTAGCTGGGTGTGGTGGTGCACACCTGTAGTCCCAGCTATTTGGGAGGCTGATGGGGGAGGCTCACCTGACCCCAGGGAGGTCGAGCTTGCAGTGAACTGTGGTTATGCCACTGCACTCCAGCCTGGGGGACAGAGCAAGACCCTATCTTAAAACAAACAAAAAACAAAAAAGAGGCCTGTAAGATCTGCACGAAATTGTCCACTACTCTGACCAGTTCTGAGCAGCTTGGTCCTGCTACTTCCCCTGCTGTGTGCATCAAGCTTGGTCGTCTAGCTCTTCTGGCAGAGTGAGATTATAGTCACCTAGACCACCCCTTATTGGGTTTTTTTTTTTTCCATCTGAAATCTCATCTTTTCCCTTATTGTTCTTGGAGGAGTCGATCATTTTGGACCTATCTTTTCTGGTAAGAAAACAGAGGTTTCTGCCTGCTCTGTGACTTGCCCTCCGTTATGTAACACCTACTGATCAAGGGTAGACCAGGACTCCTGGCGCATCAGTTAATTTCTTTCCACTCCCTTCAATGGCCTTGTTTCATCATTTTTGATTGGTCACAATTCAAGAAGCAAAAAGTTGCTGCACAGTGCCAAATGTACCAAGTACTCTAAAAGTGAGAGCAAGCCTCTGCGTGCCTGGGCAGGCCACTGCTGTCACAGGCCACCTGCCTTTCACCAAGTCCACTTCTATCCCTGGGTGGAGGAGGGGCAGCTAAAAGTTCTCCTTTGTCAGGACAGTCAACCATGATCTCAAAAGAACTATGATTGTATTGTGCATTTTAAACCCTTGGAATGTTACATGGTGATGAGGTAACAGTGGCTATGAATGTTCTTACAAGTGGGAGCTGAGCATTGGGTACACAAGGACACAAAGATGGGAATAGTAAACACTGTGAATCCCAAAAGGGGGCAGGATGGGAGGAGGGCAAGAGATTAAAAACTACCTATGGGGCACTATGTTCACTACTTGGGCGATGGGATCATTAGAAGCCCAAACCTTAGCATCACACAGTATACCTGTGTAACAAACCTGCACATGTATCCCCTGCATCTGAAATAAAAACACAAAACACAAAAACAAAATATAAAAACAACAGCTCTGAGTTTTGACATAAGGTGTGCAGTGCAGATTCCCAAATCTAGATTTAACATGCGACGACACTAACAGGGTCTCCACATCATTCAGAGCCAACGTCAGGGGGATTGTTGGTGAGGAGAGGGGAGTGTGGATACCAGGAAAGGAACCAACCTCAGTTATGTCAGTTGGGCCAGAGGAGGCCAAAGGATCCTATCTCCCTGATGCCTTGTCTCAGACCTCAGTTGCCTTTGTGGTTGCCTAGTGCCACGGAGGCAACGGGCATTCAAAATTCTGCTAAATAAAAACACACAGCAAATTAGGTTTTATTTAAACTCAGTAACTTACTCTCCTTGTTAAAAACTCAGTAACTCACTCCCTTATTTTCTGTAATATGACTGTCAAGATTATGTCTTCACACGTGCCCTTCACATGAACATTCTGGGAGTGCATCTTGTTTTCCTAATGTTTAAAAAACATGCTGCAAGCTAATTTTAAACTGGGATGGGTAATGAAAAAGAGAGAATCATAGACTTCTCTGTGGCACCACCTCTCAGTTAAAAATTACCCATGCCTTTTTAATCTCTAGTCTTTGAGACTAAAAGCACATTAATCTACTTATTCCTAATTCATTTTCAGAATTTTCCCATAGAGCTACTTATATTCAGTCTCAAGGCATACTATATATCAGGACATACACTAAACTTTCAAATCATATTTAACAATTGATAAAATTTAAAACTTGTTATTAAATATTTTCATTTAAATGGATTTGGAGAAGTTGCAAACATACTATTGCAACATAGAGTGAAAGACCAACACTGTAGTGACTGTCGATGTAAACATTTTAACAAAGTTTTTGATTATCAAAAGAACTGAGGTCTTTTTGGTTGCTAAATTCCAGTCACTTCATTATTGCTTTCTTTCATGTTATTCATATTATTTTCCAGATGGGCAGGAGCAGCTTAAATGACTACTGTTGTTTGAAGGGCACAGCAAGCGTTGTATGTGTTTTGGCAGGGGGTAGCATAGGGCATGAGAAGGACAGGGAAGGAAGAGATTTGGAGGTAATTTCAAGCTCGTGCTGTCTGGAAGTAGTGCATTTTAAATTAGTGTTAGTGTGATGTTCTGCAGCAGCCAAGCTTGGGAATTTTTTATATCTTTAAGCAGAGTCTGGCGAGTGGTGGTGGTGGGAGGAGTATGAGAAGAGGGTGTTTAGAAATGCTGTAACTCAGGACATTCTCCTGAGCATATACATGTCTAAAGTCAGTGCTGTGCCCTGCCTCATTTGTCATTCCAAAATACATTTTTTTCCTTCCTCCATCTAAACCATGTTCAGGCCTTGTTCAAGTCCTGCCTCCTCCAGAGACACCACTCTGGCTTCTTAGCCTTTCATGCTTCCCCTTTTCTGAATCAAGAAGGCTCCTAGAATATTATGGCTAAAGGCACCTCCAGATTACCTCTCCAATCTGTCATTGTGCAGAAGGACAACTTGGCATCCATTTGCATGAGGTCTGTAGAACATGGTTCAGTACTGTCTTACACAGTTTAAGTGTTTTGTGTGGGTTAGGCTTATTTCCCCAACTATATTTGGCAGTCTTTTAGGAAAGGACTATGTCACACATTTCTTTTGTATATTTCATAAAAATAGCATATTGTAGGTACTCAGAAAATGCTTTTGGCTCTGGTAGCACTTCTCTGTGCAATGTGGATAAGCACTGATAGAGGCTTGTTTGTTGTGGTACAAACTAGAAACAACCCAAATGCCCATTCGAAGGGGAATAATTGAATATGTTATGGCATATCCATACAATGGAATAGTATTATATATAGTTATTAAGAGAAATGATTTAATCCTGTAGCTATCGACCTGGGGGATGTCCTCAGTACATCATTATTTTTGCAAATTGTAAGAGAGGGAAATAAGCCAGGCATGGTGGTATGCATCTGTAATCCAGACTACTTGGATTACAGATACTTGGGTGGGAGGATCGCTTGAACCCAAGAATTTGAGACCACCCTGGACAATATAGCAAGACCCCCATCTCAAAAAAAGTGTGTGTGTGGGAAATAGTAAAATCCCATTTTCTGATAATAAATAACGATAATCTCATATATCTGTATCTGTACCTACCAACAAGAACACGGGCTGTTCACATTTGTGGTAGGAAAGGTTATTAAGTTTTTTCTTTATCTGTTTTTGTATTGTTGCAACAGGAAACCTACTAAGATTAAAATCCAGCAAACATAAGACAAAGATAAAATGCACAGGGGTTTTGATGCATTAGGTGTTTCCCATAGTACTTCCTATTTTTCAAACTTCGTGTGATTAAAAAAGTAAGTTTTATCCCTGACTAAATTTCAGTGTGGAAATAAAGAAATAAAGATAGCATGTACTTGGCTTAGGTATACTTGTTTTGTTCTTTCAGCTCGTTACGTAAAGATACATTTTTTTTTCTTTCTCATGACATGAAGATAAGCTTTCTTCTTACCAAAACCTAAACTGTGAAGGCAGCACCCAAGCCAAAAGCCTCGAGGCTCTGGTTTCTGTGGTGGGATGGGGAGAGAAGTAGGTTGCACAGATGTAGGATGCCAGCTGACTTCAGAACTTCCGGTCTCAGAGCTAACCAGGCTCGGCAAGCCACAAGAGAGAAGGAGCTTGCATAGGTGGAAGAGCAAAGAAAGCCAGTGCTGCAGAACTTCCGGTGCTCCTCCGCCGATGTCGGGCTGGCGCTGCTCCCGAGCCCTGTGTCCTGTGGAAGAAGTTGGTGAGAATCGTTTTGAATGTAGGCAGCCACTCCTGAGGAGGCTAGCCCTTGCTACATTAAAGGTGGAGCTAGATTTACATTTTATTTTATTTTATTTTATTTTTTATTTTTCGAGATGGAGTCTTGCTGTCGCCCAGGCTGGAGTGCAGTAGCACGATTTCAGCTCACTGCAACCTCCACCTCCCGGGCTCAAGCGATTCACCTGCTTCAGCCTCCCGAGTAGCTGGGATTACAGGGGCACGCCACCATGCCTGGCTAATTTTTTGTATTTTTAGTAGAGACGGGGTTTCACCATGTTGGCCAGGCTGGTCTCAAACTCCTGGCCTCAGGTGATCCACCTGCCTCGGCCTCCCAAAGTGCTGGGATTACAGACGTGAGCCACCATGCCCGGTCAAATTTACCTTTTAGATTCACATATTACCACCAGAAGAATGCTTCCTCTGACAACTGAGCGGTACTCCATCCCCAGAGCCCTTTGTGCAGACTATTATTGCAGTTTCCTAACTTGTTATGACACTCCAGCCTTTTCCTCCAGGTCATCATACAATCCATTTTTAGAGTGATTGTTCTAAAGCACAAATCTTAGGTCACTCCCCTGCTCAAAAACCACCCACTGCTCCCCCAGTTCCACAGAAGAGAGCTCAAATTTCTTAGCTTGGTATTCAAGACCTTCCATGATAGGATCCCTGTCTACTACTCAGCTTACCTCACTTCTCCCCTCCTCCAGCCAAATGAAACTGTTCCCTGTGTATGTTCAGGCTCCCTAGCTTCTGCTCACAGCCTTCTGAATATGAAGAAGGGAAAGTCCCTTACCATTCCATCCGTCTCTACCTGTTTAAATCCTCCCCAGTCTTCAATATTCATTTCAGAGGCTGCGTCTTTCAGGAGGCCAGGTACAATTTCTCTCCCTTCTCCATGCACTTCTCCTGCGGCCTGTGCCTTACATTCTAGCTGTGCGTATTTGTATACTTCCTGTTACACCTTGGTAACCTCATCAAGGGAGAGACTGACTCTGACATTCCAGTGTCTGAATTTCTTTCTTTCTTTTTCTTTTTCTGTGTTTCTTTCTTTCTTTTTTTTTTTTTTTTTTTTTGAGACAGGATTTCACTCTGTCACCCAGGCTGGAGTGCAATGGTGTGAGCATGGCTCACTGCAGCCTCAATTTCCTGGGCTCAGTTGGTTCTCCCACCTCAGCCTCCCGAGTCGCTGGGACTACAGGTGTGCGCCACCGTGCCCAGCTAATTTTTGCATTTTTAGTGGAGATGTGGTTTCACCATGTGTCTAGGCTGGTCTGGAACTCCTGGATTCAAGTGATCCGCCTGCCTTGGTCTCCCAAAGTGTTGGGATTACAAGCATGAGCTACTGCGCCCGGCCTCCAGTGTCTGAATTTCTTATGCTCAGTAAATGTCTTATGCTTAATACATCTTTGTTGAATTGAATGTGGTTATCTGAAATGTACCAAATTAAGTTTTAGAAAACATATCTTTTATCCCCTGTTGGAGGGGGTAGTGTGTAAAGAAATAAAGGAGCTACGCACTGGGTTGGTGTCTGTGAAAGGAAATATGATATGACTTCTTTTTTTTTGCAGAATTTCCCATTTTCCCATTTTATATTATCGAATGTTTTCCAGTCTCTTAGGCTCCTCTCTCTTCCTGCTGCCTTATCCTTTCCCTTTGACATCTGTCACTGGATGTCCTTACCATGATTTTGGATGGGGAAATGAGAAGATGCTTCCTGAAAGACTACACTGAGGGGATTCTCTAATAGATTTTCATTCCATGTGACTTTTTCTGGCTGGGGAGGGAGTAGGGGACCTTCCAGTCATCTCAGGCAGAAACTAATTCAGGTCCTGATCAACCCACTGCCTTAAATTTTAGAATGGTTGCTATAACAATTTTAGAATGGTTGCTATAACAAGATGCCTTAGGAAAAAAAAAATTGACAATGGCCAGAACAGGAAGGTGACTCCGTTTTACACATGTCCCTAGTCCCTCACCTGTGGAGAGGTGGTGAGAGTTTAACTGCTTGCTGTCTTTCCAAGAATGCACGTGGAATTCAAAGAAAAGAACAGTAGAAGGGAAGGAGAGGGTTTAAAGGAAAATTGTCATGGGCTTTGGAAAGACCTGATTGTGTAAAAATTGCTTGCTGGTGTTTGGAAAGAACCCAGGTGCTAACAGATTTTAGACAAACCCAATCTGGAGTTGCCTAAATCATGAATGATTTAATGTGACTGAGTTAATCCATATATCTTGTATACAGTAGTTCCAGCCTCCTCAAATGTAGCAGGAGATTGCCACCTTTCTGAGAGTACCTTTCATTTCTACATGCTGATTTTGTTGTTGTTTTTAAAGGACACTTGAATTGCTTTATTTAGCTTCCAATTTGTGAGATTCTCAAAAATTAAAATTACTCATGACCACAAGAAGATACTTCTGTAGTTATGGATCATTTTCTGCTATTTTTTATAAGGAATACTTTTTTATTGTTGTCTTTTTTATAAGTGATGCACATACCAGGTAGTAATAAAAAGTCATGTTTTCCAGTGCACCCTAAAACTGAACTGCTGTCTCTATTTGAACAGACAAATAAATTATACTGAATATACCTACAACCCTGAAAATCATCTTCTGGCCATTTTTCTTTTTTCCCCACAAAGATCACTAAAGTGGTTTATATTGATTAACATTATTAAATCCACCTCTCATGTTTGCAACTACATGAATTCAATATGCAGTAAGATACAGTTATACAAAGAATGTAACCCAAGCCAAGATGAGAAATAAAACCTCTATACCAATTTTTCAAAACAGGAAACTGTTGCAGAAGTATATATAGTTGTTCTTTTTGTTTCACTAAAATTACATGGATTTAAATGTTCTGTATGAACTAACCTCCTGGATCCATTGTCCTTTTTGCCCAAATTAGCTTTCTTTAAAAGTTAACTCCCCAACACAATTTAATTATCTTAGCTAAAGTTTAGGTTTGATCTCAAGCCATTTGAAACTAGACAGAGTGAAAAAATCTGTGGGTAGTTGGCAGCAGATCCTGATAGAAATATGGCACTTGGCAAAGGCTGTCTGCCTTGTTTTGATTTGCCTTTCTCTTTATGGATGTGGCCTATTTTTGAAATGTTATGATTTAAATTCAGCGATCAAGTGACAAGTCTGACAAAACAGAGCTTACATCCGCAGAGGTTCTGTGGGGGAAAAAATGGAAATGTTCCAGAACTAAAGGAAGTAACCTCAGTTTCACCTGGAAACATTAGTGTTTCGGAGGCAAGGGATTTGGGCTATATATAAAGAGTGAAGGAAAGTGGCCAAGATGCTGGGCCAAAATTGCATCCAGGAATAGAGCAGACATTAAAGAACCAAAAACTATATCTGTTGTTTTCACCGTATCCCTGTAAGTAGCACCTGGGGAGACTGTGATTAAAAAAAAGATGGGAAAGTTCTTTCCTGTGATGGCTTGGATTGTAGCAACAGCCTTCTAACTGGGCCTCTAACTCCAATCTCTCCTTCTCCAGTACTCAGTGTACACTTTGGCCAGATTAAATTCTTGGGAAAACTCTATTCCTTTCTCCTGCTCATGACCCCCATTCCTGTTTGTCCATAAGATTAGGTAAAGGCTGGGTACAGTGCTCATGACTGTAATCCCAGCTCTTTGGGAGGCTGAGGCAGAAGAATTGCTTGAGGCCAGGGGTTCAAGAGCAGCCTGGGCAACATAGCGAGACCCTGTCTCCACAAAAAAATATTAAAAATTCACCAGGTTTAACAGTGGCCTGTGCCCATAGTCTGAATTACTTGGGAGGCTGAGGTGGGAGCATCGCTTGAGCCCAAGAGTTTGAGGTGGTAATGAGCTATATGATTGCACCAAAAAGATTAGGTTAAAGCTTCTTATGCTGATGTGATGCTCCCCCCACCCAGTTATTCATTTTTCTAACTTCATCTTCTATTATTTTCCAACATGAAAGATTTACTCTCCAGTCCCCAGTCTCATCCTTCAAAATTCTGCTTAGTGCCTACCTTCTTCATCTTTATAACTCAGACCCATGCGGAGCCCCCTCAACTTTGAAAGACTGTAGCCCTTTGTTTTCTGTCTTTTGGTAAGATTATTTTATTGTTAGCCATTTTGTTGCAAGGAATTATATCTATATCTATCTATCTATCTATGTATATGCATTTGGCCACTATTTGTGTAAATATATATGCATACGTATAGAGAGAATGTATCTCATATATGGCAGCTTTTTCCTTAGTGTATAATATTTCTCCATAGGAGGTATGTTGAAACTGAAGCTGAATTCTGATCATGAATTATATATATATTATATTACATGTGAGAGAAAGTACCAAGCTGCGAGAATCAGGAAAACTAAGTTCTAGTCTCAACTTTGTCACTAACAGGCAAATCATTAGACTTCGTCACAGCTCCAAACAGGGAATTCATTTCCTTTGTGTCTATCAGGAGATCACAAAAGAAAGGTGTAACTACATGTATTTATGACAACCTTAAGTAGTAAAATTACAATCTCAGGTCCCATTAAGCTGGCATGAATATATGCAGTTACCTTTTGATTAGTCAAGAAGAAATGATGTATTAGTTCAGTGAGTTATTGGCTTTATAGATTAGACTTCTGAGTACAGAGGGACTGTGTGACAATTTCGAGGTTGCTGAGTGTAACAAAGGCCAAGTCATGCTCAGTTTGATTTTTGCTCCCAGGCCTGTAAAAGCTTCTCTCCCAATATGATGGGCCCCTCTGCTTTAGAGGTGGTGTTGAGTGGGTTATAATCCTAACTCAATTTATTTACTCTGTAGTATTTTAGGAAATCTTTCAAGATCTCTTATTTTTCCTTTTTTAGGATGCACATAAAGGTACTTGTCTATGAAGGTTTTTGAGCTTGTTAAGGTAAACAATCATCCCTGTTTTTATTGCGTGCACACCAGGCATCTGGCCCCGTGCTGGGGGTGTTGCATATGTTGTGTTATTTTTTATTATTTATTTATGTATTTATTTATTTTTTGAGATGGAGTCCCTCTCTGTTGCCCAGGCTGGAGTGCAGTGGCGCGATCTCGGCTCACTGCAAGCTCTGCCTCCCGGGTTCACGCCATTCTCCTGCCTCAGCCTCCTGAGCAGCTGGGACTACGGGCGACCGCCACCAGGCCCGGCTAAGTTTTTTTTGTATTTTTAGTAGAGACGGGGTTTCACCGTGTTAGCCAGGATGGTCTCGATCTCCTGACCTCGTGATCCACCCTCCTCGGCCTCCCAAAGTGCTGGGATTACAGGTGTGAGCCACCGCGCCTGGCCGTTACGTTATTTTTTAAACACATCTATAAAATGGCTATTGTAACCCCATCTTAGAGATGAGAAAACTGAAACGGAAATGGATTGGATTTAATAATTGGTCAGTCTGATACCATAGCATTAATCTTTCTACTATGGAAAAAAAGGAGGTCAATAAAAATTAACATTTTAATCAATAAAAATTAACATTGCCTCCAGATTTCAATTTAACTGATACTGTTATTCCATCACTTCCTTTGGCCCAACTTTTTGTCTGTAACTGGTAACAAAGTTGAATTTTGTTTTACTTTGGGTTGGCCATCGGGTGAGGGTGATAACTAGTGGTATTAAAGAGCAGAGAAACACCCAAAGAGAATCTCAGGAAAGGAAGGAGCAACAAAGGATTAAATGTTCCAAAAATTGGGTAATTGGGGTAGTTGGTCCTTGAGTAACTATTTCATAGTCAGTACCCATGTGTTATTTTCATTGGGAAAAGATTAGGTAATAAATTAATTTTCTCCATTTTCTAATTAGATGTAATTCTTTTTTCATAATGTTAAATATAGAGTTAACAAATATGCTACTTGGAGGGCATGACTATAACATGGAATTTTATGTTTTTTCTGTTTTTAATAGTAATGGAAAATATTATATATATTTACTCTGCAGCATAGCCTGTAGGAGACATTTTCAGACATGCAGTCCTGCCTCACTCCCTGATTTTTTAAAAAATGTATTTATAAGGACTCAGTATATTTTTGTATTGTCCTTATGGTACTTAAGAGGAACAGATTTTGATTTTATGATAATCATTATCTTTCTGGGATGGAGTGAACTTCTCAAGTAAAGGGTGATCTATATTCAGGAAGAACTCAATGAAATCCTTGCAGGAGATCATACAGCAGAACTCACATGAATTCAGTTAGCAGGTTTTGTTCATTAAATCTAGTGACTTGAACAAATTTTTATTATCCTTTCACAAAAGTGCAAGCACTGGCTCCTACAAAAAACAGTTGTTACCTAACGAAGTGTTTCAGCTTGTTCATATAAGTTGATGGCTTCATATGGCTAGATTATTGCTGTATCAGCTATCAGCTACTGATAACACACTCCCATCTTACTTTAATGACATATGTACTCAGAATGCTCAAGGAGGGACAGATGTTTAGGAATATCAAATTTTCCTTCTTGGCTATTGATTGATTCCCAACACCCATTTCTGATTGGAATGCAAAATGTTTTTCTTTTAGACTTGGAGTCTTTATTTTCCCGATCTAATCAGAAAAACACAAGCAACACACCAGGATCTAGAATGAAATGCTGGAGCATCCCTGGATGCTGCTTGGGCTTATTACCATTGACTGTAGTTACCAATGCTCAATGACAGCCTCTGTCACTCTGCCTATCTTCCAAAGCCAATTCATTAGTACAGAGCATGCAACTCTGGCAAAGGGAAAGTGAAATATACTATACAGTGGTTTTAGCAAAAATCAAAATGGTGGTTTCATTAGGGGATTTTGCGGGATGTGGGAGGGCATTGATGACTTCATAGCCGGATGGAGTGGATACTCTAAACTAGCTTGGCTCTCTTTGTAGAACCCATGATGGGCTTCATTCTTAAATGGAGGGTGTGTCTGATGACATCAGTAGCATATTTTTTTCATGGAATTGACATAATAATTGAATTGGATTTCACAGATGATGAAAATGATACCTTAGCACGTAGGTTTTAGATAGTTTTATTCTTATTTCTAAAACCTGGATCCTCAGGGATCAATAGGAATTTTTTGTGTTTGGTGTTTTTTTGTTTGTTTGTTTTAGTATGTGCATGGTGTGCATGTTTACTTATGACTAAGAACTCTTTCAGAAGCTTGAGTTCTTTTATGTTTTTAATGAAGTGGATTTTTCAATTACCTTACTTCCTTAATTACACATCCTGAACCTTTGCTTTTACCTCCCAGGTAACAAATTACCATCTTGCTCCCCCTAGTGGAATTTTGACTCTACTTCAAAGTTTGAGAATAACTATCCCTAGTACATATTTGATTTAGCATTTTATTTTTGGAAGTCTGGTATTTTCCCAGTTTGTTTTCAGGGTGAGAATAAAAACAGAATATTTTATTGGATGTGCCGATAGGGGATGTGGGTAGAGAAAGTGGCTTTCGGCTGATTAGATTTCAGTTCCAAGGGTTAGCAAGTTCAGCTACAAAATTTATAAGATCAAGGGGTCTTTCTGTTCCCCATTTCTATCTTAGAGGGGTCAAGTGTCATCAGCTTGGCAGACATTCACCTCTAGAAGGCAGCCGTCAACACTCCTGGAAAGGTAGTAGGGGGCTAGTTGTTGGTGATTTTGAAGGCAAGGACAGGTCCCATCTGAACAACAAATCCCACTTGTGCTTTTGGTAAATTTGGCCCAGGAAGTGTCCTTCTGTCTTCTGAATCTACCAGAGGCACTGCACCAATATCTGCAGCACTGACAATCATTTTGCAGCTGCTAAGCATGCTAAGAAAATTCTAGCAATTGAAGCTAAAAAGACTGCATACCTCTCTTAGGAATTTAAATTTCTTTAGGGGATGATGATCAATGATTTCATGGTATCTGAATCTCCTTTTTTCCTACCACTATTTGTTTTTCTCAATTTTGACCCTTGTTACAATTTTGTATTTATTCAACTCTGTACCCTACTGTACACAAAGCACTCGTGTTATATATGCTAGTGCTAAAATGTGTGAAACTTTAAAAAGAAATATCTGTATATGCCAAGGCTTGGGACTCTGCTCTTGTGCAGGTAGGACTTTGCTTCTAAGCCTTATTTAAGTTAAGACAAAAGCTGCAAAAGTTATGATGGTTGCCAAATTAATGAACAACAGAATATATGTCCTTAATACTTATGAGCAAGAATATTGTAATTAGAATATTCTTTGCCTTAAACATCATATAATATAGTATTTAGATATATCTTTTCCCCAATATTTTTTCTTAGGTTAAGTGTTTACCTGGGGAAAAATAAAACAGCAGGATCTCATTAAAATTCCAACAAAAAGGAGTGCCAAAGTGCTCTCTGGGAATGTTTTTGGGAGTGTGGAGAGAAAAAAAGAAGAAGCAGTCATAATATTTAAAAAATAAATATTACTTGCTCAAGAATCATTATGCATTCCATTCAGTAATTATATCCATACAAACACACAGCTTCAGTTGAAGCAAAGCACGTTATCTGTGAAGTTCTAGTTTGAAATCCCATGATGCTTAAATTCATAATTGTGAAGGCGATGTCTCAGTAGCCACATGGCACAGTTGAGCTAGAGATGTCCATATAGCAAGGCTTTGGGATGTGGAGAACAGCTGCTTTTTTATTCCACGGGAAGTAGAAGGGGTTTGTGTATGACTCAACATGTGTCTCTATGCATGCATGCCTGAGTGTAGATAGGTATGCATATGTACCTAGGTGCATATGTATGCATATATGTGACTTCAGTATTGGAAGAGTTATAATGATAGCTCAGCCTCTTCTTCCTAATGGCTCCTGGGGATTCTGTGCCTTGACAATTCTCTATAAAGTAGCTTTTAGCAGCATTAGTCCCAGAGGCACCACTCCCTGCTGAGGACTGTGCTGGCGCCCTTCTCTGGAAGCTTTTTTGGGATGCCTCTCCTTGGTAACATTCCAGCCATAGCTTGGAATGCTTGCCTTTCTTCAGAAGTGTGAGGACGGAGTGAATGCAACAGAATGTATGTATTCCGTACACTCGCAACTGGGAGACTCTGCTCACCTCATTATGTTCCCTTAAAGTGACTAAGTAGTGGTGCATTAACTACTGTGTTGGGTTTGTTCCCCGGAATCTTAACTGTTCAGCTGTTGATTGACTACTCCTGATTTAACATGAAAATCTTGTCAGACACTGCCTCTACTTATCGTTCTCTGGTTGTGGAGGTTTGTTGCTTGTTTTCTTTTAAGGTCCAAAAAGGCAGAAATGCACACATGAGCATTTGGCCATGAGCACAGCAGATGGAGAATTATGGAGCAGATAAACAAGATTCAATATTTTTTTTTGTCGAAACCCTGAATTTGTGTCTGGCTCTGTGTCTTGTGTGAAATGTGGTCCTTGCCACGGGGCAGATGTAACCCGAACGGAGACTTGGTTAGCAGGTAGTTAGGGGGAGTGTGGAAGGATCTGCCTGTCTTTAAGCAGAGTAAGTAGCTAAGACTGAACTAGCAGTAAACTTGTATTCTTTTCAAGACTTCTTTCCTGCTACTTAATTGTTGGCAATTTCAGAAACTATCCATACACCTTGTCAAGAAGCAGAATTGAGAGGGTGTTTTCGAGAAAGAAAAAGAGATATATGTTCATTTGCTGGGAATTTTTATGGCAGAGGAGAAACCCATGGACAAATTCCTGGCATATTGAAATATCCATTCTGCACCTTGACATTTTTACATAGTGTTTCCTCAAGGAATCTTACTCTGTCTTACTGATAGTACTTATATTGGTCCCCCAAACTAGCAATAAACAGCAACATAACCTGTAAGAAAGCCAACAGGAGGATAAAAAGAGAAAAGAGGGTTTATAGGGAAAATGACAACTCACATTCCCAACAGCAGATCACAGGGTGAGGTCAAGGTATGTGACACTAGTGATTTCACCTGAGGCCAGTGCTTGCCACCAGTTCCTAAGAATTGATAGGTACTTGTTAAAATCTAGATTTGCAGGTCCCCACCCTGAATGTATTATATCCTTAGGAAAGGGATCTGGGACTATTTTTTTTAATAGGCATCTCCGGTGATTCTTATGGTCAGACACATTGGGGAAACTGCTGTCATCTAATCGACTACTAGGACTAAGATATTTCTAGAATTTTGGGTGAATGTGTGTGTGTGCATAATTACCAAGGATCTTAAGGTTAAAAGAAAATTATCAACTACTCCATCTTGTCATCGTGAAACATTTCTTAATGAAAACATCTATGTAGGGTTGTCTGGTTAGAGGACATTTTCTCATGTACTACCTCATTTGATCCTAATAACAATCCCATGAGGAGGTTAGGCAGCGATGATCATGCTCACCCCCAAGTTGCATGTAGAAATGGGCTTTGCATGTGGCTAGCAAGTGTGAGACTGGCTTTGAATAGCATTTTTTGCCATGCAGGCAAGCCCAACATCAACCCTAAAGCCTGCCACTGTTCCTCTTTTACCCCACACTCTGGTCAGTAACATATCAGGTTCTTTGCACATCCACACCTTTGCACACCTGTACCTCCTCTGTCTTCCTTCCCTGTCAGCAAATCATATTTATTCATTAAGGTGCCTTCCTTAAGCTTTTTTGGATACACCCTTGTCTTCACCCAGCCTCCTACCCAAGTGGAGCTAGCTGTTCTTTTGGTTGTGTTTCCATCACACTATATAGATCCTTCTACTGCATGCTGGGGTCTTGTTTAATGTAGATGAGTTCAATAATAAGAGCTTGGTAACACCCCCCTCTTCTTCCCTAAACTGCCATCGTGCCACTTACTTTTAATAAGCAGTAGATGTAATCATGTTTAAGACAGTACTTGTTGGCTAAAGCTATGGGAGGCATTTGGGAATGATTTCAAGGGTTTTCCAAATACCGACACAAAAGTGTTCCGGTGGCCAGAAACATGGCCATTAGCATCCTCTAGGAATGGAATTATTTGAGGATAACAAGGAACATTGTCTAACAAGAAGTAGAGGAATCATAGGGAACTGTCTTAGTTTGCTCAGGCTGCCATAACAAAATACTATAGACTGGATGGCTTAAGCAACAGAAATTTTTGTTCTCCCAGTTCTGGAGGTTGGAAGTCCAAAATCAGGGTTAGTTTCTGGTGAGGCCTCTCTTCCTGGCTTACCAACGGCCACGTTTTCACTGTGTCTTCACATGGCCTTTCCTCCTGTGTGAGAGAGAAGAAAGAGAGAGAGGGAGAAGAAGAGGGAGAGAGAGAGAGAGAGAGAGAGAGAGAGAGAGAATGAGAACGTGAGCTCTGGTGTCTCTTCCTCTTCTTATGAAGACACCGGTCCTATTGGATCAGGGCCACACCCTTACGACCTCTTTTAATCTGAATTATCTCCTTAAAGGCCCTGTCTCCAAATACAGTCGCTTTGGGGGTTAGGGCTTGCAACATATCAATGTTGGTGGGGATACAATTCAATTCATAACAGGGATTGTATGCACAAAACCACAGATTTAGTAGTTTCCTTGTCAGGGATTTAAGGGCCTATCAAAGTTTCAGTGATGGGTGGTGTTCATGGTACATTCACTGTAGTTCATAGTTCAGGTTAGAGACTATCTGGCCTGGCTTTCAGATTGTATAATAGTTATTTCTTTATGTAAATATCTCCCCCACTGGACTTCTTGTAAGGGTTGGTCTGAGTCTTATTCATCTTTGTCTGCCAACTGATAATGGTTCAATAAACTTTTAAGGAACAAATCTTCTCACCATCTGCATCTGTATGTGATCAGATGTATTAATTTTAGTTCTGATTCCCATTCTCTTGTGTTTGCAGCCACCATTGGTTCAGGCAATCTTCAGCGGTGATCCAGAGGAGATCCGGATGCTCATCCATAAAACTGAAGATGTGAATACTCTGGTAAGAGATACTGTGGTTTTGCTACTCAGGCCCTGTTAGCCTGGAGCAGGAAAGGACTCTTAACCTTTTATATACCATGGACTCTTGATATCTGGTGAAAGCTCCAGACTGTTTCTCAGGACACTGTTCTTAAACCCTATATAAGAAATAAAATATCTAGGGTTACAATGGAAATCAGTTATTGAGATACAGTTACCCAAATATTAAAAATATACTTTGTAATATGGTAATATATGTGCTTTTAAAAAAAATAACACATTTAGGCTGGGCGCAGTGGTTCATGCCTATAATCCCAGAATTTTGGGAGGCTGAGTTGGGCAGATCACTTGAGCCCAGGAGTTTGAGACCTGGGCAACATGGTGAAACTCTGTCTCTAAAAAAAAAAAAAAAAAAAAAAAAAAAAAAAAAAAGAAAAATTAGCCGGGCATAGTGATG